>NC_000016.10:30692936-31008144 GCF_000001405.40 Homo sapiens | reverse complement strand
GGTGTGGGGGACCTGGAAACGGGGTCTCTGAGACACTGGGAGGGATGAGGCAGGGGCGGTGGTGGGAGGGGACATTAGCCCAGGGGACTGATTGTCTTTCCAACAGTACCTTGGCATTCCCAAGGGGTTCTCAAGTCCGTTTGTCACACAGTGGTTTCGGGAGCCAGACTGTCTGGGTTCAAATTCTAATTTTGCTACTTCCTGTGAGACCTTGGGCAAGTTGCTTAACCTCTCTGGTCCTCAATTTCTTCGCGTATGAGTTGGGAGAAGTAAGAGTGCCTGTTTCACAGGGTTGTCCTGAGGACTGGAAGTAGTTAATATGCATCAGGTGCCTAGGAGGGGGCCTGGCGCCCAGCAGTGCTGTGTGTCTGTTACCCAGCAGATGGCTTGTTTATTTCTCTTCAACACCACACAAGCCCCCTGCGATGGGCAGGACATGGCCCCTATTTTATTTTGGAGTACATTGAGGGCCAGAGGGGGTAAAAAAAACCTGACTTGTCCAAGGTCAGATAGCTTTTAATGGTTGAGGTGGGCTTGAACCAGGGTTTTCTGCGTCCAGTTTACCAGGCAACCTTGGTTGGTGCTAGGCTGGTTGTGGAGGCTGTGAAAAGGAGTTAATCAGCTAAATAGGTGTCCCAGGGTCTAAGGAGTGAAGCCAGAGTGGGGCTCCAGAGGAAAGAGCAGAGTGAGTGAGGTGGAGAGGAAGGTGGGTTATGGGAGAAGACAGGAGGGGCACAGGGAGGGCTGAGGTCTGAGACGCAGCTGTGGAGTCGGGTGGGAGAAGTGCGGAGACACCCTGGGAGGAAGGTGGGGCCTGCACTGCAGGAGCCTGAATCTGAGGCTGGACAGGATGAAGGCTGCTGAGGGACCGCCCCGTGCCCCAAAGGCCCTCAGGTATGAGGCAGGCACAGTAGGTGCTTTAGAAACGCAGCCCTGAAATCACAGGGTGCAGAGACCAACGAACCCTGGGTGATGGATCCATATCCTCCAGCTGCTCTGGGCTGCCTTTATTTATATTTAAAAAAATGTTTTTAGAGACATGGTCTTCCTCTGTCACCTAGGCTGGAGTGCAGCGGTGCAATCACAGCTCACTGCAGCCTTGACCTCCTGGTCTCCAGGGATCCTCCTGCCACAGCCTCTCGAGTAGCTGGGATTACAGATGCGCACCACCATGCCTGGCTAATTCTTTTTGCTTTTGTAGAGATGGGGTCTATGTTGACCAGACTGGTCTTGAACTCCTGGCCTCAAATGATCCTCCCGCCACGCCCTCCCAAAGTGCTGGTATTCCAGGCATGAGCCACCGCGCTCGGCTGGCACTGGGCTTCTTTCTGCTATCCAAACACACAAGTTTACCCCTGTCCAAGGACCTTCGCGCATGCTGTTCCCTCTGCCCAGCATGCTGTTCCCTCTGCCCTGAATTCTGTTTCCCCAGCACTGTGGCACAGTTGGCTCCTTCAGGACCTAGCTCAGATGTCACCTCCCCAGAAAAGCCCTGCTAACTGTCCTGTAGAAATCCTTCCACAATCCCCCCCAATTCCCATGTCTCTCAATTCCATCTTTCTGCTTATCTCCCTCCTGCTATTCAGCACAATCTGAAATGGTCTTGTTCACCTCCCATTGTCTGCCTCCCCCACTGGAATGCCAGCTCCCTGGAGGCAGGCCCTCCTCGCCTGTCTTCTTCACCACCACATCGCCAGCAGCACCCAGAAGAGTACCTGGCACAAATCAGACACATCCGTTAGATGAATGAATGACTCCATGAAGCAGAGGGAGGATGAGAAAGGGGCAGGGGGTAAGGCAGGAAAGATGGAGGAGAGAGGTCAGGGTGAGAGGGCCAGGCTGCTCAGGGGGAGGGAGCAAGGAGAGGCCCCAGCCAGGGAGACAGATGGACTGAAGCAGAGGGTGGGGGAAAGGGCGCAGGGGGAGGCTGCTGCCTCCGATCAAACGATGATGCTTGCACCCCTGAGGAGCATGGGAAGCCCGTGTGTGTCAGTGCTGGGGCACGCATATGTTTACACACACACACGTACACACACGCACACTCTCTCTGACTTTTCTGTCACCCAATTCCAGTCTCTTGCCGCCTCTGTGTTTTTGTCACCGTCTCACCATCTGTCTCTCTGGTCACTGACTTGCTGGCTCTCACTGTCACTCTCCTCCTTCCGCTTCTGTATCTGTCCTTGCCGTCGCTCCACATCGACATACACACAAGGCCCGTGGTGGCTCTGGTGTGGAAGACCTGGACTTAGGGGGCCCCTGAGGAGGTCAGGCTGCAGCTGGAGGCTTGGATCTGATGTGCGCAGTCCCCAGGTGCTTCTGGAAGGGGCTCAGGGGCACTGCACTCTCTCATTCAATCCCTCTCAAGTGCTCAAGGAGCTGTGCGCTGTAGAGCAGAGTGCCTGAGTTTGAGTCATCCCATCAGCTGTGTGATCTTGGGCAAGTTACCCAATCTCTCTGCGCCTCCACCTCCTCATCTGTCCAGTGAGAATAAGAATATGACCTCATGGAGTGGTCGTGAGGATTAAACAAGAGATGCAGGCTGGGTGCAGTGGCTCACACCTGTCATCCCAGCGCTTTGGGAGGCCAAGGAGAGAGGATCTCTTGAGCCCAGGAGTTCGAGACCAGCCTGGGCAATATAGTGAGATCCCATCTCTCAAAAAAAAAAAAAAAAAAAGGAAAAAGAAAAAAAAAGAAATGCAAAGCACTTGTAATAGGACCCAACTCGTGGTAATCAGCACATATATGTTACATCCTCGATTTGCACATGAGGCAACTGAGGCTTGAATCGTTCACCTGTAACCTGAGGCCACCATAAAGTAGACTGGGGCACATTTGATCATCTTTTCCTAGGTAGTCTGGTTTGCCCACAGCCTGCTTTCTTTTTGGCTGGCCTAACTTCTTCCAGAAATGGATGCTGTACTCATTACTAAATATGCATCACTCAGAGCACGGAGGGCCCTTCAGAGCAGGGTGGGCACTTGCACCAGTCTGCTCATTTCAGTGATGAGGGAACTGGGGCCCAGGGAGGAGTCTAAGTTTGCCTGGGGTCACACAGCAAGACAGACGGAGGCTGGGAGGGATGGCCTCCTGTCCAAGCTCTTCCTGCAGCCCTGGGCCCCTCCTACTGATTTTCTGTCCTGGCTGCAGGAGTTCAGCAGTCCTGAGGACATGGCAGAGTGGGCTTTTTAGGACCAGGAGGGACTGCCATCTGTCAGCAGGACAGAAGGGAGAGAGCCTGACATTTAGTGCCAGACAGTCCTGGGTTCAGGTCCTACCTCTGGCCTCATTTGCTGTGAAGCTTTAGGCAGGTCAGGCAACCTCTCTGAGCCTGTTTCCTTGTCTGTAACATGGAATCAGCCGGTGGTAGGCATTGTTACCACTCAGCAAATGCAGAGACTAGGCTCAGGGGTAGAGCCAAATGGTCTTCTAACAGCTGACCTGGGGCAAGTTCTTTTTTTTTTTTTTTTAAGAAACGGGGTCTTGCTCTGTCACCCAGGCTGGAGTGCAGTGGCACAATCACAGCTCACTGCAGTCTCTTGACCTCCTGAGCTCCGGGGATCCTCCTACCTCACCCTCCCAAGTAGCTGAGACTACAGGTGCGCACCACCATGCCCAGCTAATTTTTGTATTTTTTGTAGAGACATGATCTTGCTATGTTGCCCAGGCTGGTCTTGAACTCCTGGGTTCAAGTGATCCTCCCACCAGAGCCTCCCAAAGTGCTGGGATTACAGGCGTGAGCCACTACAACTGGCCTGAGTTATTTAGCTCTATGCCTCAGTTTCCCCATCTATAAAAGGGGGCTATAATAATACCTCCAAGGGGACTGTTGTAAGAATGAAATGGATAGATATATGTGGAGCACATAGAACAGTGCCTGGCACATTGTAAAACATCATCTAAATATTTGCATAAGTATAATTATGTTGGCCAATGGTCCTTACAGAGTCCTAATGAAGATTAAATGAGATAACAAGAATGTAAGACTTACGCAAAAAATACCATCAAGTGCTCTTGTTTTGCTAGGTTGTCCGGACACAGAGCCTTCCCCAGATTGGGACTTAGCAGGCGCTCACTGAGAGGGAAAGTAACTGGGAGCGGAAAGTCAGTGGGGGAGGTAGCCCAGTCTGGAGCCTAACAGCGGTCTTTGAGGGGCTGGATGCCCATGGTTTTCTGGCCCTATGTGGCCTGGGTGCCCTTGGGCAAGTCACTCTCCTTTTACCCCCCTGGCTTCCTGTTCCCTCATCTGTGAAATGGGGACGATGATGTTTATGCAGCTTTTCTCTCAGGGCTGGTGGTGCTGAGGATCAAAACGGATTATGGATGTAAAAGTGTTTGTAAATGGTAGAGGATTATTAGCTCCCAGCTCTCTTTGTATTTATTATACCAAATAAACCACACTTGGGCCTTCTATCATTCTTCCTGTCTTGAGGGCAAACAAATAGGTAGCCCAGGGTGCTCCAGAGATGAACCTAAGGGAGGTGGCTCCAAGAACAACAGGAGAGATTGAAATTAGATTTTAGGAAAGACTTCCTAACATTAGCATGGGGAAGGGAGAGACACAGAGAACAGGAAAGTCCTCAGGCACCCGGGCCAGGGAGAGGCCGCATGACCTGCGTGAGGCTGGTGGCTGAGTGAGTGGTTGAAGGGAGAGAAAGGGCAGAGGAAGGCTTTTGGCTCTAGGGGAAGGAGGCCTTGTAGCACAGCTGGATTTTGAGGACAGAGAAAGTGAAGAGCATCATGGTAGGCCGATGGGTCCTCAGAGGTGAGCCCAGCATCCCAGAGCCTCTCAGGGTCCCCAACTTATGCCACCTGTGCCGCCCCACTTTCTGGGGGCAGCTGTGAGCCAAGACAGAGGAAACTCCCTTTCCAGGCGGATGGTTGGGATTGTCTGGAAATTCAACACAAGTGCTGAACACATTTTCCGACACAGTGTGGGCCCAGCGTCTGTGTGAAGACTCCCTGGAGTTCCATTTGGGCTGGGCTTAGCAGGGAGGCTGGGGTGGCTCAGGAGCGTGGAGCTGGAGGCCCCCCAGGCTGTGCTGGCTTTTCCTGGGGCTGTGGGGCACTGCTGATCCTGAGTTTTGGCTGTGTGGACTGCACCTAGGTCCCATCTGGCCCTGTCTAGGTTCAATCTGAGCTGTCTGGGATCTGTCTGGGATCCGTGTGAGCCTCGGCTAGTTCAGTCTGAGCCTGTCTGGTTTCTGTTAGGCCCTGTCTGCGTTCCGCTGGGACCCTGGCAAGCTCTTCTTTTTGGATTCCAACTGAGTACACCCCCAGGTGGATGCTGTTTGGATCCTGTCTTGATTTCACCCAGCCTCTGGGGTTTGGATTCTGTCTGAGCTCTGGCTGGGTTCTTTTTGGAAATCAGAATGAACTCTGTATACATTTCCACTGGGGCTGATCAGGGCTCCAGATGTCATTAAGCTTGATGGACTCAGATTTTGCTGTCAGACCTCTGTCCCAAGCAGAGAAGGACTCAGGTGTGTGTAGCACAGGGCACCTCCCCTACAGCCTCTCCTGTCCAGCTCTGAGTGTGTGTGCAGACATGAGGCTCGGAGAAGCTGGAAGAACAAGCCCAGTGAGCCCTCCCAAATGTCCTCAGGGGTGCAGCTGAAAGCCAGTGTGTCCACACATGTCAGTGCGGCTCAGCTGTGAGTCTGCGTGCGGGTGAACGCCAGCATCAGTGCATCTCCGTGTGGGTGTCGGGGGGGCCTATTCCTGTGTGCCTTGGGTGTCAGCTCTTCTGTCTGTGTCTCGAGTCTGTCTGTCGGTGGCAGTGGTGCTGTGGGTGGGTAAATCTCTTTGTGTCTCTGAGCCCTGCGGGTGGAGGGTTGAGCAGCTGCAGGTTGCAACTGGGAAATCCAAGCCAGCAAGAGTAGGTGGGTGTGAAGTTGGAAGGGGCTGGATGAAAGCAAGTGAATCCACTGCGAGGGAGAGCCGGCTGGGAGGGGAGGGAGAGTGGGCGGGAAGAGGGGGGCACAGGGCGCGAGGGAGGTCGGGGTGCTGCCCGTATCTCTTATCCAGCCCTCACTGCTTGCTCAACTTGGCGCCTGCCGCTGGCAGTGAAGTGACCTTGCACAGGGGACATGTCTGGTCAGGTGGGGCAGGAGAGGAAGAGAAGGAGTAAAGTGAGATCTGGGCAGGAGAGCAGGAACAGTAGGGAGATCCAGGCTCCCGGGACTCTAGTCCAGGACCCTTCATGGAGCCCAGGGTCAGTTACTGCAAGCCTGACGTTGAGCCGTTGTTGAAATATTGAAATCATCCCTATTGGCTGGTCAAGGCTGGCTCTGCGCCCCCAAGGCCACATCCACCCTGAGAGGGGGTCTTTTTCCAATTCCTTCTAAGGAATCCTTTGGGCTGACAAACACTTTTGGTGCCTTTGCCATCTACCCTGCATGGGACCCCTCCCAGGACCCCTCCTCTGAGCCTAGAGCTGGGAGCACCTGTGTGTGCATAGCAGGGAGAGGGTGGGAGAGCTGGAGAGCCAGCCTTGGGGACCCAGGTAGGGCCTGCTCATGGACTCAGCCTTCCTTGTCCCCAGGCGAAAGACAGTGATGATGAAGAGGAGGTGGTCCACGTGGATCGGGACCACTTCATGGATGAGTTCTTTGAACAGGTAATGGGCCTCCAAGGCCCCCAGCCCCAGCCCCAGCCCCAGCACCCAGCCCCAGCCCCTAGTCCCACCGCCCAGCCTCAGCCCCGGCACCCAGCCCCAGCCCCAGCACCCAGCCCCAGCCCCTAGTCCCACCGCCCAGCCGCAGCCCCGGCACCCAGCCCCTAGCCACCGACAACTTCCTTTTCCCTGTCCCCCACTTCCCTGCTCCTGCACCCTCCCTGGCCTTTTATCAGCCGTTCTGGGGCTGGTCCATTCCCCTGAACCCTGGCTGGTTCCCCTGGAACCCGTTGTTTGGCCTGACAGCTTGGCTGGGTATAGCCGATTTTCTGCTCCAGGTGGAAGAGATCCGGGGCTGCATTGAGAAACTGTCGGAGGATGTGGAGCAGGTGAAAAAACAGCATAGCGCCATCCTGGCCGCACCCAACCCAGATGAGAGTGAGTGTGGCTGCCGGTGACTGTGGGGTGGGAGGAGAAGGGGCCTGGGGTTCCCACCCAGACATCTCACTTGCCCTCGCCCTCCCCTCAGAGACCAAACAGGAGCTGGAGGATCTCACTGCAGACATCAAGAAGACGGCCAACAAGGTTCGGTCCAAATTGAAAGGTGAGGAGTACAATCCCTCAACCAGGAAGGAAAAGAATTGTGGGTGGAGCATGGTGGCTCAGGCCTTTGGGAGGGCGAGGCGGGGCCAATTGCTCAATCCCAGGAGTTCAACACCAGCCTGGGCAACATGGCAAAACTCTGTCTCTACAAAAAATACAAAAATTAGCTGGGCCAGTTTGGGAGGCCGAGGCGGGTGAATCACGAGGTCCGGAGTTCAAGACCAGCCTGGCCAAGATGGTGAAACCCCATCTCTACTAAAAGCACAAAAATTAGCTGGGTGTGGTGGCGGGCGCCTGTAATCCCAGCTACTCAGGAGGCTGAGGCAGAGAATTGCTTGAACCCGGGAGGTGGAGGTTACAGTGAGCTGAGATCGCGCCACTGCACTACAGTCTGGGTGACAGAGAGAGACTCTGTTTCAAAAAAAAAAAATTAGCTGGGCATGGTAGTACGTGCCTCTGTTCCAACTACTTGGGAGGCTGAGGCACAAGAATCGCTTGAGCCCAGGGGGTCGAGGCTGCAGTGAGCCGAGATCATGCTGCTGTACTCCAGCCTGGGTTACAGATAGAGACCCTGTCTCAAACAAAAAAAAAAAAAACAAAAAACAAACAAACAAAAAAAAAGGGACTGGGCGTGGTAGCTCATGCCTATAATCCCAGAACTTTGGGAGGCCAAGGTGGGTGGATCACCTGAGGTTAGGAGTTCAAAATCCTAACCAAATCCTGGCCAAAATGGTGAAACCCCATCTGTACTAAAAATACAAAAATTATCCGGGCATGGTGGCAGGCGCCTGTAATCCCAGCCACTTGGGAGGCTGAGGCAGGGGAATCACTTGAACCCGGGAGGCAGAGGTTGCAGTGAGCCGAGATCGCGCCACTGCACTCCAGCCTGGGTGACAGAGCAAGACTCTTTCTCAAAAAAAAAAAAAAAGAACTTTGCCATCCATTGAGCAAAACAGGCCTTTCTCTAAGGAATTTCTACAAAGTTCCAGGAGCCAGATTATTAAACAGTCAGAAAGCACAAAACCCCAGCTTTCCCCCTTGCTCCAGTTCTTTGGAGAAAGATATATGATAGGAAATGAGGGAAAGGAGACTGTCTAAATTGCATCTGAGCCCTGCTGGTTCCACCAGCATGAAGGTTCACCAGAAAAAGGTGATCTTCCGAGTGGCTTCGATTTCATTAAGTCCTCATCTCTCCTGAGCAGGCCCCCGGCATGGCACAGAGCACCCAGTGGGTGGGCCCAGCAAATGCCTCTGAATCGGTATCCTTGGCTCAGGACAGATTGGACTTGTGTGGCTGACATCAGGGGCTGGCGAGCTTTCAAGAGGGACTTGCCAAATGTTCATTTATTCACTCTAATTTAAGGACTTGGGTGCTGGTAATAACCACCTTCCCCCAAAGCACCGTGGGTTGGGAACCTCCTTGTCTGCTCATACCAGGGAAATAGCAGTGTTACTGGCATGCTGTTTTGCATGCTCCTGGTAAGTCAGTATCAGAAAACATATGCTGAGCACCTCCAATGTCCGAGGCACATTGCTAGGCTTTGGGGAAGAGGAGCTATATCAGCTACCTGGCCTGGAGAACACTGACCTTGGCCCAGAGAGAGAAGGGTAGTAACTCCATGCCCTCTGGACTGGAGGGGAGGCCATATGTGAGCCTCAGATGTGGATTTGTAAAAACAAGCCCTTTGTACTCAGGAGAGTCTGCTGGATGGAAACTGTCTGAATCTGGGAGCATGTTAAGTGCAAATCCAGGCAGACAGAGTCTAACCTCCACCATCAGCTCACCCTGGACAAGTCCCCTACTCTCAGCTTCCTTATCAGTACAGTAAGACAAATGAAAGCAATTTCAAAATTAGCTTGTTTTGGGGGTGGGGGGTGGAGGGCATCAAAATACTTTTTTTTCCAAAGTCATACAAAGAATCCCAATATATAAAACATAAAAGTCAGGTTGTTCTAGCTGAGCTGGAGCTGGGAGCACCTACCTGCCTGACCTCTCTTCATTCTCTGCAACAGCCCCTGAAATTCCTTCTCAGAAACAAGGTTCCTGCTGGCAGTTTAAAATCCCCTGGGCTCAATGGTTTCTCTAGGTCCATCAAGCCTTGACCTTGAACACTCTCTGTAAGACCCTGGGGAGGGCTCTGTGGGTGAGGGGTTCAGGAATAGACCAAGAAAGAAGCTGGAAAAGTGGCCGTGGTTTAGAGAAGCTGACCTTTCAGACCTCCAGGAAAGGAGAGAGGATTCTCTTAGTCCTCTTCCAGCTGGTGGCATGAGCTCAGGCTTTGGGTGTGACCTTGAGTGAGTGGTTTTGCCCACTGGAAACTGAGTTTCTAGTCTAAAACATGAGCTGATATCACTGAACTCCCAGGAATGTTGTAAAAAGTCAATGAGATCCTGTAAGAGACCCCTCCCTCCGGACTTGACCCCAGCCCCAAGGCTGACAGTCGGGCCCCAATCTGGGCCAGCCGATTCCAATATCCCTGGGCCATGTGTTGCTGAGCCAGAGCTGTCACTCAATCGGGGGAGCCTTGGGGTGCCATCCGGCCCCGTACCTCCCCCACTGCCAACAGAACGGAGGAGTGAGGCTCTTAGGAATGGCCTGGAGGCTGGTGAGGTCTGAGAGGGCCGGTGATTCATCCCTGCTGCATTTTCTGATCTCACCGAGGTAGATTTTGCCACAATCTCTTTTTTAGAAAATCGGAACGATAGTGTCAGGAGTGCTTGATCCAGAAGCAGGAATCTCAGTTAATCTGTGCACTTTTCCAGAACGTCCTTCAGAAGTGGGAATTCCCGGATCGGGGATCACCTTACAGGGCAGGGAGAGGGCTGCTTTCTCCCTTGGAATATCCATGTGTTTGCCCTTGAATTCCCCTGGGAAAGAGGGGCCACTAGAACCTGATCCACCTGGAGGTGACTGCCTTCCATCAGAAAAAAGGCAGGCTGTGTTCTTGCCCCCTGTCCAGAGGCTGTAGGAAGTAGGGAGCACCCCACATACATGGCCCCTTCACGCGGGCTGGGCCGGCACGCCCTCATGGAGTTGGACAGGAATTACCACTGATGGGACTTTCCAAGACCCAGTTCTGCCACTAGAACAAATAGCCCCCTTCTGTCTGGTGACCCTCTGACCCTCAGTATCCCTTCCTGCCTGCCTTCGGAACCCCCTCAAACGTCTGTTCGTCTGTTTATCTGCTGGCTCCTAACACCACCCTGGGGCACCGCTGCCCGCAACTCGCCCTGGGGATGACGTTTCTCCCCGGGCCTGGCGCTGCCGCGGGGTGTTGACCATTCGTACGCCCCGGACCCTCGCCCCATGTGCCCCGGGTCTCCCGCCCATCGCTGCGCCCTCTCTCCCGCAGCGATCGAGCAAAGCATTGAACAGGAGGAGGGGCTGAACCGTTCCTCCGCGGACCTGCGCATCCGCAAGACCCAGGTAGGAGGCGGCAGCCCATTGGGGGTCGGGTCGGGACCCAGCTCGGGAGGAGCCCAGGCTGGAGGCCGGCGGGCCAGGGCCAAGCACCGGCGGGGGCGTGGTCAGGGAGGGCTGGGGCGGGGCTCTGGGGGCGAGGCTAGAGCGGGCGGGGCCCTGGGCGGGGCTCTCGGGGAGGGCGGGGTCGAGCCGCATCTCAGCGCAGTAGCAGTGTCTCTAGCTGGTGTTGGCCTAAGATGGGGGTGCCGGGCGGGTAGGGAACCATGAACTTGTCAGGGTTTGGGATCGCGGCCAGAGCTGAAGAAGGGACCGTAAACTAATTCAGCGCTTCCTCCTTATTCCGCCCATGCACTGCCTCCTCACCTGCCTCGGTCTCTGCTCCCTGACTCCCTCCCTGATCCCTGACTACCTCCCTGATCCGTCTGTCCCCCCACCCCCACCGTAGCACTCCACACTGTCCCGGAAGTTCGTGGAGGTAATGACCGAATATAACGCGACCCAGTCCAAGTACCGGGACCGCTGCAAGGACCGGATCCAGCGGCAACTGGAGATCAGTGCGTGTGCCCCCCACCCCAGGACCCCGAACTCCTTGAGGCTGCCCAAGCCCCCTTCCAGGCATTTCCTCTCTGGAGGGGGCCCCTGGCTTAAGGCGGCGTGGGAGGGTGGGCCCCAGGTCCCCGCCCCATCACCCCACCTCAGGCCCCCAGGCTGTCCCAGCCCCCGAGCAGGGAGTCCTTTCTTCCCGCAGCTGGAAGGACCACCACCAACGAAGAACTGGAAGACATGCTGGAGAGCGGGAAGCTGGCCATCTTCACAGATGACGTGAGCCGCGGGTGGGGCGGGCTCTGCTTTTGGAAAATTTTTGCCTCCCCTCCCTAAGTTCAGGTTGAACTAAGGTCCTAAGTCCACCCTGGAAAAATGAGCAGCGGGAAGCCTGAGCCGGGAACTGGGGAATTCCATGGGAGCGGAGCAGGAAGGCACCCCCATCAGATGACGGAGTCGTTCGTGTGCCAGGCACTGTTCTAAGCACTTTCCATCTTCACATTCACCCACCAACTCATTTAATACTCACACATCCCCTTCGAGGAAACCCCATTTCACAGATGAGGAAAACTGGCCCAGAGAGATGAAATCACTTGGCAAGATCTCAGAGCGAGGGAGAGGGCCAGGACTTGAATCCTGTCTAGTTTCAGAGTCAGAACTCTCGAGCCCTAGGATACACGACATACTCTGCTACTGAAGCAAGTCGTTTCACCAGAGAACTGATTTGCCTACATTAAAAGAAATTTTTTTTAATTAAAAAAAACTTTTTTTCTTTTTTTTTTCTTCAAGACGGAGTTTTGCTCTTGTCACCCATGCTGGAGTACAGTGGCGAGATTTCAGCTCACTGCAACCTCCGCCTCCTGTGTTCAAGCGATTCTCCTGCCCCAGCCTCCCGAGTAGCTGGGATTACAGGCGCCCACCACTCGGCCTAAAAAAACCTTTTTTTGTAGAGATGGGGGGTCTTCCTCTGTTGCCCAGGCTGGTCTCAAACTTCTGGGCTCGAATAATCTGCCTGCCTCAGCCTCCCAAAGTGCTGGGATTACAGACGTGAACCACCGAATCCAGCCTAATTTGCCTACATTTTGAATATTTTTTTTAAAACAAGTTTTAGTTTTGCTTAGGTTTTGTCCCCTGTGCTGCCCTTGTCCTTTTACATATGAAAGGATGGGCTGGCCGGGCCCAGTGGCTCATGCCTGTAATCCCAGCACTTTGGGAGGCCAAGGCAGGTAGATCACCTGAGGTCAGGAGTTCGAGACCAGCCTGGCCAACATGGCAAAACTCTGTCTCTATTAAAAATACAAAAATTAGCCGGGCATGGTGGCACGTGCCTGTAATCCCAGCTACTAGGGGGCTGAGGCAGGAGGATCACTTGAACCTGGGAGGCGGAGGTTGCAGTGAGCCGAGATCTTGCCACTGCACTCCGGCCTGGGCAACAGACTGACACTCTGTCTCTTAAAAAAAAAAAAAAGAAAGAAAGGATGGGCTTTCCCCGAACCTAGTTCTTGTTTCTCTCAGTGGACTTTTGCCCCGGCCTGCCCACTCCTGTCTCCGTTTCTGTTTCTGGTGGCAAAATGACTCTGGTTAAGGGTTCTAGACCAGGTTTAAAGGATGCGCTATGACTGTCTTAAAAGTTTTCAGCTCATTGTTATTTGGAGAACTGATCTTTGTTGAAAACGCATTGAGCAGCCCGGTGTGGTGGCTCACATCTGTAATCCCAGCATTTTGGGAGGCCAAGGAGGATGGAGGGCTTGAGCCCAGGAGTTCGTAGACCAGCCCGGGCAACAAAGTGAGACCCCCATCTCTACAAAAAAAATGTTTTTTTGATTTAAAAAACAATTTCTTTTAATGTAGGCAAATCAGTTCTATGGTGAAACCTGCTTTAATTAGCCAGGCATGGTGGCGTGTGCCTGTGGTCCCAGCTACTCGGGAGGCTAAGGTGGAAGGATTGCCTGAGTACAGGAGGTCAAGGCCGCAGTGAGCTATGATAGCACCACTGCACTCCAGCCTAGGTGACAGAGCAAGAACTTGTCTCAACAAAGAACAAAAACCAAAAAAAAAAAAAAAAAAAAGACGGGGAGACTGAACACTGTCCAAACAGCCATTGTATGATTTCGGCTTATAGAATGGTCATAGGATGAGCAGGAGATGAGGGGAGAGGGAGTCTGGGCCTTGACTGCTGAAGGGAAGGTGTGGAGCCTTGGGTAGTGGGGAGCCATGGCAGGCTGTAGAGCAGAGGAGTGGCTCAATGTGGTAAGAACAGTGAGTAATTTGGGAAGTGAGTCACCTGGCTGAGGCTGGGTGTTTGTGGAGAGGAGGCATATCTGACTGTGGGTCACGGTCTCTTCCCCACTGGCTTTCTTTTTTTTTTTTTTTCAGCATGGTCTCACTCTGTGGCCCATGTTGGAGTGAAGTGAAGCAATCATAGCTCACTGCAGCCTCGACCTCCTGGGGTCAGGCAATCCTTCTGCCTCAGTTTCCTGAGTAGCTGGGACCACAGGCGCCACCATGCCCAGCTAATTTCCTTTTTTTTTTTTTTTTTTGATAGAAACAAAGTCTCACTATGTTGCCCAGGCTGGCCTCAAATTCCTGGGCTCAAGTGATCCTCCTGCCTTGGCCTCCCAGAGTACTGGGGTTACAGGCCTCTCCCTACTGACTCTTTTTTTTTTTTTTGAGACGGAGTCTCGCTCTGTGGCTCAGGCTGGAGTGCAGTGGCGCAATCTCGGCTCACTGCAAGCTCCGCCTCCCGGGTTCACGCCATTCTCCTGCCTCAGACTCCCAAGTTGCTGAAACTACAGGCGCCCACCACCACACCCGGCTAATTTTTTGTATTTTTAGTAGAGACGGAGTTTCACCGCATTAGCCAGGATAGTCTTGGTCTGCTGACCTCGTGATCTGCCCGCTTCAGCCTCCCAAAGTTCTGGGATTACAGGCATGAGCTACCTACTGTGCCCAGCCCTGACTCTTTTTTTTTTTTTGAGATGGAATTTCACTCTTGTTGCCCAGGCTGGAGTGCAGTGGCGTGATCTCAGCTCACTGCAACCTCTGCCCCCCCGGGTTCAAGCAATTCTCCTGCCTCAGCCTCCTGAGTAGCTATGATTACAGGTGCCCACCACCACACCAGGCTAATTTTTATATTTTTAGTAGAGACGAGGTTTCGCCATGTTGGCCAGGCTGGTCTCAAACTTCTGACCTCAGGTGATCTACACACCTCCCAAAGTGCTGGGATTACAGGTGTGAGCCATCGTGCCTGACCAATGTGTACATATTAACTCACTCAGTCTTCACAACCACCCTGTGAGGTGGGCAGTGTTATGATCCACATTTTCTAGGTGGGGAAACTGAGGCCAAGAGCAGGTGAATAATGTGCCTAAGGTTTCAGCTAGTAAATGACACCGGATTTGACCCTGGCCACTCCACTGCGGTGGAGGCGCTCATGGCGGAGAAGGGTGATTGTAGCTCTCTCCCTCGTCACCCTAGATCAAAATGGACTCACAGATGACGAAGCAGGCGCTGAATGAGATTGAGACGAGGCACAATGAGATCATCAAGCTGGAGACCAGCATCCGCGAGCTGCACGATATGTTTGTGGACATGGCCATGCTCGTAGAGAGCCAGGTACTGGCTCTGCCACCCATGCCACTCTGGGAGCCTCCCTGGGCCTGAGGTCCCCTCTTCCAGCCCAGCCCCCATCCCTCCCTGTGCATGTCTCCTCTGTCTGCAGGGAGAGATGATTGACCGCATCGAGTACAACGTGGAACATTCTGTGGACTACGTGGAGCGAGCTGTGTCTGACACCAAGAAAGCAGTGAAATATCAGAGCAAGGCCCGGAGGGTGAGCGGGGCAGGCGGCCTGGGGGTAGGCGGGGGAGCCCAAGGCTGAGCCCGGGCTGAGGTGAGTGATGGCAGCGGGCGGGAGGCCTTATCTCTGGCTCTGACCTCTTCCTGTTTCTGTTTTCTCTCCCCTCTTCTCCCTGCCACCCTCTGCCCTGTCTGTCCCTGCATCTGTCCGTGTGTCGATCTCTCTCACTGTCTGCCTGTCTCACTCCTCTTTCTGCTGCAGAAGAAAATCATGATCATCATTTGCTGTGTGGTGCTGGGGGTGGTCTTGGCGTCATCCATTGGGGGGACGCTGGGCTTGTAGGCCCCCCCCACCCTTCTCTCTCCCAGACCCTTCCCCCACCACATCGGGAGCAATACCCCCACCACCCCTTTCACTCCATCCCCTGCTCCAGGCTCACTCCCAAAACAGACCCAGGCAGCCCCACCCCCACGGCAGACCCTGGTGTCCCTGGACCTCACCGGGCCATGGACCCCCCCCCCGTCCCCGCACGTAGATCGCAGCAGGCGTGATTACACATGCACACCAACATGCATGCCGCCGGCACATGCTCGAGACGTGTGGACACCCCAGCGTGCGTGTGCGTGTGATGTGTGTGATGCACCAGAGCACCCCCTCCACCCCCACCTTGGGTGTGTGTGCGTGGTCTGAGCTTCCCCCTTCACCGGGGCTGTTGTGTAGACTGCAGCCAAGTGTAACACAGCAGTCCATCACGCCCTCTCTGTCCTCTGTGAACAGTGTGTGTGCGTGCGTGAGACCACAGATCTGTGGACACACCATTTGTGTACGTGGAATTTTGTGTTTCAGTGTTTGAACCTAATGCAACAGCAACAAAGCCACTGATACCTGAGCCCTTTGTGTCTGCTACAAACCAGGCAGGTGGTGTGTGTGGACTCACACTCACATTCTCAGAGGATCCAGGGAGGCCCAGGTACACACAGGCCATGGCAGACACCCCATGTCTTTGTTACCCCAGGGGCTGTGGCATGTCCCAGGAGGGTGTGCATGTGTGTGTGTGTGTGTGTGTGTGTGTCCAGGATGTGCCTGAAGTATTGATAGGTCTTCTCAGATAGAGCCCTCCACACTGTGGACTGGACACCTGTTTTGGGAGGGCACAGAAATGTGTATTTCTTGCTACCTAGAATGCAGCTGTGTGTGTGTGGCGTGCGTGTGTATGCACGTGTGTGTGTGTGTTAGGGGCTCTCTACATGGTGTGCTTTTTAATTTTTTTTTGTTTTTTGTTTTTTGTTTTTTTCGAGACGGAGTCTTGCTCTGTCACCCAGGCTGGAGTGCAGTGGCGCAATCTCAGCTCACTGCAACCTGTGCCTCCCTGACGCAAGCGATTCTCATGCCTCAGCCTCCCAAGTAGCTGGGACTACAGGCGCCTGCCACCACGCCTGGCTAATTTTAGAATTTTAGTAGAGATGAGGTTTTGACATGTTGGCCAGGCTGGTCTCGAACTCCTGACCTCAGGTGATCCGCCCACTTTGGCCTCCCTAAGTGCTGGCATTACAGGCCTGAGCCACCACGCCTGGCCTACATGATGTGTTTCTGTCCTGCCTGACCTACATGGTGTGTTTCTGCCCTGCGTATTACACACACACACACACACGTGCGTGCACACACACTTCTAAGGACGTGGCCCCATCTGGCTTTGTCTCTCCAGTTGTCCTTGCCCTGCCCCCCTCCCCAGAGGTGCTGCCCAGTGCTGGTGTGGCCACACACGGCTACATCATTGTGCAGGCAGAGCTCCCTGCCTGCCCAGCCTCAGGGCTCTGCATGCTCACACCTAGATCCTCATCTTCCTCCATGTCTCTGCCCAGCATAGCCCCGAGCCCCTGGAAGCTGGTACCCCTCAGTGTGCTCACACGTGGCAAGGCCGAGGTGGCCCCAGGCAGGGGCCATACCAGGCACAAACCATGCACGCTGGCATGGGTGCGGGGATCACACGAATGCCTCCTGGAAGGAAAGGGCTACTTGTAGGAATGTTACTGATGAGGCAAGATGCCAAGGACTTCCCTGCAGGGATCAAAGATCAGGACACGACCCCTTCCTCACACACCCACCTCAGACCTGGGAGAGGACTGTGTGTCCCCCACTGCCCCATCGGATGCTCTGGGCTCTGCCTCAGGGAACTCGGGTTTGGGGAAATGTCTATTTCAGAAGTACTGGAGTGGCCAGTGTGGCAGTGGCCACTCAGGGTGGGCTGGGTCCTGAGACCCATCCCCGACACCTCTCCTGCTGAACCCTCAGGCTGCTCCCCACACCAGGGTGTGACTGAGGGGTACACAGGCCTGGATTTCTGGTGTGAGGAAGGGGCTAGCACCTCCCCTGTTGTGTAGCCAGCACAGGCACAATTTGTGGGTTTGGTGGCAGGTAGGTGGTGCGTGGGAGAAAGGACAGTGTTAGAGGTCCCCACTCCGTGGTCTAGGATCATGAAAGGTGAACACACAAGTACACAAATGTGCCATGCCCTGGCATGGGGCTTATGTGTGCACAGGCAAGGCACTCGGTGTGTGTGTGCGGACCCCAGGGTCCCAGGTCATGTGAAGCGTACGTGTGTGTGCATTGTATGTGTGTGTACATTGTGTGTGCATTGTGTGTGCATGTGGCCAAACAGATGTGACCTCCCAGAACACAGTACCCCTCCACCTCTACCCGAGCTCAGACAGCCGAGCTCTCCCTTGTCCTGTGTGTGTGTCAGTGTGGCCACGTGCGTAACCCCAGGTGGGCTGTCCTGAGCTGGGGGCCTGCCTGTCCCTTCCCAGAACGCCCCTCTGCAGGACAGGAAGTCTGCCCCAAGTCTGGCCACGGCCCTCCTGCTCCCATCTCGGGCTGCTTGGGAGACATCAGAGCAGGCCCCAGCCCCCAGTCCCCTCTTCCGGCCGCCTGGACAGGACCCCCATTCAGCCCAGGTGTTTCCGGAAGTCCCACGGCCTTGGGGCCACAGGAGAAGGGTTGAAGCGTGGCTGGGGCACCACTCCCCCCACCTGGAGTGGCATTGGGCCCACAGCTGCCCATCTCTGGGCCTCAGGTGGACCAGGGGATCTCTAAGGGTCTGCTGTGCCCTTTCTATGCGTCCTCCACATCCTATGATGTGCCTGCTTGTTGGCTGCTGTCTGTGTGCGTCCTGGCATGTTGTCTGGAGGCTGGTGTCTTTTGCATGTTCTTGGACAAATGTGTGCTACCTGCCCAGGCGCCTGCAACCATTGAGCCCACATGTGCCCCACGTGTGCCCTGCGGGTGGTCCCGGGCCTGGCCAGGGCTCAGTGCTCCTCTTCCCCCTCCTCCCTGTTCCCACCCCTCATGAAGCACACTGCGTGTCCATCCCATGTACCCGTGGGTCGACACACGCTCTTGCCACGCCCTGAGCGTGTACACATGATGTGTTCTATGCATTCACCCTGCCCCCCAGCCCGCCCTGCAGAGGACAAGATGGGTGGCCCCGGCTCCCTTTCCCCTAACCGCCCCTGCCCGCTGTGCAGCCGTGTGCGTTGGCGTGTGTTTCTGTGTCACTGGCGTGTCACGTGATGTAGCCGTGTTTGCTGACATGAGCCCCTGCCCCCTTCTCTGTTTCTCCGTTGGTTTCTAGAGCTCTCTCCCTCCCCTTCTCAGAGGGGACAGGACTCCTGGGGCCTGGCTGGGGCCCAGAGCCAGGCCGCCCTCTCCTGTTAGCCCTCAGAGTCCCATTTCTGTTAGCCCTCAGAGTCCCATTTCTATTGGTGACCAACTTGCAAATGGATAAAACACAGGAAAATCCTGCCCCCCCCTTCCTCCCTGCATGTCCTGTCCCCAGAGCCCCCCACCCCACCCTGGGCCAGGTCAGGCCCTGTGGGACGGGAGAAATAGCAACCAATCCAACAGCGGGTGTGCCGTGTGCTCACTTCCTTCTGTCCCCACGTGGGATGGGCGCCGTGGGGAGGCGGACATGGGGTGGGGGGATGGGAGGGAGAGCTGGACAGACAGATGGACACGGTCGTGGATGAGGCTTTTAATCCGGGGTCAGCCAGGTACAGCATTGGGGACATCCCCAGGCCCAGGGCTGGCGATGTGCTGGGAAGGAACTTAGGTAGAGAGGTGGGAAGTGAAAGCATAGGGAGGCCATAGCCCTCCAGAGGGGAATTCTAAGACAGACAGTTGAAGGTGAGGCCTTTGAAAAACAATGGGAACATCACCTCCCAAAGAGGGACTGAGGTGGCTGGAGGAACCAGAGCCGCCTCTGCACTCTGCACCGAGGGTCGCGTGTGGCTGTCAGGAGAGCAGCGTAAGCCTGTGGAGCCTCTGCTCGCTTCCTGCTCAGAAAGCCAGAAGAGAGCTGGGGCAGGCCACCAGGGCACCAGACACTCACCAAGCGGCCATCAGGACTGGGATGAGAGGACAGAGGAAGGACACTCTGTCCCCAAACCCTCCCGTGTCCTGACGGCCCTAGAACTTGGAGGTGTCAGGACACAACACAGACTCAAGGCTCCTGGATTGAAAATGTGGAGGGCTTGGGCCAGGCGCGGTGGCTCACACTTGTAGTTCCAGCGTTTTGGGAGGCCCACGTGGGAAGATCACTTGAGCCCAGGAGTTCAAGACCAGCCTGAGCAATATAGTGAGACCCTGTCTCTAAAAACAACAAAAAAAAGCCAGGTGTGGTGGCGTGCACCTGTGGTCCCAGCTGTTCAGGAGGCTGAGGCAGGAGGATTGCTTGAACCCAGGAGGTTGAGGGTGCAGTGAGCTATGATCACACCACTGCACTCCAGTCTGGGTGACAGAGCAAGACCCTGTCTCAAAAAAGAAAAAGAAAATGTGGAGGGCTCTACGACAAGGACAGCCATTCTGGCCCCAGAGCCCTGCCTCCTGCTCTGGAATGCAGCTGTCCCTTCCCGTCCAGGGTGTGAGGGCTCGGGACCTGGGTGGATGTGCTGTATCTGGGCCTCCAGGCCCCAGCCCCACCGTCACTGGGCTGAACCCGTAGCGGCCTGTACCCAGAGAATGGTACGGGTCCGGCTATCCTCCCACGAGAACAGGGGCTCATAGCCGAAATGGCGCTGAGCCTTGTCGGTGCTGACGGTGAAGGTGGTGTTGGCCACGGCCAGCGTGTAGGGGTTCAGCAGGGGTGCGTAGAGCACCAGTGGCCGCAGCAGCCACTGCAGCAGGGCATTGAGGGCAGCCAGGAACACCAGCAGCCAGTAGGGCAGCAATGGGCGGGCGCCCACCAGCCGCAGTCCGCAGGGGCCCAGGAACTCCATGTTGAAATCCTCGTAGCTCCTGTAGGGTGATCCATCGTAGCAGAAGTATACCTGGCCGCCCATCAGGGTTGCCCGCTGCTCCAGCTCCCGGGCTGCCAGCACGTGCATCCAGGCAACATTGCCTGCCGGTGGCGGAAGAGAGGCGGACACACCCCTGAGTGCCCTTGCAACACCACATCGAGGCTGCTCTCCTGGGCCACCCCCTCTTTGGGCCCAGGTAGTTGCCGCCCACATCCCCACAGCAGCCTGGGAAAGGCTGCCTTCTCCCTCGCCCTGGTAGTCACTTGCTCTCCTGGGCCAGCCTGCATCTGCAAAGAACCTGGGGAGAGGATAGAGAAACCAGGACCTGCGTGGTGGGCCCTGAGAGGCTTGGGGACTGCAGGATGGAGTGGCAGGTGACCTTATTCCCTGTGTAGATGCTACTTCCTTTAAAAAAAGTTTTAGAGACAGGGTCTGTCTCTGTCATCCAGGCTGGAGTGCAGTGGTGCGGTCATAGCTCACTGCAGCCTCCAACTCCTGGGCTCAGGCCATCCTCCCGCCTCAGCCTCCTAAAGTGCTGGGATTATAGATGCGAGCCACTGAACCCAGCCCTTTTAGTGCTGTGTACACACTGTCCCTCTCCTCTCCTCTCCTGGGGAATGGCTGCTCCCATAGCTGCAATCTTCTCTGTAGCCTATGATACACTTTTTAATGTCCCAACTTGCATGGATCCTGTATTCTCTGCAGGCTGTGGAGACATAATCACAGTCTACCTTGGCCCATGTATAGACCATATTTTTCTAGCCAGAGTCCACACTTCTCTCCCAGGGCCATGTGGGTCCTGCCCCCTTCTAGAGCAAGTCCTCCTGCCATATTCTCAGCCTCCCCCTGCCTAGCCCAGTCCTCACCCACATAGACCCGGCCATGCTCCACAGAGGCCGGGATGGCCCGGAAGAGCCAACCTCCCAGGCGCAGGCCCTGGCGGTAGAAGTCCCTCATGATCTGGTGGCCTTCACCGTAGATGCCCGTGGGACGAAGGGCACACGTCACCAGGGGCAGCCCCCCACGGACCTGGTGGCAAAGGCAGGTACTGCTGAGACCTGGGACCCGACAGCTTGCTCTCGGCCCCGGCCTCCTTGGGCTGGCAGGGTAAGGGGGTGTGCAGGGCAGGAGCCCCATCTCTGCGCCTCCTTTTTCTGGGCTCACCTTCCTCCCGTTGGCCTCCAGGACCAGCCACTCGGCCAGGGCCTTGCTGCAAGGATAGGGGTGCCTGTGCACTGCTTCGTATGGGGTGTCTTCGTTGCCCCTGGTGGGAGGAGAAGGAAGACTCAATGCTGAGGGAAATGGGCTCTTAGAGGACAAGAGGGCCTGCCACTCACCTGTAGAAGGGGTGACCTTTGGTGTTAGGCCCCACAACTTCCATGCTGCTGGTGTAGACCAGGAACCGTGTTCCGGTCTGCACACAAGCCTCGATCACGTTCCGGGTACCTGGCAGAGGAGGAGGCGTATCCAAGCTGCAGCTTCTTCCCTCTCTGCATCTTCCTCCTCCCCATCCCAGGTCCAGGGAAAACCATGACAGGTCAGGGGAGGCGGGGGCAGGGCTGTCAATAGGACAACTTGTCCCAGGGGAGTCACCGGAGGTCAAGGCCAAAGACAGAGTGGGGAACAAACAGGCAAGATGGCCAGGAGTGTCCAGAGCTCCTCACCCTGCACGTTGACCTCATGGATGGTCTTGGGACTGGCCCTGCCAAACACGTCTACCAGCCCAGCCGTGTGGATGACCACATGGGCTCCGGCCACAGCTGCTGCCACCTCATGGGCCTGGGTCACGTCCCCCTGGATGGCAGTCACCCTCACAGGCCCTGGCCGGGGTTGGAGGACACAGGCCATGTCAGAGCTGGGGCCAGAGGCCAGAGGCTGGGTTCATCTTCCACCCTGGAGTCACGTTCCCAATGTGACTCACTCGACCCATCCATGTGGACAGAAACCAGCATCATCTGTTCCACTGCAGGGGTGGGGATCCCAGCTTGGGAAGGGTTGGGGAAGCGTCCACACCCTCTCCACCACAAGCTCCCCCAACAAGAACCTGTCTTCAGCTCCTCCAGCCAGGGACCCAGGTGTTGGTCAAAGACCCGCAGCTCCCCGAGCCGGGGCTCCCGCTGCAGCAGCATTCGCACCACGTGCTCTCCCAGGAAGCCACAGCCCCCTGTGACCAGGTACACCAGCTTCTGGGCCTGTGCAGAGTCGGCCATGCCTGGCTGGGGAAGAGACCTTGGCTCATCCAGGGGCTGGCTGCCACCTGCTGCAACCACCTGTTACTGCTGGAGGTGCCCTGGAGCGGTGACGAGGCTGGCGTTTGCGGGGAGGGCAGAGCTGATCCTGGGAGCTGCAGCAACCAGGCCACCTGCCGTCTGCCCCTGCTGATGGCTGAGTTACGGAGAGAGGGGCGGGCTTGGGGTGCAGGAAGGGGTCAGGGTTTAGGGAGAGAGATTTGAAGGCAGTAAAAGGGTGGGGAGGCCAGGAGTTGAGGGAGGTGGAGGGAAGGTTATAGGAAGGTGGGAAGGGCCGGATGGAGGGAAAGGCCACCTGGGCACTGGCAGCGCCTCTGCCTACCTGCAGCCGCTATCCCAGGGTGCCCAGACTGGCCTGGAGGGGCCCTCTTCTTTCGTCCAGGGCTGGCCGGCCCGCACACCGTCCTTCCGCTGGCTCCTCCTTCTCCCTCCTGCCCCATTCCAGGAACAGAGACCCGCCCAGCCACAACCCCCACCACTCTTGCCCCAAGGCGCCCCCTGGCGGCCGCTCTGTGCTCCACTGGCATCTGGGTCCAGCGGAGAACTTGGTGGGGATGAAGCTCGAACTTGCAGAGTGGGCTGAAGGGGTCTGGGGCTGTGGGTGGAGCCAGCGGTGACCTCATCCCACAGTGTGACCTCAGGCCTTCCCTCCTGCTGGGCTTCCCAGGAGGCCGGAGGTCCAGCTGCAGCTGTGATTGTAGGAAGGGGAGGCCTGACCTTGGCACCACCCTGGCGGGCACTGGTGGGGTATTCCTGGTGCGGGTGCGGCTGCTGCAGCCTGTCAGGGGGTCCGAGACAGTCTCGGACTGTCTCTGCAGGTCTGGGCTCTTGCCTGAAGGCCCCTTTACCTGCCCCACACTTCAGGTACCCACTTTTCCCTCTCTTCAACTTGCACAACCCTCCGTGCCCTCTACCCCCAACCCCTCGCTCCTGCCCAAATACACCGACCAAACACTTTTGTACAATAAAGTTTAATCACAATTATAAAAATGTGGCGTCGGGTTTGCGCTATTAACATATGTACAGTCCAGCCCAGCAAAAGGGACCCACCCCGCCATCCTGGCCTGGCTGAGCCGGGGAGTGACACCAGGGTGGAAGGGTGACCCTCAGGGTCTGGCAGGAACAGATGAGGCAGGGTTCCAGGCACGGAGTCCCCAGGACTGGGGGTGCAGAGCCCCCCCAGGGGGAGAACATGGCCACTGCCCCAGAGACCCCTAAACTGGGGAGGGGTACACGCAGGGCGTAAGGGGAAGTCCCCATTAACACAAAGCAAGAGGACTGTGTAGCCCCCCAGGACAGAATCTGTACAGGCCGGCACCCCAGGTTTCCACAGGAAACAGCTGCTGGCTGCTACAAAACATTTACAGCTTCTTCTCCGCAAAGAAAAACAATCAGGGGGTGGTGGGCAGGGGTGACAGGAGAGGCAGAAGCTGCCTCCAGGGACTGAGGCTCCCTCGCTGGGCTTGGGGCCCCCAACCCCACGCTTGGAGATGGGGGCATGTGGGCCCTGCTGAGCCCACTAAGGCTGGGGGGGTGCTGGGAGCTCAGGGCACCAGGGGGAATAAATAGGGGTGTGGGCACCCATCCTGCCCCACCTCAGTTTAGGGAGCCCCGGCAGCTCTCTGTGCCACACAGACACGGGATCTTGTTGTCTTCCAGTGGGAACTTGTAGTCGTAGGTGATCTCCTCGTCCACGCCAATGGGCTGCTTGGAGTAGATCACGATCTTCTTCTGGGACTCGATGGTGATGACCTTGGCGTAGCAGTTAGGCTGCGGATGGAAGGGCGTGTGAGCCGTGGCCACCCCCACCGACCCCCAACTCCTGCCCCGGCTGGCCCCTGGCGCACCGTGCAGCAGTGGTTGATGAATCTGGCCAGGTTGCCACACTTGGTGGCATCGATGATGGTGTCGTGGTCCACCCGGAACAGGTAGCTGCTGCCAATGCCCTCCTGCACGTAGCGCTTCTCCCGCATGTCGGCCACCATCTGCCAGGGTGAGATGCGATGGTCAGGGAAGAGTCCCCCACTTCCTGCCCCTGAGCACGCCTGCCAGCCAGCACCCCAGGTCCACGCCCACCAGGCCTGGAGCTGCAGCTCTGCCTCCAGCTCCCGCTAACCCGGCACTGACTCTCTCGACTCTGCTTCCAGGAGCCCTCCCTCTTTGGGGCAGCATCCTAAGCCTCTGGTGGCCATTCTAAGTCACCCGCAGGGAACTCCAGGGAAATCTGCACTGGGTAAGAGAGCCACTGACTCCTTCGAGCATCTGCCTGGTCACAGTGGGGTCCCGGACTGCTGGGGCAAGTCTGGGGTTGGGGCAGCTCCTGAAATGACTGGCCATGTCACCAACGGCACCCTGCTCATCTCTCCTCCCTGGACCTCTCTCCAAAACAGGCACCTGTTGGCTGCCACCGGCTAATGCAAATGGCAGGCCGCCCATGTCAGGCCCCGCACCTCCGTGTGAGGAGCAACCCTTACTTCCCAGAAGACAGTGAGGAGCCTCTGCACGCCCTCCTCGGGTGACCTCACTCCCTTCCAGAGCCTCAGCCGCCAGCTATGTGGTGGGGACTCCTCCCAAACTTCCATTTCCAGCCAAAAGCCACCTCAGTGGAGCTGCTGGGCGTCATCCCCTAGATGTCCCTGGGGCATTGCAACCCCACATGTCCAGACTGGAGCTCATCTTGACCATATATTTGTTCTTCCTCCTCACACCCATCTCACTGGCCCTCCCATCATACTCCCAGCAGCTAAGAGCAGCACCGAGAGAGGGCCTCCCGTCCCCCTCACCCTCTCACTGCTGAGCCCAGCCAACCACCTTGCACCCAAAGCCTCCTCTCTGTCACCTCTGCTGCCACTGCTTGGGTCGGGCCACCCTTGCCTTTGCCTGGATACTGGTGTCAGCCTAGACATGGAGCTCACTAGCCATGGGGCCCTCTCCTGCGGAAGGACCCTCTCCTGCGGAAGGACCCTCTCCTGAAGAAAGCTCCGGGACTTTCCTCCTCTCTCACCACAGGCCCAAGTGGATTCACAGGCTCCCAAGCCCGTGCGGTCTGGGCTCTCTGTTCCCTCCAGCCACACGTCGCTGCCACTGACCCTGTTTTTTCTTTTCTTTTTTTTTTTTTTGAGACGGAGTCTTGCTCTGTCGCCCAGGCTGGAGTGCAATGGCGCGATCTTGGCTCACTGCAACCTCTGCCTCCCAGGTCCAAGCGATTCTCCTGCCTCAGCCTCCCTAGTAGCTGGGATTACAGGCGCCTGCCACCACGCCTGGCTAATTTTTGTATTTTTAGTAGAGACGGGGTTTTAGCATGCTGGCCAGGCTGGTCTCGAACTCCTGACCTCAGGTGATCTGCCTGCCTCAGCCTCCCAAAGTGCTCGGATTACAGGCATGAGCCACCGCGCCTGGCCATGGCCCTGGTTTCTAATGAGCCAAGCTGACCTCCACACTCTCACAAGACGACCGTGCCTCCAGGTTTGTGCACATGGTGTCTCGCAACCAAGCGCACACACACTACCACTTGTCTGGGCCTGCGAGCTCCTTTCAGCTTTACTCAAGCACCATGGTCTCTGGAAGGTCTTAGGCCCCCCAGGTGTGTGTTCCCATAGCCCAACTCCCCAGATCTTGTTAAGATCTTGTTAATACCAAATGCCATCCTTTTGGCTTTTGTTTTTTCTAGAGACACGGTCTCACCCTGTTGCCCAGGCTGGAGTGCAGTGGTGCAATCTTGGCTCACAGCAGCCTCCACCTCGTGGTCTCGAGTGATCCTCCCACCTCAGCCTCCTGGGTAGCTGGGACCACAGCCATGTACCCCCACGCCCGGCTAGCTTTTGTATTTTTTGCAGAAACGGGGTCTGGCAATATTGCTCAGGCTGGAACACCATCCTTCTGTGTGGATACTTGTTCAGTGCCTGTCCTCCCGCTTCCCAGGCCCTTTGAAAGGGAGCAGCGCTTGGCTGGATGCGATGGCTCACGCCTGTTAATCCCAGCACTTGTGAGTGGCCAAGGCAGGCAGAACACAAGATCAGGAGATCAAGACCATCCTGGCCAACATGGTGAAACCCCATTTCTACTAAAAATACAAAAATTAGCTGGGCATGGTGGCACACGCCTGTAGTCCCAGCTACTCGGGAGGCTGAGGCAGGAGAATCGCTTGAACCCAGGAGGCAGAGGTTGCAGTGTGCCAAGATCGCACCACTGCACTACAGCCTGGCAACAGAGAGAGACTATGTCTCAAAACAAAAAAAGAAAGGGAGCAGTGCCATCAGCCATGCCTCCTGCTGGACCACTGACACCTGCTGACCACACCGGAGGGAGGCTGGTCTCACTGGCTAGGTACCGGGGTTAGGGAGTGTGCAAGGCTTTAACCGGACAAACAGCATGTGTGTGAGCCCCCATGCTGTCTTGTTGCATCAGAAGCCGGGGCGGGGCTGGGAGTGCAGCCTCACCTGACGGATGTTCTGACCCACGTATTCGATGACCATCTCGTCAGCAGCAATGGGTTCCATGGCAAACAGACCCCACTCGTGGATCCGGCTCCGGCCAAATCGGAGCTTCTTCTTCCGGAACTGGGGGGCAGAAGGGAGACTCAACTGCCAGACACCTCCCACACCCCAGACCCTCACTCTTCCCACAGACTTCCTGGGCAGAGGGTGTTCTGGCTGCTTACCCCCCAACTCCACCCGAGGGAACCACAGGAGCCTGCTGGGTGGTCCCCTGGCCTCTGCCCCTTCCTGCCCCACCCCACCCCACCCAGCCCCTCCTGCAGCCCAGCCTCACCTTGAGCTGGTTGAGTTTCAGCAGGTCACTGTCCATGATGGCGGAGGTACCGATGGCGCTCAGCAGCCGCCGCTGCTCGGACCGGCGCTCGGACAGCACGCGGTTCGTCCCCTGTGAGACACACGGCAGGGAGGAGGTGAGCAGGGCAGGGAAGTGAGTGGCAGGAGGACGCGGCGGCGGGGTTAGGCCCACCTGAGTGTCCACGCCCTCCAGCTGCCGGGCCGAGACTGGGCACACGTCCAGGTACTTGTCCTTCTCCTTCTTGCTGATGGGGTAGTAGCCTTCGCTGCGGGCTGAGCCTGTCTGGTGCTCCCGGGGCCCATCCTGGGGCCGCCGCTTGCGTTTTGGGGTGGTCAGGTTGGTGAGTGCAGGGTGTTAAGGAAGAGAACGGCTCCTCTCTGGCCACCTGCGTCCCAGCCAAAGGAGAGGGCGGGGCCCACGCCGCTGAGCATACCCAGGTGAGGGACAGGGGAGGAAGCCCCAGCCCCATCGTTCCTGCCAGAAATGCTTTGGAAGGCAGAAAAGAGGCACCAGGAGGAGAGAAAAGATGGCTTGGAGCCAGAGGGGAGGCAGACAGAGTGGGGCACAGATGCAGGTGCCTGGAGGGGTCGGGGGAGGACCCAAGCCCGGGGAAGGCCGCCCACACTCAGGATATTTGTGTGATGGACCCAGTGAGTGTCGTTGAGCCAGTCAGCCCCGCTTGTCTGCTGCAGCAGCCGCTCGTACGTAAGCCGCAGGTAACTCATGTCCTCTGAGTCCAGGCCCGAGTTCCAAATGTCATACAGGATGGTCATCTGTTCAAACTCACTGCGTGGCTCGTAGGCGCGGGGCGGTGGCGGCGGGGGTGGGGGCGGAGGGCGGCGGCGCCGGGCGTGGGAGCGGAGGCTGCGCCTCCGGAGGGCGCCCTCCCCATCGCTGCTGCTGCTGCTGTCAGAGGACTCCTCCTCCTCTTCCTCCCCCTCTTCCTCCCCCTCCTCTTCGCCCTCCTCCCGCTGCTGCTGCAGTTGCTGCGGCTTGGGCTCCTCCGCCTCAGCCACCACCACCTCGGGGGCCTCCAGGACCTCATCAGCTGGGGAACTGAAGAGGGCGGCGGGTGCGGGCACTGGCTCCGGGGGCCGCAGGGCTGGCGCAGGGGGCGTGGGCTTGACGGCCAGGGCATAGTTGTGCTCCAGGAGGATGTGGCTGAGCAGGGGCCTAGGGCGCTCGGCCTCGTCCGATGTCTCTGTGGCCTCTGAGTCTTCAACAGCAGGCAGGGCAGGCAGCCCGCGCCGGGCAGGGGTCAGGGCCAGGTCGGCCAGGACCGCCAGGTCCACCTCTGTCCCTGGCTCAGCCTCCTCTTCCTCGGTGAGGCGGCCTCGGCCTCCAGCCCGGCTCCGGCCTCCTCGGGACACCTCCTCGGGCCAACTCTTGACCAGAGATGCGTGGTCCAGGGGCAGGTTGCGGATGGTCCGCTCCACGCCCCGGGGAGCCTTGCGGGAGGCTGGGCCGGGAAACTTGGCCTGCGGCGGTGTGGCTGGAGGGGGCTCCGGGGCTGGCACCACCTCGATGGCAGAGAAGGAGACAGTTTTCCGGCGTTTCTTGGGTGGGGGCAGGAGGGGGATGGGAGAAGAGGGACGCTCATCGGGGCGTGGGGCAGGGGCCGGGGGCCCAGCAGGTGGTTCTGGGGGACGCAGAGGCGCACTGGGGGGTGACTCCTCCGTGGGGCCTGGGAAGGAAGCACATAGGAAGGAAAGGAGGTCAGGGAGACCCAGGCTCAGCCACCCTGGCCGCCCATGACCACAGGCTGTGTGCTCTCCCCCACTTCCGCCCAGGAACCCCGGAGGGAACACAGACGCCCTGGCCTCAGCCCCACATCCCAGCAAGATGAACTCCCTTGATGAGAGGGGGTTTCCCACCCATTCGTTCCCGCTGTGACACGTGTGTGGGACACTCGGAGTCCACACACACACCTTCCATGTCCTCCCGGAGCCACAGTCCAACAGGAGACACCATCACAACAAGCTGTAACCACGCTGAGAAGGGCGGCACCACTCGCCCTGGACTCCACTTTCCTACCCAGACTGGCGGGACAGCCCTGTGCCCAGGCCCCAGCCATGTCACATGCCAAGGACCCAGTCAGCCACATTTCAGCTAAAATATCCATTATCTCCATCATAAACAATATTCTCAGTTTAGCAAGGTGAACACGATACAACCTAAAAAGTGGCATCTTTGTATTAAAATATTTTATGAAACTTGCCTTCCTCCCCATCCCCTACAGAATTTGAACATGCCCTGCAGGGAGGGGCAGGAGACAGCGCTGCTAGAGAAGCAGGGCTGGAGTGGAGATCCCAGGATGCGGGTGGCTGGGGAGGGAACACACTGGCTCCGAGCTGGGGGTGCTGCCTCCCCAGCGTACCCTCAGGACGGGGAGTGCATCCTCCCTTGGCCGCCATCCCTGGGAAAGCCTGCATGAGGCTCTCAGAGCCAGCCCAATGGATTTTGTGCCTAACACCAATCACACCTCTTACGTAGAGTAACTCATGTAATCCTCACAACAGCCCAAAGAGGTTCCTATCTTTTTTTTTTTTTTTTTTTGAGATGGGGTCTCGCCCTGTCGCCAGGTGGGAGTGCAGTGGCGCAATCTCGGCTTACTGCAACCTCCGCCTCCCGGGTTCAAGCGATTCTCCTGCCTCAGCCTCCCGAGTAGCTGGGACTACAGGCATGCACCACCACACCCAGCTAAGTTTTGTATTTTTAGTAGAAGCAGGGTTTCACCATGTTGGCCAGGATGGTCTCGATCTCTTGACCTCGTGATCTGCCCGCCTCGGCCTCCCAAAGTGCTGGGGTTACAGGCGTGAGCCACTGTACCCAGCAGAGGGTCCTATCTTACAGACAGGAAAACTGAGGCACAGAGATGTGGTCAGTTACCAGATGACAGAACAAGCTCTGCTCCCAGGCCATGTGGGTTGAGCTCATGCTCTGAACTGCAGCCCACGGACTCACTGGCTTCACAACTGGCTTCCCCGCTCAGCGCCAACAGGGCCGCCGGCACCAGGCCCGGCCCTAGGAGGCAGCGATTCACCTGAGTCCACCGCACTCCCAACCCTGGCGCCCTGAGCCAGGCTCTTGGCTGCACCTTAGGCTCTAGACACCCGCTGGGGTCTCAGCCTGTGGCAGCAACCCACTCCAGGAAGCCAGTGAGGACCCAGATGCATGCAGGCCTCCTCTCACCTTCCTCCCCACCACGCTGGGGCAGCGCCCCCTACAGACCACCTCACGCTTCAGCATGCATGTCCTCGGGAAGCCTCGCTCGAAGAACACACTCCTCCACCAGCACAGCTGCTGCACACACACTTCCCTCTGCGACTGTCCCAAAGGGAACCTGCCCATCCCTCTCATTTAGGAGACAACTTTTGGGGGCACCTGCCCAGTCAATATGACTCCCACCACCTTCCTCTGAGAACTGCTCTACTGCCACGCTCAGGTCCATGGGGCGAGGCCCCAGAAGCCAGTTCCTACTGCATAACCTGCCCCTCCCCAGGGCCATCACTAACATCCCCAGGCGGCAATCACTAAGACGGTGGTGACTGAAACTGGTTCTGGTTATTAGAAACTCGGTGAGCTGGCCGGGCGAGGGGGCTCACGCCTGTAATCCCAGCACTTTGGGAGGCCGAGGCGGGTGGACCATGAGGTCAAGAGATCGAGACCATCCTGACCAACATGGTGAAATCCCGTCTCTACTAAAAATACAAAAATTAGCGGGCGTGATGGCGCGTGCCTTAGTCCCACCTACTCGGGAGGCTGAGGCAGGAGAATCACTTGAACCTGGGAGGCTGAGGATGCAGTAAGTCGAGATGGCACCACTGCATTCCAGCCTGGTGACAAAGCGAGACTCCATCTCAAAAAAAAAAGAGAAGAAACACAGTGAGCCTTCACTAAGCACCCCTTGCTCTGAGCCACGGCTCCTCTGTCCTCGGTAACTCAGACTCCCTTGTCGTGCCCTCTCACTATCCAGACACCAAGGGGCTGCCTGCATCTTCCTCTCCTCTTCCACCTCTGCCACCTCCCCAGGGGACTTGGCAATCACGCCTGTTTACCTGGATTCTTGCATCTCCAGTGATCCCCTTCAATCACCCTCAGCTCCCCTCAAGCAGCCACACACCTGGCCTTGTCAATCCCAGAATGGCTCCGCCTTGGAGATTCCCCATCCTCTCCAACATTCCCCACTGTCCATTCAGTCTGCCCCACTGCACCTTCAACTTCCCATCCTTCAGTTTCCCTCTAGCACATCACCCTCTTCCCAACTTCCTCCTCCACCCTGCCCAGACCCCAGGGCCCGTACTTTGCCCTCTCCTGTCCCAGCACAGCCCCAGGTCCTCATCATTCCACCACACCTTTACCCTGTGGAGCCAGCCAGCAGCCTCTTCTCCCCTCACTCCCAGGCCCCAGCTCTGGCAAGGCCTTCCAGCATGGGGAGGCCCAGGCGAGAGGCTTGCTCTGTCTCCAGGATACAGTGCAGCGGCACAATCACTGTTTACTGCAGCCTCCTCAACCTCCTAGGCTCAAGCAATCCTCCCGACTCAGCCTCCCCAGAAGCTGGGACCACAGGCATGTGCCACTATGCCTGGCTTTTTTTGTTGTTGTTGTTAGCCAGACTGGTCTCGAACTTCTGGGCTCAAGAGATCCTCCTGCCTCGGCCTCCCAAAGTGCTGGGATTACATGTGTGAGCCACCGCGCCTGGACTGGAGCAACTTTTCTCCACTTTCCAAGGTTCTTACTCCACTCTTCCTCTCACAGTCCTACAGCAACAGGGTCAAAAGAGGACTCAGGCACAACACCCCCATCTCCCTGCCTCCCCACCGAAGGGTATAACTGCATCAGATCTGGAAGCTACTCCTCCACCTCCCCAAAAAGGCCATGCCAGCAAGCATTCCTCTCTCCCGGCACATCTACCTGGCCCGTTCCCTTCAGTGGAACATGCCCAAACCTCATCTACTTGGAAAAGCTAACCCCTCCCTCAACCCTGCCCTCTCTTCTTGCTCTCCCTCCAGCTCTGGCTGGTAACCTTAGTTTGTTCCTGCATCTCACTAAGCCTTGAAGCCCTCATCTATAAAATGGGAATCACAGGGAGGTTGTGGGGCAAGCGCAGTGGCTCACACCTGTAATCCCAGTACTTTGGGAGGCCAAAGTGGGCTGATAACTTGAGGTCAGGGGTTTGAGACCAGCCTGGGCAACATGGTGAGACCCTGTCTCAACTAAAAATACGAAAATTAGCCAGGCGTGGCAGTGTGCACCTGTAATCCCAGCTGCTTGGGAAGCTGAGGCAGGAGAATCACATGAACCCGGGAAGCGGAGGTTGCAGTGAGCCGAGATTGCACCACTGCACTCCCGGCTGGGTAACACAATGAGACTCCATCTCAAAAAAAAAAAAAAAAAAAAGGGAGAGGTTGTGGGGATTCAATGAGAAAATGAATTGTCAACATGCTATGCCTAGAGCCTGGCACACATAGGTACTTGACACATGGGAGCTGATATCACAACCCCCAATTCTTTTTTTTGAGACGAAGTCTCGCTCTGTCGCCCAGGCTGGAGTGCAGTGGTACAATTTCGGCTCACCGCAACCTCCACCTCCCAGGTTCAGGTGATTCTCCTGCCTCAGGCTCCTGAGCAGCTGGGATTACAGGCGCCTGCCAGCATGCATGGCTAATTTTTTTTTTTTTTTGGAGACAGTCTCGCTCTGTCACCAGGCTGGAGTGCAGTGGCACGATCTCGGCTCATGGCTACTTCTGCTTCCCCGGTTCAAGCGATTACTCCTGCCTCAGCCTCCCGAGTAGCTGGGATTACAGGCATGTGCCACTATGCCCAGCTAGTTTTTGTATTTTTAGTAGAGATGGGGTTTCACCATGTTGGTGCTGGCCAGGATGGTCTTGATCTCTTGACCTCGTGATCTGCCCGCCTCAGCCCTCCCAAGTGCTGGGATTACAGGCGTGAGCCACCGCACCCAGCCTAATTTTTGTATTTTTAGTTAAGATGGGGTTTCACCATGTTGGCTAGACTGGTCTCGAACTCCTGACGTCAAGTGATCTGCCCACCTCAGCCTCCCAAAGTGCTGGGATTACAGGTGTGAGCCACTGCGCCCGGCCCCAACTCTCCTTTCTATCTCAGCAAGAGTGGTCCACCCTTCCAGAAAACTGCCCTCCCCTCATTCCTTAACACCCTGTAACTTGGCTTCAGTCTGAACCACTCAACTGAAATTGATAAGGTCACCAATGACCTCCTAACTGTCAAATGCAACAGATACTTCCTATCTCAGCCTTGCTGGTGGCCTGGTGATACAAGGCCACTCCCTGCTTTGCAGAGCCTCTCCACTACCTGCTTCCCTTCTCGCCTCTGGTCACCGCTCTCAGCCTCCTCGGGCCCTGCTTGCCCACTGCTCTCACAGGATGGGAAGGCTCTGCCCTTTCTCTCCCCCCACTCGCCTACCTGGGTCTATAGGTGAATTCACTGCTACACTTTCAAGACCTAAGCACCGACCTCATATCCAGCCTACCGTTCTTTCCAGACCCCAGATCCATGGATCCAACTGCCACTGTTTCTACTGGGAAGCCCAAGGGGCACCTCAAATGCAACCTCAACTACACTCATCAGTTTTCTTCCTAATCCTGGTTTTCTTCCCAAGTTTCTTTTCCTGGGGAAGTTTAACCAAATCATCCTACCTCCTAAATTTCCCTCCAATCCTCACCCCCATTTCCACTCCACTCTTCTGCCACATTAGAACCGCTCGGCTTTGGTTCATGCCATTAAATCTCACCTGCATCCTTTCAAACCTCCTCATGTCACCCACCTCCTTGCTCCTCTCTTCCAAATCTCTCCTCCTCCTGCTAGAATGGGCTTTCTGAAATGCAGATATGGTCAGGCCCCTCTCCTTCCTGCTCTGATGAGAATGGAAGAGGACTAAGATCCATGCCTTCTGACCTGCCGGTGACCCCACAGGCCCTTCTGCTACCCAATGGGCCCAGAAGAGGTTGGAGAGTCATCTGAGGTGTAATGAGCGCCTCAACTCCCCTCTCATGGGGTCTGGAGCTTAGTAGAGTGCACCAGGGTGAGGAGGTCTTCCTGTGGGCACTGCCTATCTCAGACCACGGATTCTCAACAACGTGCAACTGGGAGACCCCGGGAGGCCATGCACATCTTCACAGCACATCTGATTTTTGAGATGGAGTCTCACTCTGTTGCCCAGGCTGGAATGCAGTGGCATGATCTCTGCTCACTGCAACATCCACCTCCCGGGTTCAAGCGATTCTCGTGCCTCGATCTCCCAAGTAGCTGGGACTACAGGTACACAACACCACATCTGGCTAATTTTTGTATTTTCTGGTAGAGATGGGGTTTCGCCATGTTGATCAGGCCGGTCTCGAACTCCTGACCTCAAGTGATCTGCCCGCCTCGGCCTCCTAAAGCTCATAGCACATCTTGAACACTGACTTATTTGATCTATCCTTGCAACACCCTAAGTCCAAGCTATCACCATAATTCGCCTTACATTCTACAATAGCCACTTAAGAAGCGCCCTACATCCACTGTGGCCCCTTTCCAAGCTTTCTCTGCACTGCATTTTTTCGAAACATACATCTGACCATGTCATTCCTCTGATGGGTTTCTACTTCAAAATAAAGGCCAAATTCCTGACATGGCTGGCCTATTTGTCTGCTGGGCCCAACTCTCACTCACTTCTCCAGTTTCAGCCACCCCAGTGCCCCCTTGTGCTCAACCCTCTGAAGGGTCGGCTTTCTTCCAGTCTTCCAACCCGCTGCTTCCCCTGCTGGAGGGCCTTTGCACACGCTAAGCCAGCCGTGCTGCCTGCTTTGCCCAGACTTCAGCCCAGCAGTACCTCAGCAGGAAGCCTTCCTCCTCCTGCAGATGTGCTCCGGCTGGCTGCCCTGTGCCTCTTCCTGGTGCTTCTCATGGTTCGTAACCACAGGTTTTCCTAGGTATTCTCTCTTTTTTTTTTTTTGAGACAGGGTCTCGCTCTGCCACCCAGGCTGGAGTGCAGTGGTGTGATCTTGGCTCACTACAACCTCTGCCTCCTGGGCTCAAGTGATCCTCCCACCTCAGCCTCCCGAGCAGCTGGGATCACAGGTGTGCGCCACCACGCCTAGCTAGTTTTTGTAATTTTTGTAGAGACAGGGTTTCATCATGTTGCCCAGGCTGGTCTTTTTTTTTTTTTTTGAGACAGAGTCTCGCTCTGTCGCCCAGGCTGGAGTGTAGTGGTGCGATCTCGGCTCACTGCAAGCCTCTGCCTCCTGGGTTCACGCCATTCTCCTGCCTCAGCCTCCTGAGTAGCTGGCACTACAGGTGCCTGTCACCATACCTGGCTAATTTTTTGTATTTTTTAGTAGAGATGGGGTTTCAACCATGTTAGCCAGGATGGTCTCGATCTCCTGACCTCATGATCCACCCGCCTTGGCCTCCCAAAGTGCTGGGATTACAGGCGTAAGCCACCGCGCCCGGCCTCCTATGTATTTCTTACTCAATGAAGATGTCTTTCCCTGTAGACTGTAAGCATGATGAGAGTGAGAACACTGCCTGTGAGGCTCAGCAACCCATCCCCTGCACCTACTGTTTGGCTGCGATGAGCACTCAAAAAAATATCTACTGCTTGAAAGAGCGGTTCCCTCAGCAGGCTAAGCTATGCGAATGTGCTAGAGTATAACAACTAGACGTACAAATGAACAAAGAAAAGCAGCTAGGACCAAGTTCTGTGTTATGTTAATACTTGTTTTCTACCTATTTGCCCATTTAATAACCTGCACTTGTTCACTACTCACTGAAGAACAGGCTTAAGAAAAATTAGGAGGAAGAACTTATTCAACTGGGCACTTTCTCCTTAATTTACTTGAGAAGAGACCAACCCATTTTACTTTAGTATGCAGCTTAGCCTGGGGTTCTGTAAACCACCATGACGGTACAGTTTGAAGTGTGTCAGACAATCAATGTCTCTAGAAGGTAGTGACAGGAGATGGTGACATTTTCTTTGTATGTTTTTCTAATAAAGTCACACACTTGTACACAATAAATGCAAGCACCACTGTTTTCTCTCTCTCTCTCACACACACAGCGATCTAACCGACAGCCCTGTGGCACCTACCTGCAGGCCTTGCTGGAGACGCCTCCTGTTCGGGCAGGGGTGTGACTGGGGAGCCTGCAACCCTTTCCGGCACTGGCACCTCCACAGGTGCTGGCGTGGGCACTGGGACTTCTCTGGGGGGCGGGGAGGCTGAGGGAAGGGCTGCTGGCCGCTCCTCTTCCTCTTCATCTTCAGAGGAGGACTCAGAGGATGAAGAGGACGAGGAGGATGAGGACGAGGAGGAGGAGGAGGATGAGGAGCTGGAAGAGCTGCTGCTCTCGGAGTCTGATGTGCTGTCATTTTCGCCATCTGAGTCAGCATACAGAGAACATTTGGAAGACGAATCGCTTTCCTCGTCCTCGCCTGGAAATCCAGAAGGGGCAGTCAGGAGAGGTGGGCAGACCTCACTTGGCCAGCCGTGGGCTCCTCACTCACTCCCTGCTGTGGATGCTGGGCTCTGGGCTAGGGACGGGGAAGTCCAACAGACCAAGGAGCTGCATAAGCAAACCATTTTCACTGTGAGATAAACATCAGCATGCGGGGAGGATGGCAAAGGAAGCCCCAGACTCTGTCTGAAGAGGCCCGAAAAGGAAAGCATCCCAGGGGACAAGCTGAACTCAAGGACAAGGAGTCCACCACACAGACATGGGGACTGCACAGGGATGTCGGAAGCAAGAGGAAGTGGAGGCTTGGAGACTGGGAAGCAGGCTGCTCTGGCACTCAAACCTTCCTAAAGTGGGTCTCAGGACCCAGTCTGGACGAAGGATTGGGTGAAAAAGGATTCTGGGCTGAAAAGGTTAAAAAACACGACAGGCTCTATATTCTGAGACTGCTCATGTACGGGAAGGACTCGAAAAAACTGAAGAATTTCACAGTTTTTGAGGAACAGAATTGGATAAGTTAGACTAGAAGGTGGTGGCAGCTGGGGAGCGGACTGGAGGAGGGCGAGATGGAGCTGAACAGAGCAGGGCCAGGAGATAAACGGCCCATGGTGTTGGCCTGGGGGGACACCCTGTGGAGAACAAGTTGCCAGGAAGGACCTTATGGAGGGAAGTCACAGGGTCAGGAGTGCATTTTAGGAAAGAGATTCTATAAGCAGTTTGGAAAATGGACTGGAACAGAGGGAGAAGGACAGAAAGAGAGACAGGGAAATCAGTCAAGACTGCTGCAAGAGGCTGCGTGCAGTGGCTCACAGGTGAAAGCCTAGCACTTTGGGAGGCCGAGGTGGGTGGATCACTTGAGGTCATGAGTTTGGGACCAGCCTGGCCAACATGGTAAAACCCCATCTCTGCTAAAAATACAAAAATTAGCCAGGTGTGGTGGCTCACACCTGTAATCCCAGCGCTTTGGGAGGCTGAGGCAGGAAAATCGCTGGAACCAGGGAGGCGGAGGTTGCAGTGAGCCAAGATCACATCACTGCACTCCAGCCTGGGTGACAAAGCGAGACTCTGTCTCAAAAAAAAAAAAAAAAAATCTGGGTGTGGTGGCTCACGCCTGTAATCCCAGCACTTCCAGAGGCTGAGGTGGGTGGATCGCCTGAGCTCAGGAGTTCAAGACCAGTCTGGCCAACATAGTGAAACCCTGTCTCTACTAAAAATACAAAAAATTAGCTGGGGGTGGTGGTGGGTGCCTGTAATCCCAGCTACAACGGAGGCTGAGGCAGGAGAATCTCTTGAACTCAGGAGGCGGAGGTTGCAGTGAGCCGAGATTGCGCCATTGCACTCCAGCCTGGGCGACAAGAGCGAAACTCTCTCAAAACAACAACAACAACAACAACAAAAAACAAAACAAAAAAAGCGTTCTGCCAGGCTGTCCTTTTGGACAGCTATGTCTCAGCAGAAGAGGGAGCAGGAGGGAGCATTTTGAGCACTGAGCTTATTGCTGTCAAGGGGCCAAGGGTTCCTAAGAATGTGGCCCAAACAGATGCCCTTGCAGAAGGCAAAGGTGACCCACAAGCCCAGCAGGAAGGTCATGTGGGCTCAGAAAAGGGCTAGCCAGGCAGCCGAACCCCTCCTCCGAGCCCAAAGTCGATTTCACTGTCTTGTGCTCACCATCCGACACCTCTGTCTCCTTCTTTGTGGTATCCACAGCTTCCTCTCGATCTTCATCTTCCTCATCTTCCTCGTCATCCTCCTCATCCTTAAGAAAAAAGACAAATGAGGACTAACAGGAAGGGGACAACTGGTCCTACACCAGGCACAGCTGCCTGGGCTCCAACCACAAAGATGCTGGCTATGGGAAGTAGGCTTCGGCCAGGAGCCGGCGCCCGGGCCCTCACCTTCTCCGAGGAGGACTCCTGGGATGCCTCCTCCCCTTCGCTGTCCAGAGCAAAGGACTTGCGGTGCTTGCCCTGGGTCTTGCCTCGCTCTTCGTCCCGCTTCGGGGGCTTGGTCCCCGGACGTCCTGGCTCTCCAGCCTCCTTCTCTTGTTCAGGGTCTAGGCCAGCAGAGTGGTAGTTGGGGAAATTTACCATCAACCACAAGATACTTGCCCTGTGCAAGGGGCTTTACATATACTATTACCAATCTTCCTGATGGTCTTCATTTCACAGATGAGAATTTGGAAGCTCACCAGAGGAACTCAAACACCTCAGTTACCTCATGTTTCATAGTTTTGTATTTGTTTTTGTTTTTGGGACGGGGTCTTGCTCTGTCACTCAGGCTGGGGTGCAGTGGCATGACCACAGCTCACTGCAGCCTCAACCTGCTGGGCTCAAGCGATCCTCCTGCCTCGGTCTCCTGAGTAACTGGGACTATACAGGGGCATGCAATCATACCCAGCTAATTTTTAAAAATTTTTGTAGAGACAGGGTCTACCTATGTTGCTCAGGCTGGTATTGAACTCCTGGGTTCAAGTGATCCTCCTGCCTCAGCCTCCTGGAGTGCTGGGATTATAGGCGTGAGCCATCGTGCCTGGCATATATATATATATTTTTTTTTTTGAGACGGAGTCTCGCTTTGTCGCCAGGCTGGAGTGCAGTGGCACAATCTCAGCTCACAGCAGCCTCTGCCTCCCGGGTTCAAGCAATTCTCCTGCCTCAGTCTCCCAAGTAGCTGGGACTATAGGCACCCGCCACCACGCCTGGCTAATTTTTCTATTGTTAGTAGAGACGGGGTTTCACCATGTTGGCCAGGATGGTCTCGATCTCTTGACCTTGTGATCCACCCGCCTCGGCCTCCCAAAGTGCTGGGATTACAGGTGAGCTCCACCCTGCCTGGCCTTAATATATACAGATACGCATATGTGTGTGTATATATATATGTGTGTGTGTATATATTTGTGTGTATATACATATGTGTGTGTACATATATATATATATATGTATTTTTTTTTTTTTTGAGACACAGTCTCGTGCTATCACCCAGGCTGAAGTGCAGTGGCATAATCTTGGCTCACTGTAACCTCCACCTCCTGGGTTCAAGTGATTCTCGTGCCTCTGCCTCCCAAGTAGCTGGGATTACAGGTGAACACCACCATGCCTGGCTGTTTTGTATTTTTAGTAGAGACAGGGTTGTGCCATGTTGGCCTGGCTGGTCTTGAACTTCTGACCTCAGGTGATCCTCCTGCCTCAGCCTCTGGAAGTGCTGGGATTACAGTCAGGAGCCACTGCGCCCAGCCCACACAGTTTTAAATATGTCCTGTCCATTTGATCTTGTATCATTTTCTGGTCGGGTGGAAGAGGGAGCTGACTTGTTATGCCTGGCCCAAGAAAAGAGTATGAAGGCCAGTGGGTCTCCAGGGAAGCAGATCTGACTCAATGGGCAAGTTTCCAGGCCATGGTAGCTATCAAGCAAGGGCTCAAACTCAGGCAAACTAGGAGGAAGGTGGTAGGAGGGCATTAGCATCAGGTGGGAAACTTGGGGAGATGCCTCGTTTAACTCGGAATTCTGTGATTCCAGACACTGAATTTCATGGATGGAAAAACCCAAAATACAGAAAATGTAAATCAGCAGACCAGAGGAAGACCTGCAACTACAATCCGGGGATAACTCTACCTGGTGCATCCCATACCTCTCAGAACTGCTGCATTTCAACCCTGCACCTCCACCTGGCTGTGCCCTCAGGACGACCTGACCCCTTCATCCCTACCTCTTGCTCTCCCATCAGAACCCACGCAGCACACCCCTTCTCCTTATGCCTGACCCTGCTCACCGTCTTCATCTTCCTCAGCAGGAGTGGAGGGACGAGGCCTCTTTTCCTCACTGGCCTCGGAAATTTCCGATGGCTCTTTCCGCTTTACCTGGGGGATGGGGAAAAGATGGGGCCTGTTTAGAGCTCAAACACTCAGGCAGAGCACGGTGGCTCACTCCTGTAATCCCAGCACTTTGGGAGGCCAAGGCAGGTAGATCACCTGAGGTTAGGAGTTCAAGACCAGCCTGGCCAACACAGTGAAACCCCAGCTCTACTAAAAATACAAAAATTAGCCAGGCGTGGTGGCGGGTGCCTGTAACCCCAGCTACTCGGGAGGCTGAGGCAGGAGAATCGCTTGAACCCGGGAGGCGGAGGTTGCAGTGAGCTGAGATCAGGCCACTGCACTCCAGCCTGGGCAACAGAGTAAGACTCCATCTCAAAAAAAAGAAAAAACTCAAACACTCATGGTTCCTGACCACCCCTACCCCAAGGAAGGGGGCCCCCTCTCCCTCTCCCCACCCTACCCCACAAAACGACAGTTCTGAGTACCTTGAATGAAGGCAGCCGCAGGGCCCCTCTCAGCCCTGACCCAAAGGCGAAAGCCTCGATGCCCGTAGTGCCCCCGCTCTTGGCCCAGTCCACGAGGGACAGCAGGCCAGGCTCCTTCAGCTTCGTCTTCTCTTTATCCTCCTCCTTGGCTTGCTGCTTGGCCGCGTTCTGGAATGGCTGCAGGCAGCAGTGGGGCTGAGCCCCAGCGCCCAGAACCCAGGCATTCCCTCCTGCCTGAGACCTACTCCCGGACCCCAGGAATACAGAACGCATCTACTTGCTGCTCCATATCTTGGTCACACCTGTCCCAGCCCCCGCACGGCATTTTCTCAAAAGTCTGTCATTTCGCCCACCAGTCTTAAGAAATAGCCACCATTCCCACTTCACAAGTGGCAAAATGGAAGACCAAAGCTTGAAGAGAGCTAAGGGCCTTGTCCACTGCAAGCCAGCAAGGAATGGAGCCAGGACAAAGCTCTGCTGCCTCCCAGGCCCATCTGTGCCTGCTTCTCTGTCCCCTCAACTCCCCTGCCCACCCAGGGTGGCCTGCAGGGCCTGCGGCCTCTCTCCACTCGCCTCCATCACCTGTCTCCTCTGAGCTGTGCAGCCTGGAGGAGCCAGAGGCCCATTTCCTCCTGCAAAGCCCAGGGCTCCCCGGTCCCAGGCGCTGGCCTCACCTTGGCCTTCTCCTCCTTGCTCTCCCACCACTGGTCAAAGGCTCCGAAGGCCACGTTCTCCACCATCTTGCGGTTGAGGTCTCGCTGCATGATGCTCTTCATCTCCTGGACCAGCATGGCGAGCACACGGCCCACGGTGCCTGCTGTCGGGAGGGTCTTGCCCTCTGCCAGCTCTGCTTCTTCCCTGGGTGGCAGCCGGGCCTCCTCTCCCGAGACTGAGGAGGAGGGCAGGGGCTCGGCTGCCATTGGCATGGGCAGGTGGTAGGCCTCCCGTGAGTATGCCCCTCTGCCCTCCTGCCCCTGTGCATATAGAGCATACGGCAAGCCGTAGGCTGCCTCCTGCGGGGGTGGAAACGGGAGGAAGGCCTCCCCAAAGGCCCCACCGGGGGGGCCAGCTGAGGCGGCAATCAATCCCTTGCCCTGCCGCAGCTGATGGAGCCGAGTTAACATCTGGGTCTGCATCTGGAAGGACATGGGCATCCCTCCCCACTGAGCCCCAAGTCGGTCCATGAGCTCCAAGGAGTTCACAAAGTCATAGATGTGCGGGGGTGGTGGAGGAGGTGGGGGGTACTCAGGGGGCGGCGGCCCATCAGGTCTGGGTGGGAGGAGGTAGGCAGGTTGGTGGGGAGGATAACCAAGAGGAAGGGACGCCAGGTAGGGAGGAGGAGGCGGCGGGGGAGGGGGAGGTGGCGGAGGCTGCTGAGGGGGCGTCGGGGCCGGAGGGGGTGAGCCACCCCGGTCGTCGTCGGAGATCTCCATGTCGTCTCCAGAAGAGCATGGAGAAGCCTGCGGGGGCAGAAGAGGGTCACAGAAGGCTTCTGCCTGACCCAAGCCCTACTTTCTCATCTGGTTCCCTTCCCTCTCCCCTAGGCCCAACCCTGACTCCCAGAGCCCAGGTGCCTCCTCTGGCTGACCCCAACCTCACCTGGTTCTGTCCATTTGCCTTGGGAGACTCCCGGGTAGCCCCTGGCTCCCCGCTCCCTGTAGGTGCCACATCCTCAAAATTAGCTGGGGCCGGAGGGGGTGTGCAGGGCCCATGCCCTGACCCAGAAGGCACCTCACTCCCTGTATCTCTGGCCCCAAGGACCATGCTGCTGTTCTCTTCCTCCTCCTCTGTGTCAGAGGCCAAGAAGGAAAACTTGGAGCGCTGCTCCTTCAGCAGCATCTCGATGCGGGAATCCAGGCTGCTGTGCTGGGCGAAGGGCACACTCTCATTGGTGGTCTCCGGGGCTGGGGAGCCAGAGCGGGCAGGGGAGGCTGGGCGGGGGGAAGTCCGAACTTCTTCTCTCTCAGGGCTGGGCCCTCCTCCACCCCCGCCTCCACCAGGTTCTGGAGGCTCCGGGGGTGGAGCCTCTGAGGCAGGAGGCCGGTAGTCCTGGTCGGTGGGCCGGCTGGGCTCGGGGGGCAGGTAGGAGGTGTAAGAAGGTGGGAAGCGCTCAGCTGTATTTTCAGCAAAAGGGGCTCCAGGGGGTTCCTCCCGTGTGGCCCGGCGTGGTGGGTAGGAAGTATGGCGCTGGTAGCGATTCCAGCTTTCATAATACGCTGGGTAGTTTGCATCAGAACTACGAAACTGAGAGGACGAGGAGGAAGAGGATGACGAGGAGGACGAGGACAATGAGGAGGAAGAGGCGGAGGATGAGGCAGTGGCTGCAGTGGTGGCGGCGATGGCCGTGGAGGCGGTTGTGGAGGCTGAAGATGCAGAGAAGTGGCGGCGGGAAAAGGCATCTTGGTAGCTGTTCTCTGACCGCCGGGGCTTGAAGGAGGTTGAAGTGGTGCTGGAGAAGAAGCAGGGGAGTTAGCTGGACTCAGCTCTCTATGACCAAACCACAGCGTACTGGGTCCCAGGGCCCAAAGCCCCTCTATGCTGCCCTCCAAAAGAAGAGCTATATGTTGGGTTCCTAGCTAGTGTGTTCCCCGAGGACAGCAATTTGTTGACTGAATCCACAGAGAAACTAGGACAAATTATTTCCAACTCCCTCTTGGAGACAGACTCTGGGCATCTTCTTCCCAGTGGCAGCTCCCAGACTTTGCGGGCGGGGCCCCAGGCGGGGTCTGCTCTGTACCTGCTGGAGTAGGCAGAGTCCTGAGAGTAGGGGGTGCTGCCCCGAGACGTGTAGGGGGTTCCTTGGGAGGACTGAGGTGTGAACTGGCCAAAGGAAGATGGGGTATCTTGTCGGCTGCTGGAGAAGCTTGTGTCCTGGGAGCAGGGGGTGCCGTTGCCAGGAGTGCCCACCGCAGTGGTGCCTGCTGGGTAGGCAGCTGTGTCAGAGGAAGAGCGGCGGCGGGATTCGGCCTAGAGCGACAGAGCAGGGCAAGGAGAGAGGAATGGGCTCAAACACCACTTGAGACCTGCCCTTTCCCAAACCAGGAATCCTAGTTCCCTTTTTTTTTTTTTGAGACGGAGTCTCGCTCTATTGCCCAGGCTGGAGTCCAGTGGCGTGATCTCGGCTCACTGCAAGCTCCGCCTCCCGGGTTCATGCCATTCTCCTGCCTCAGCCTCCCAAGTAGCTAGGACTACAGGCGCCCACCACCATGCCTGGCTAATTTTTTGCAGTTTTAGTAGAGATGGGGTTTCACCGTGTTAGTCAGGATGGTTTCAATCACCTGACCTCATGATCCACCCGCCTCGGCCTCCCAAAGTGCTGGGATTACAGGCGTGAGCCACTGTGCCTGGCCCCTAGTTCCCTGTCTTTTGAAAGCATCTCAGCAGCTTTGCTTGGCTCTTCTTTGTTTAACGGGAAAGCCCGGAACCTCCCGAAGACTGCTCCTGCTCCGGGCACCCGGACACCATGCCCACATGGCTAGGGGCTGTGGTAGCCACAAACTTCTCACCGTCTCAGTGGCTGCACCCGAGCCTTGGAACTTCTCACTCAGGGCCTTGCCCCCAGTGGGCACAGTCTGAGGGGTGTAGGAGCCATTGACAATTAGTTCATAGTATTTCATTCGTTGTTGTCCTGGAGGGAGGGAAATGGGAACCAATTGTCAGATGGAGATACTAACTCCTTCCTGATCTGGTATTCCTGCTTTCTCAGGCCTCAAGTTTCCTACAATTTCTTGGAATCTGGGTTTCAGGATTTCAGTTCTCCTACCATAACTCTACCTTTGGGACCTTCTACCTTATCTCTACCTCTAAACTACCACAAACAACATATTTTATGACACTTCACGATTTATCAAAAACACTTCTACTTATTTTACCATGTTGGATCACCAGAAGGGAAGCATCAGTACCTCTGTTCTAGAGGCTTAAAAGCGACCTACACAAAGTCACAGAATTGGTCATTGGAAAAATTGGAATTCAAACCCAGAGGCTCGATCACCCCATGCTCTTTATCCTGTAAACTAAAGCATGCAGAACAGCAACCGGGGGACTAACGGAGCCTGCAGGAGCTGTGGAGTGAACACCTCAGAAACACCTTGTGAGGAAAGAAACATGGTATTTAAAAACCATGAGATTTCACACAAAAACCCAAATTTCTGGCTTGAGTGCAGTGGCACGATGTAATCTCCACCTCCCAGGTTCAAGTGATTCTCATGCCTCAGCCTCTCGAGTAGCTGGGATTATAAGCATGAACCACCACGTCCGGATTTTTGTTATTTTTAATAGAAATGGGGTTTCACCATGTTGACCAGGCTGGTCTCGAGCTCCTGTCCTCAGGTGATCTGCCCACCTTGGCCTCTCAGAGTCTTGGGATTACAGGCGTGAGCCACCGCATGCCCGGCCCTGGCTTTCTTTTACAAACCAAATTCAAGAATGTTAAACCTCATTTCCACTTGCAAACTGGCCAGTGCCTACTAATGGCTGCCTCCTCCAGACAATACTGCAATCTGCAGCTCGCCACAGACCCCACTGCTCCCCATCACTCAACACAGAAGCCCAGACCACCTCGCTTGTGTTCACAGCTCCTTTACTCTCTATCTCAAATTTCCAAACCTAAAAACCCAGAAAATCCAGTATTTCTGAGAATCTGGCACCAAAACCTATATGGGTTATAGAATAGCATATAGAAAGATTAAAAAGAGGCCAGGCATGGTGGCTCATGCCTGTAATACCAGTACTTTGGGAGGCCGAGGCAGGCAGATCACTTGAGGTCAGGAGTTCAAGACCAGCCTGGCTAACAGGGTGAAACCCTATCTCTACTAAAAATACAAAAATTAGCCGGGCGTAGTGGCGCATAAATGTAATCCTAGCTACTCAAGAGGCTGAGGCAGAAGAATCACTTGAACCTGGGAGGTGGAGGTTGCAGTGAGCCAAGATCGTGCCACTGCACTCCAGCCTGGGCGACAGATTGAGATTCCATCTCAAAAAAAAAAAAAAAAAATTAAAAACAGGCTGGGCAGTGTAGTGAGACTTCATCTCTGCAAATAATCAAAAAAACTTTGGCCAGGTGTGGTGGTGCATGCCCATAATCCCAGCTACTCAGGAGGCTGGGGTGGCTGAGCCCAGGAGCTGGAGGCTGCAGTGAGGAAAGATCACGCCACTGCTCTCCAGCCTAGGTGACAGAGCAGGATCCTGTCTCAAAAACCAACCAAGCAACCAACCTGACCTGGGCTGATTTACTACAATCTATTCATCTTACCTAGTACAACCCTTCATATGATTTTTTTTTTTTTTTACAGATAGTTATGTGCTTGATTATGGCCTATTGCCCGACCTTGCTGGAGACACCACACACACAAAAATCCATGTACCATAATTCCACTCTAAAATCTGATCTGATTTCAGAAACACAACTGGCCCCAGCAGTTTCAGATCATGACCCTGGGCGCCTGCCTGACCCTGACAGGCATTTGCATGTACAACCTCCGCTGGAGGCCAAGCCTGAGTGGCAGGCAGAGGAGTCCTCACCTTTGATGTCAAGCTGGGCATGGATGATGTTGCCCATGACGGAGGTAAGGTGGAGGTTTTTGACCGTTTCCTTGGCGCCCCGAGTGCTGGTGAAGAGCACACGGGCCAGGCCCAGGTGCTTGCGCGTACGGGGGTGAAGGAGGATCTCTACCTCTTCCACCTCACCGTACTTACGGCACATATCCTTCAGGAAGGTCTCCCGCACGTTGTCATTCAGCCTTGCAAAAGTCACTTCCTTCAGTGGAATCTGTCCAATATAGAACTCGTCCAGCTGGGGAAAGAACAGGAGTTGGTATGGGGTCTCAACACTGACCACTGTTCCTTTGTCCTTCGGGAAACTTTAGCAAGCTCCATGAAGTCAAGAGAGAGATCCGGGAAAGTGAGGGGCAAGGGAAGGGGCCCAAAATAAGGGATCCATCAGACCTGACCCCTTTTCCCTGAATTCTTCTCACCACAGAATAACAGCAAGAATTAAGAACAGAAATGTGCAAACTAGGCCGGGTGTGGCAGCTCACACTTATAATCCCAACACTTTGGGAGGATGAGGTGGACGGATCACCAGAAGTCAGGAGTTCAAGACCAGCCTGTCCAACATGATAAAACCCTGTCTCTACTAAAAATACAAAAAAAAAAATTTAGCTGGATGTGATGGTGGGCACCTGTAATCCCAGCTACTCAGGAGGGTGAGGCAGGAGAATCACTTGAACCTGGCAGGCAGAGGTTGCACTAAGCCGAGATCACACCACTGCACTCCAGCCTGGGCAACACAGCGAGACTCCGTCTCAAAAAAAAAAAAAAAAAAAAAAAGAAAGAAAGAAAGAAATGTACACACTGAGGAATAAATATACGTGGAGAGAACGAGCTACAGGGCGATGATTTCCTAGCTCAGCCTTTACTAGGTAACTACCATGAACGAGGCACTGGAAATACAGAGATAGAAAGGAAGAGATTCCCATACAGAAAAGCAGCATGACATGCACATACAAACACAACACGACCCAGTGGCAGCTGACGCATACATGGTGTTCTGGAGCCCAGGGAAGGAAACTTTTGTACAGAGTATGATCAGGGAAGAATTCATAAAGATGGTGTCATTCTTACTGAGATTTGGGGATTAACAATTCATCAAATGACAAGGACCCCTGGAACATGGAAATATAAAACAACTTGGTGTTTTTGAAAAACCGCAAAGCGTTATGGTGTGGATGTAACACAGGGGTGTGGTGTCAAGGCGGAGGATAAGGCTTGGCCAGGTCAATAACCATACATGTCAGTGTCCCAAAACATGGACTTGGCAACAAAAGGAAAACAGCAGCGTAGTGAAGCCAAAGAGACAAATGACAGCAAGGCAGAGGAGAAACTGAGGCAAGAACGAAGGCAAGGAGACCAGGTGAAATGAATACCAAGGTCTACATTAAGTGGCAATGAGAATAGAAAGATGAAGAATAAAAAAGAAAAGAGCCAGGAGGATTCGGTGACCAACTGAGAGAGAAAAGGAGAGAATCACAGGCTGCCAGGCTGTACAGCTGAGTCGATGGTACTGCCACATATGAGTAGAGGGAAAATGAAAAAGGTAGGTTAAGGAGGTAGATAATTTGTTTTAAATCCCTTAAATCTGAAACATGTGTGGCCTCCAAATGAAACTGTCCCCCTACCAGGCATACAAGCCTAGAGATGTTGGCTGGAAACAGATACTTGGAAGTCATCAACATTTAGGTAATAGTTGAAGCTGTGGGTGTGAAAGAGATTGTCCAAGTGAAGTGTACAAAGTAAAAAAAAAAAAAAGAAGAAGAAGAATGAAGGGACCCCACAAACAATTTATTTAGAAAGGAAGAATAAAGAATCAGAGAAGGAAATGAAGAACCACCAGTGTTCCAGGCCCAGTTCAAGGCCTGAAGAATATCTTGTCTAGGGTGGAGAATAGGAGTCCTCGAAGGAAACAAGAGGGAAATGACATCGCCAAATGAGAGGCGGGGAATAGTGCTACCCAGGTAGGCAGTGGCCTTGTCACTCCCCTTGACTGTCAAGGAACTGGGAGATCCCACTCTTGTGTGCTATGATGCACTGTCTACGAATATACAGTGATAGGTATAGCAGCTAAAGAGTCTTTACCTCACCCTTCAAGAAGTCGACACCCCAGCCACCAGGGATACACTTAGGACACCTGACCTGCACCTTTCTGGAAGATTAAGTGTACCTCCTATCCAAAACAACTGAGTCTCACAGCCTCAGAGGTTGCTAGATCTGGCTGAGATCCTTTCATTGGAAACCCTTTTATTCAGCTATAGTGCCAAGACGCATCCTCCACACCCTCTTAGGACTACCACACCAGGAGCCCAGCAGACACTTACCTTAAACTTAGGGACTGGGAGGGAAAAGTCTCTGTTTTTGGACCTGACATGGCAACGGGGGTCTTGGAGGTCTTCGACTGGTATATACTTTGAGTCCTAGGAAGGAAAGCAGCAGCAGAAAGAGAGCTCAGGGTGAATCCAGGCTAGGGAGCTCCAAGCAGCCCATCTGGACACACACATGCAGAAGAGCTGGGTCCAACTGCCCACTTTCAAGAAGGCAGGCTACCGTTCTAGGTGCTGAACAGAATCACAGAGGACGGGCGCCTGGAGCTCCCCGGATGGCAACCAAAGACCCGGGCACTCACGTTGACACTGAAGTGGACTCCATCATAGCGGTACACCTTCTGAGAAGGCCTGCGCAGGGCAGGGTCCAAGGCAGGATCCACGATGAGCTTGTAGTTCCGCCACTGGAAGCTCGGGGCCTTCTGCCCATCTCCCCCACCTTCCTGATCCATCTTTGCTCATTTACACTGTTAGGGGAAGAGGGACACGCAAGAAGGATCAGGACTTGGGGCCTGACTCCCCTGCCTTTCCTCATTGGCTAGCCCCGATTCCAGGTTCTCCCATCACTCCAGTTTCCAACCCTCACCCTGACCCGGGGCTCCCCCGGATTCTCCCCCAAGTACCCTCTGTTTCGCCACAACAACCCAGCCTCTTTCCACCTCCCAACTCTACTGTCAGGCCCCCAGGCCCGTCTCGAGCCCCCTTACCTTCCCGCTCTCCCTAGCGCGCGCCCCACTTGGCCTCGGAGCAAGACCCCTCCCCCGCCCCCTGCAGGCCCCGCCCCCTCCCGCCTCCTCACCGGCCAGCGGCCCGGGCCGAGCCCGGCCACGGCTCCCACACACCCGCTCTCCTCCCCGCGCCCCGATCCTCCGGCCGAAAGGTGGCACCTCTTCGGGGCGTTGGAAACACCGCGAGACCGAGCCCGAGACCCGGCTTCGACCCCGAATCCGGGCGGGGGGGTGGGGGGAACGTGCACCGCTGCCCTCTCCTCCCGCCCCGGCGCGTTCTGCACCCCCCCCAGCAGGTCTCCGCGCACGCGCGCCGCGCGGCCCCACTCACCCGCTCCCGGCGAGCGGCTCCCCCTCCCCCCACCTCGCGCGGCACCTCAGCGGCGCGAGGCGGCGGCAGCGGCAGCGCGAGACCCGGCCCCGCAGCGGTGGCGGCGGCGGCGCCCCCCCACCACCACCTCCCCGGCGCGCGCACCAAACACCACTGCCACCTGCGCGAGGCCCAGCGGGCACAGGGTCTGCATTCGCACTTTCGCCACAGGCGCTGCCGGGGGACCCACGGGGCCGAGGGTAGCGGCTTCGCCTCGGCCGGCGCCCTGGGAGGCTCGGAAGTTGCGGCCCAGGGAGCTTGGAGATTGGCCGCATCCCCCGGAGAGTCGGCTTCGCCACGACGATCTAGATGCTGCGGCCCGGGACCTTGACGAATCGGCGGCGACGAAAGCTGCGACTAGTCCCTGAGGAAAAGGGGCGGGGCGGAGGGGAGGAGGCCAGCCAGCGCTGGGGAACCTTCAGTGGCGCGTTCTGCAGACGCAGATTCACCGGGCGGGCGGGGCGAATCGCTGGACAGGATGCGCGCCGCTTTGCTTCTCTTCCCCGTCCCTTCCTTGCACTGCCAAATTCTGAGAGGCTGCAGATTCGCCACTGTTCCCGGCCTCAGCCGTAGCCTCCCCTTCATCCGCCTTGGTGGAGTCAAGAAAATAACGGCCCGTTAGCCAATCCCTGCTGGCAGAGTCGACAACTTTTTTTGGATTTTTCTTACTGGCCCAAGTGAGAGAATAGCCCGCTTCTGTCCCTGGGGAAAATGCCTCCAGCCCAGCGCTCCTCTCAGAGTCCGATGAGAATTTTCAGCCGAGTATCGAGGGACCCGAGGAATTCTGAGGATCCGACCTGGCGAATCTGCGGATTCCGCTGTGGGCGGGGCCGAGTCAAGGGGCGGGGCCAGGGCGTGCAGAGCCTGGGACTAGGGGGCGCCTCCGGGAGGACCCACGAGGACTCACCCGGATGGGAGGGACGGCCGGGAGGTGGAAAAACACAACCGTGAGCGGTGACTCAGGCGGTTTGCCCCGCCTCGCACATAAATGCAGGGTACCTTTCCTTCCCGTTATTGCCCTTGGGTGTCTGGCTGCTTAGGATGCCCATTTGCCAGATGGGGAGAGTGAGGCCTGTAGAAGGTGCCCTACTTTGCCGTACTCAAACCCACCATTAGTGGTTAAATCCAGGGACCGCCTCAAGGTTTTCTGATGAGCCTAGTGGGGCCTAAGTGCCCTTAAATGGGCCTTGTAATAATAAACGAGGTCCTACAGGAACGGGACTGGACTGGTGTGTCCTCCTGGCGTCATGGTCCCACTGCCCGCTTCTTTGGCTATGGCGCCCTATGCTCACGGGATGCCTCCGCACAAGGGCAGCAGCGGCCCAGGCCTACCCCTGGAACTCGGGCTGAGGTTTCTGAAGGCTGGGCACCGTTTTGATCCCGTGTGGGCGCAGGCACTCCCAGGAGGTCCCTTTTCCTGAGCTGAGGATGCCCCAAGCTCCTGATATGTGTACATCAGGCCCTCGCTATATGGCCTTGGGCAAGTCATTGACCTAAGTTTCAGAGTCTTCCTTTAAACTTGGATGTCAATTTGTACACATCCGAACAGTGCAGAAAAGACCCTTAGAGCCTGGTTTATGCAAATTCACCATTTTAAGTAATAGGAAAAGGTGGAAGGGAGACTTATCCAAGGTCTCACACCACAAGATAGAAGAAGATTAGGACTCTACAATTTTGAGGGAAATAAGGCTGAAAAAAATAATTTACGTGGAGGCATAGGTGTTGAGATCAGATTCCTTTCTGTTCCAGTTGAAAGGCACTGGTTCCTTTTCTCAAATCAAAGAGAGATTCCCGTGTGAGGGGTAGATAGTCCAAGTTCAGTTTCATGGACTAGCTGTGTGGTTTTGGGCAAGATCTTCAGCCTTCTTGGGCCTGTTTCCTTATCTCTGAAATGAAAATGATAAAGACTTAACGCTTAAGGTGTTGTGAGAGTTAAATAAGATAACCTATGAAAGTCCCCTAGTATGTGGTAGTTGCTCAAGAAAGAAACTTGAGGCCAGGTGCAGTGGCTAACACTTGTAATCTCAGCACTTTGGGAGGCCAAGGTGGGAGGATCACTTGAGCCCAGGAGTTCAAGACCAGCCTGGACAACATAGTGAGACCCTCCTCTCTACAAAAAAAAAAAAAAATTAATTAGCTGGGTTGGTGGGACGTCCTGTGGTGCCAGCTATTTGGGAGGCTGAGGTGGGAGGCTCATGAGCCTGGGAGGTCAAAGCTGCAGTGAGCCAAGATTGCACAGCTGCACTCCAGCCTGGGCAAAAGAGTGAGACTGTCTCGGCTGGGCGCGATGGCTCACACCTGTAATCCCAGCACTTTGGGAGGCCAAGGCAGGGGGATCACTAGGTCAGGAGATCAAGACCATCCTGGCTAACACGGTGAAACCCCATCTCTACTAAAAATACAAAAACAAAATTAGCCGAGCGTGGTGGTGGGCACCTGTAATCCCAGCTACTTGGGAGGCTGAGGCAGGAGAATGGCGTGAACCCAGGAGGCGGCGCTTGCAGTGAGCCGAGATCATGCCACTGTACTCCAGCCTGGGCGACAGTGCAAGACAGAGCGAGACTCGGTCTCAAAAAAAAAAAAAAAAAAAGAGTGCTTATACTAAACACTCAGGGAGGGCTGGGTGTGGTGGCTCATGCCTGTAATCCCAGCACTTCGGGAGGCCAGACAGGTGGATCACCTGAGGTCAGAAGTTTGAGACCAGCTTGGCCAACATGGCGAAACCCCGTCTCTAATAAAAATATAAAAATTAGCCGGGTGTGGCGGCACACACTTGTAATCCCAGCTACTCTGGTGGCTGAGGCAGGAGAATTGCTTGAACTTGGGAGACGGAGGTTACAGTGAGCTGAGATCGCACCACTGCACTCCAGCCTGGGCAACACAAGACTCCGTCTCTAAATAAATAAATACTCAGTGGAAGAGATAGAGACTCTGAACTCAGGGACAAGAGTTCAAAGCCTGTAGCCTTGGAATAACTCTCCCCATTCAGAAGCTGTTGGCCCTTGTTAGCATCTGACAGGGTTACACCTGAAACCCACTCCCCTCCCAGGTCCTGTCCACCCAAACTTGCCACCACCCGGCTCTTGGGAACAAGTAAAGTTATCCTAAGAAGGCCTGCCCTGCATCCCCTTCACAGCAACAGGGACATCTGTGAAACACGATTTATTATATAAAACAAGGTGCATCCAAATTCAGTGTCAGAAGAGCTTTGTATTTCAAGGGCTAAGGACTGGACCTTCTCCCTTAAAACCTCCTTACCCAACCCTTGCTAAGGACTCAGGCCTGGGGCAGAGGCTGTCAGTCTCTAAAGACCCCAGCCCTGGACCAGGACGGGGAGAACAAGTTTGGTGCATAGCGTGGGGCTAGGGCAGTGGGTCAGGCACCATCCCTTCTGCAAGTGGCCACAGGTCACCACAGTGGGGGAAGGTGGGGAGCTTGAACCTCCAAAGATAGGTTCATTGTAGGAAAAGCTAGACCAATGCCTTGGGTAGAAACACCCAAATCCCTCTACAACAACTAAAGCAAGAATGTGGAACCCATCGAAATCTTCCCCCAAAATGCCAACCATAAAATAGATTCTACAGAAATAAAGAAAGGAATCCCAGCACTTTGGGAGGCCGAGGCGGGAGGTTCACTTGAGCCCAGGAGTTTGAGACCAGCCTGGGAACAGCGAAACCCCGTCTCTACAAAAAAATTAGTCGGGTGTGGCAGCACACACCTGTAGTACCAGCTACTCACTACCTGGGAGGCTGTGGTGGGAGCATCTTTTGAGCCTGGAAGGTCGAGGCTACAGTGAGCTGTGACTGTATCACTACACTCCAGCCTGGGAAACAGACTGTCTCAAAAAAAAAAAAAAATTAAACCAACAATTGGCTGCCTTCTGACCTTCACATCCTGTATAGGAATGGAAATGGTGGCTAAAGTCAGCACTGAAGGTCCCACAAGCTCTCCCTGCCTCCCCTCTATCTACTGCATGATCCTTCAACTGAGGCCAGCCCAGGTGCAGAGTAGCTTGCAAAACCCAAGGGACAGACTGATGGGGAAAATCCCTGGGAATGTGGGAGCTGCCCCAAGGCCCAGCCCAGAGGACCCTGCGGGCAGGAATCTGAACTCTGCCTGAGAGTGGCCACTGGAAGTGGCTCCAGCCAGGGGATGGGGGGATGAGGTCTGTAGGCCCCTGCGGCCTCTTACAGACCCCGGAGGGAGGCAGTGCTTGCAGTGAGCGGTGGCTAACACCAGTCTCACACAGCCTGCAGCTCCCCCTGCAGGCGATTCAGTTCCTCTAGTTCCTGCTTGTAGCGGTCTGTCTTGTGTGCCACCAAGGAGCGGTAGAAATGCAGGGCAAAGGCCACAAACACGAGCCCCACGGGTACCATGATGGCTGTGGAGGCCATGGCTGCTTGCCAGCCTGGCCCATGGGCCCCACCACCACCACAGGCTTGCCGGGGTGGGCAGGCTGGCTCAGCTTGGGACGGTGCTGCAGACGCAGAGGACCGTGGGAGATTGGAAGCTGGACTAAGGGAGGTAGCCACTGGTGCCAGAGTCCCGGGCACCCGGGATGTGGGCACCATGGGGGTCGGTGTGTCCAAGGGAGCCCCAATGGGCACAAACTTGACCCAACCAACCAGGACAACTTCAGCAAGGAAGAGAAAGGTGCCCAGGGCAGTGGAGAAGCCCCAGGCCAGCTCCACGTAGCGGTGCAGTCTCTGGTGTGGCGACTGGTGGACAGAGTTGAGGTTGTGGATGTTGCTCACAGCTTCAATGTGGGGCAGCAGACACGTGGAGACCATGAGTGCAAAGAGGTGCACAGCCACCAGCACGGTGGTGCAGGCACTGAAGGCCACCAGCAGGCCTGGTGGGTACTCGTGGTCACTCTCCAGCTGCACCTCCACCATGGCCACCTGCAGGGACAAGAGGGGATGTACTGATCTCCCCATAACCTCAACTGTAGAGATTTTTTCCGCCTATCGGGATACATCACTGATACATATCCCTAGGACCTAGAACTGTGCCTGGCAGAAACCAGAGACATTCAGTCTCTGTTGAGTAAACGAATGGACAGCTTTGCAAAGGCTCTGTTCTGTTCTGGTTTCCCCACCTCCCTATCAAGAGGGCTGGATGGCCGGGCGCGGCGGTTCATGCCTATAATCCCAGCACTTTGGGAGGCCAAAGTGTGTGGATCACCTGAGGTCAGGAGTTTGAGACCAACCTGGCCAACATGGCGAAACCCCGTCTCTACTAAAAGTACAAAAATTAGCCGGGCATCGTGGCACATGCCTGTAATCCCTGCTACTTGAGAGGCTGAGGCAGGAGAACTGCTTGAACCCAGGAGGCAGAAGTTTGAGTGAGCCGAGATCATGTGACTGCACTCCAGCCTGGGCAACAGAGCAAGACTCTGTCTCAAAAAAAAATTAAAAATAAAAATAAAAAAAAGGGCTGGATGACATGCTTCTAACAGGTTTACTGCATAGGGATCAAACAGCAGATTCTGGAGCTGGGCTGCCTGGGATCATTCTCTGCTCTAGCTGTGTAATCTTGAGCAAGTCAGTTCTCTGTGTGCCTCAATTTCCTATCTGGAAATAGAGATTGATAACAGCACCTCCCTGCCTTATAGGGTTGGTATAAACATTAAATGAAATATACATGAAATGGGCTGGGAGTGGTGGCTCACGCCTTTCATCCCAACACTTTGGGAGGCCGAGTTGGGCGGATCACCTGAGGTCAGGAGTTCAAGACCAGCCTGGCCAACATGGTGAAACCCTGTCTCTACTAAAAATATAAAAATTAGCCGGGCGTGGTGGTGTGCGCCTGTAATCCCGGCTACTCAGGAGCTTGGGAGGCTAAGGCAGGAGAATTGCTTGAACCCAGGAGGCAGAGGTTGCAGTGAGCCGAGATCGCACCACTGCACTCCAGCCTGGGTGACAGTGTGGGACTCTGTCTCAAAAAAAAAAAAAAAAGAAAGATAAGAAAGAAAAGAAAGAAAGAAAAAGAAAGAGGAAAGGAAAGGAAAAGGAAAAGGAAGAAAAAGAAAAAGAACAGTGCCAGGCACAGAGTAAGCACTAGGTATGTGTTTGCTGTTCTTGCTATAGTGAATGCTAAAGTCTGAGGACAGAGTTTACAAATCGGCACACTGTGGACCACTGCCAGCTTGCAGACGTGTTTTGCTTGGCTCACACAGTGTGTTTCTTAAAAAATGGAAGATGCTGCCAACTTGTAAAACTGAAGAGATTTCTTATATCCCTATTTCCAGATCCCCTTGAAAACTTGGAAGAACTAGCCACACTTGGCCTGCGTTCCTGCATGGCAACTATCAGCTCAAATCAGTCATGGCTGCTCCCCTTGGAAAGGTCATGGGGTCTCTCTTTTTTTTTTTTTGGTAGATGCCAGGTCTTGCTATGTTGCCCAGGCTGGCTGGACTCGAACTCCTGGGCTCCTAGGCTCAAGCGATCCTCCTGCCTTGGCCTCCCAAAGTGCTGGGATGAAAGGTGTGAGCCATCACCCCCAATGTCATGGGGTCTCTTGCTTGCTAGTCCCTACCCAGCCAATTTGGCATCCATATTACCTGCCTGGCCCTTTGCAAACATTTGAGTTGATGACCCTATTCTAGGAATTTATAAATTTGGAGTCTGGAACCAGACGGCTTAGGCTCAAATCCTGCCACTTACTTGCTGTGGGACCTTGGGCAGGTGTCTTAACATCTCTGATCCTCAGTTTCCTCATCTGTAAAATGGCCAGAGTAGCAGTACCCACTTTGTAGGCTAACAGATGATGTATATAAAGGCACTGAGGGCAGTGCCTGGTGCTTAGTGACAGCTGGATACAATTTGTATAATGCTATTCTAACTTAGGCCACCTGAGTTTCAGAAGCCCACTCTCTCCCCATCCCTGGTTCTTGTAGGGTCCATTCGATTGCTCTGGGCCTGGGGAAAGAAGAAGGTAGGTGTAGAGGCTGGCGGGTGGAGGTAGGAAAACAGGGCTGAGTATTTTGGGAAATTGGGCCATGGCAGGTGTCAGGAGGTGTTTTCCACAGACAGGGATCTGGGCCAGGCTTAGTCCTGGTTTCTCCCAGAGCCTGGCCCAGCCTCGGTCACCCCTGCTAGGACTGCGGCCAGTCCTGCCCCCGGAACCTAAACCTCCAGCCCCTTCCTCCTGCAGAGAAGGCTCGGGCCCTTAAGCTGTCACCCCAGCAACCTGCACCTGCATATTCTGCCGTGGAGGGATTGTCTCCTTGGGAACAGGCTGGACCATGGGGTTGACCTCCCTCAGCTTGGGTGGCTGCTCCCTTCCCTCTGCAGGCTGTGCAGATGAAGGGGAGCCAACATCCTGTCCCTAGGTGATGCCCCCATCATGAAAGGTAAGCTGGTCTGTGGATTCTGGGACCCCACATAGAAGACCATAGGCTTATGATGACCCTTAGGGTTAGAGAGTTTCCCTGTCATTGTTCAAATATGGAGGTTGTGGCACAGACAGGGCAGGGACTAGCCCAGATCCCCTAGCGCCATGGTCCCCACCCCAACCGCCTCTGATATCCACCCCCACAGGAGTGCGTTCCCCAAAGTACCTCCTGCAGCTCACTTTCTCCTTTTTCCTGGGGTGATGGTGGGGCAACCCCAGACTAACAGAGCAGCAACCCTGGGTCCCAGTTCATTCGCTCCTGCCCAGAGGCAAGGCTTTTACTTTCCACACCTGTCCAATTAGCAGGCTAGTCTGAGCCATCCTTGGTACGTGACCTGCTCTGACATGCCTGGCTCACCCTGGGGCGGTTACTTGGCTGGCTACAGAGGGCGCACCCTCCATGATCTCAGTTTCCCACTGGCTTGCAAGCGGGGTGGAGGCCTGTCCAGGGTCACACAGCTGGCCACAAGCAGGGAGGAGCCAGGACTGTGTCTGCTGATCCTCACCCTGGGACCTCCCTCCATCCCACTTCCTGTGAGGCCACTGCTGGGGCAGACCGTTAGCCAACACCGTCCTCCTGCACCTGGGGTTTATCAGCTTGAGACTCGCTTATCAGTTTCCTCATCAGCCTCCTTCCCCAGCGGTTCCCTCCCGGGCATGATCTCTTGTCAGTTTTCCTGGTTGACACTAGCACCCCTTGGGCCCGCTGGAGAGTGGCCACCTTCCCTGGGACGGGCCCACCTTCAGCTGGGTGACCCTTCCACCCAGCTAATCCATCTCGAGCCCCCCACCTGTTGATGCAGCCCCCACCCAGCTGACCTGCCTTTGAAGCTGGCACTGGGACTTAGGAACCACTTCTGCCAGGTACAGGCTCCATCTGGACCACTCTGCCTCACTGTTGCAGTCAACCCCACCAGCGATTTGTTCACCCCACTCCCACTACGACACCTTTAGGACTTTCGTGTCCTCCGGTGGCCCCGTCTCCTGGGGTCCCCTGTACACACACATCCGTAAGAAGGGACTTGCTCAGTCCCGCGGGACCTTGTTCCTTCCCCCTTTGACGAAAGCCCCCTTTAACCTGTCTCCCTTGGGACCTGTTTACTTCGCCCCCCCCCCGACCTGTGCCCCCCACTTGCTCTGCCCCACCGGGTGTGACCCCTCCCGGCCCCTCACCATGGCGAAGCCCGAGAGCAAGGCAGACGTGCGGCTGGAAGCTTTGAGCTTGGCCCGGCTGAGGTAGAGGCGGCGCCAGCTGAGCGCCCGCAGCGAGTGCTGACTGGCCCCCATGAGGTCCAGGTAGCCGCGGTGCACGAACTCCCGGTACGTGGCCGAGCCTGCAGGGCTCTCGCCCTCAGGGTTCAGCGGGGCCTGCTCGCCCGCGTCCCCCTCGCCGCCCTTCATCCTGGGGGGGGGGCGGCACCAGGCGGTCACTACGGGGCGGAAGCGCCTCGGGGGCCCCAGCCGGGCCGGCCCAAGCCCGGGGGCGGCCCCATTCCCAGACAGGACGAGCAGGATGCAGGCGGCGGGCGCCCAGGAAGAGGCACCCCCAGTGGAGCAAGAAAAGCAGCGTCTGCGGGGAGCCCCAGGAGCCGGAGCGGGACAGCGGAGGCCAAAACAGGAACTGGGACAGAGGCGGAGCCGGGGCTAGCCACATGATGGGGTGGAGCCGGGGACCAAGTCCCCGCAGTCCCGGGCCCGCAGAGATTCCCCGCGACCCCTACCCACCAAGAACGTTATCCAAGCGCCCGGACCCCACCGAGGTGCACGCCAACCCCAGCCCCCTCCAAGGTACAGCTGGACACCCCAGGTGTCCACACTTCCAAATCCCTCCCAAAATGAGTCCAGGAGAGGTGAGCCCACTCATCTGTAGGTAGGGACCCCGCAGATACACACACGAACTCCGCAGCCCCGGCTGGAAGATTTTGAGTTTTATAGCAAACCGTATTGTACAGACCCGGGGCCCAGGGGCCCAGCCCGGCTGGGTCCCCCGCTTGCCCCTCGCCGGGCTGCCTCTTCCCTCCCCCAAGCGGCCCCATTCTCAAGCCTCTCGCTATCCCCAGGCCCCACCCCTCCGGCCTTTGGTCCGCCCAGCCCTCCCCCCACCCGCGCACCTCCCTGTTACCTGAGGTATGTGGATAGATCTCCCCTCCCCTACATGGTAAGCCCCGGCCCCCCGGAGGCCTGCGCGGAGGGGCGGGACCTGGCCCGGCTCATCCCCGGGGTCCCGAAGCCCCACCCCGCGCTCGAGGAAGGGGCAGGGAAGGAGGGCCAGCAGAGTCTGTTACTAGGTTCCCATGGCAACTAAGAGGGGGCCATTTCCAGCCTTAGCACTGGCATCGGGAGGTGTCCGTTGGCTGCTATTTCCATGGCAACCAGGAGTGGCAGTTCCCTGGGCAAATGGGATACAAGTTTCCATGACGATGAAAGAGTGGGAAGAGCCAGGCTGGAGGAGTCCCATGGTCCCCATTCTTGGGCTGGCGCCCCCAGCCATAATGCGGGTCCGGCGGGTGCCGCCGCTCAATACAGTAAAACAAGAACAAGCCTGGGGGTGGCGCAGTCCCAAATGGGCGCCCACCGGCCCGGTCTCAGGTCTCAGTCCAAGCTGGTCCAGTCCCCTCACACCCCGGCTCCCCCAGGTCCGAGATTCCCCCGGTTCAAGTAACACTTCAGTACAGATGAATGTTCAAGTATTGTGCGGAGAGGCGGGCAGGGGGTTGGGGCGCCCCTCGCCACTCCCCTGGGCCGCGAGCTGAAGAGCGGCTGCCCGCGGCCCCCACTCCTTGCAATAGCTGCCGTTTTCAGTGACGTTCAAGGAGTCAGGGTCAGGGGGAAGGAACTGAAGCCTGGGGAGGGGGGAAGCAGAGAGGTGACCCCCAAGGGGGTATTGCTGTCCCCACACCTGCTCTCATCCCCACCTCCAGCTCAGCCCCAGCTTGCCCCTGGTTCCCCTACCTCTGACACCTGGATCCCCAATTGCTCCTCCGGTTTTCCTTTTGTGGCCCCACCCCCACCCCCCACTCCAAGTAACTGGTCTTTGTTCCCTGAACCCTTGGTGGTCTGCTGTCTGCCCCGCCCCCCGCCCCTTCCACCTCCCCCAGCCCCTGGCTCCCATATCCTGTGTGTGTCCTTTCCCCATTCTCCCCCCCAACACTTGCACCATAACCCCCCTCCCACCGTCCCTTCGGCTCAGCACCCTCCAGTACCTCTGACCCACTCCCCCAGGGGATGGACAATGAAGCAGGTAGCAGGGGCAGGACATAGGAAGGAGAAACCCCCAGAGATATCAGTGCAGGGGGGAAAGAAGGGGGTGGCTGGCTTGAGTCCCTGGGTGGGAATCCCAAGTCACTGACACTCAGGAATCCCAGGGTGGTGAGGTGGGAACCTGGCCTCCCAGCAGGGGTGAAATGAAGCCGGAGGTCCAGGCTCCTGTCGAGTCCGGGGGAGGGTGGGGGGCGCCCAACTAGCTGTCCTTGAGAAGCAGCTTCTCCTCAGGGCAGCGGAAGGGGCCAGGGGGCCCGGCAGCTGCCAGCCGGGCACAAGCTTCGGGTGAGAGCTGGCGGCAGGAGCGCAGGTCTAGGCGGCGTAGACGAGGGCAGCGGCGGAACAGCGGGAGGCAGTGGTCCGTTAGGCGGTGGCAACCTGGGGATGGGGCAGTGGAGCTGAGACCAGGCAGGTGAGCAAGGGGTTGGCACTGGCCGTGGGGATCCACAGGCTGGCAGGACGGATGGGGGACCGTGCTTACCAGCAAGATTGAGGTGCACCAGGGTCTCGCGGAGTGGGGACGTGGGGGCCGTGAGGAGGTGAACACTGGGGTCCCCGACGTGGGCGCAGTGGCTCAGGTCCAGGGCGCTCAGCTGGGGTGCGTGACGCAGCAGGAGACGCAGGGAGGCATCTGTCAGCTCCAAACCTGCCAGACGCAGTTCTGCCACCCCCTGCAGCCGACCACGGCTCTCTGTTTGCCCTGGGCAGCCAGATGAGAGGTCAGCACTCCTGGCCACTCCCATCCCTGCGCCCAGGTATCCAGACCATCTGCCCTCCACCTGCTTCCCACATAAGTGAGTGACCTGGTGCACTCTGTGGCTTGCTCTTCTCAAAAACACCCTCATGGCCTGACCTCATCTGTCCACTCCTCACATCACCTCCTCGGAGGCCTTCCATGATTATTGTATTTGAGACTACAATATTCTGCCAGGCGTGGTGGCTCATGCCTGTAATCCTAGCACTTTGGGAAGCCGAGGCAGGCGGCTCACTTGAGGTCAGGAGTTCGAGACTAGCCTGGCCTAACATGGCAAAACCTTGTCTCTACTCAACATACAAAAATTAGCCGGGTATGGTGGCAGGCGCCTGTAATCCCGGCTACTCAGGAGGCTGAGGCAGGAGAATCACTTGAACCCGAGAGGTGGAGGTTGCAGTGAGCCACGATTGTGCCACTGCACCCCAGCCTGGGCAACAGAGCGAGACTCCATCTCAAAATAAATAAATAAATAAATAAAAGAGTCTGTGACCTCCCCTCCTCTCTCTTGCTGTCTTGCCATGTGACATGCCGATTCCTTCACGTTCCATCAAGAGTAAAAGCTACGTGAGGCTTCCCCAGAAGCTGAGCAGACGCAGGCACGATACTTCCTGTACAGCTTGCAGAATCCTGAGCCAATTCAACCTCTTTTCTTTATAAATTACCCAGCCGAAGGTATTTCTTTATAGCAATGCAAAAACTAATGTAATTCTCCACACTCCTACCACTTCCTTGCATCATTTTTTCCTCTTTTTCTCACCATTTGACATATTATATGCATTTTTCTGACATACATACGTTTTCCTTTTTTTTTTTTTTTTTTTTTTTTCCCCGAGACGGAGTCTTGCTCTGTCACCCAGGCTGGAGTGCAGTGGTACAATCACAGCTTACTGCAGCCTCAACCTCCCTGTAGCTCACTGTAGCCTTGATCCTCCCACTTTGGCCTCCCAAAGTGCTGGGATTACAGGCCTGAGCCACCGCACCTGACCAGAGTTTACTTTTTTTTTTTTTTTTTTGAGATGGAGTCTCACTCTGTAACCCAGGATGGAGTACAGTGGTGCAATCTCGGCTCACTGCAACTTCCACCTCCCAGGTTCAAGCAATCTCCTTGCCACAGCCTCCCAAGTAGTTGGGATTAAAAGCATTTGCCACCACGCCTGGCTAATTTTTTGTATTTTTTTAGTAGAGATGGGGTTTCACCATGTTGGCCAGGCTGGTCTCAAACTCCTGACCTCAAGTGATCTGCCCACCTCGGCCTCCCAAAGTGCTAGGATTACAGGTGTGAGCCACCATGCCCGGCCCAGAGTTTACTTTTTTAACAAGTTCTCCAGTTTTGTGGATGCTGCTGGTCCCCCGACCACACTTTAAGAACCACAGCCTTGGGAGACAAGATCTCTGATCATCATTCCTGTTTACAGCCAGGAAACCCAGGCCTGGTGATGCTGAATCTGAACTCTTACCACAGTGTTGTCTGCCTCCCAGGCACCAGCCTATCCCTAAGATAAACTATTAATAGATCAGATGGCACAAACCATGAGGCTGCCCTCCAAACATGTTTTATGGAGTCTACAGAATGCTAAAAACTTCCTTAATGACTAACACTACAAAAAGGACATTTTTATAAATAAATTTACATACTGAGCTTTTCCTTGAAGAATCGTAAGATGTGGCCTCACTAGGCACTCCTTCCCACCAGATGATGACTGAGGGGAGCTGGGTGGCTAGGTGCCACTCCCTAATGTCCTACACCAATGCATCACTTCTGTTACCTCCCAGGCCAACTCTATGGGCACTTGACTTTGCAAGCCCTAAATTTTAACCCCTCCTCCTGTCTTTGAGGAGCCAAGCGCCTGGAGAGGGGATACCTTTACAGATGCCCTCAACCTTGGGCCACAGCTAAAGGCACAAGGAGGAAAGGCCCATAGAGGAAAGCAGAGGAAAGAGAAGTCACTTCTGGCTTGGGCAGGGAGGAGTAGGCATCAGTGAGGATTTCACTGAGGTGGTGGCATTTAAGCTGGGCAAGAGTTTGAAGGTGTATGGCACTGTTCACAATAGTAAAAGCCATGGAATCAACCTCAATGCCCATCAATGAAAGAATGAATAAAGAAAATGTGGTACATATACACCATGGAATACTATGCAGCCATAAAAAAGAACAAGATCATGTCCTTTACAGGAACATGGAAGGAGCTGGAGGCCATTATCCTTAGCAAACTAATGCAGGAACAGAAATTGCATGTTCTCACTTAGAAATGGGAGCTAAATGATGAGAACACATGGACACATCCATGGGAACAACACACCCTGGAGCCTTTCAGAGGGAGGAGGGAGAGGATCAGGAGAAATAACTAATGGTAAATAGACTTAATACCTGGGTGATGAAATAATCGGTACAACAAACCCCCATGACACAAGTTTACCCATTTAACAAACCTGCACATATACCCATGAACTTAAAAGTTAAAAAAAAAATTTAAAAACTAAAAAAAAAAAAAAAAAAAAAAAAAAAGGCCCACCTTCCTGAGCTCCTGATAAAGGGCTGAACTGAACTGAATTCCAGCAGGAGGAAATGGACCAGCCAGCACTTTCTCACCTCCCAGGATGCACCATTCCCAATGCCCACCTTACCCCCCACCCATAGCTCTCCAACTCAGTCCAATTCTGGTAAGAGTGGACAATGGCTGAGTGCTCTGGCCTGACTGGGTGACCTGCAGCAGTCAATCCCTCTGGGCCTCCAGTGCCTCATCTAGAATACGGGAAGAATCTTAGTTGCTTCTCTATTCTCCCCTTTCAGGGCTGTTGTGGAGGGGGCATGGTGGGAAGAAGGGAACTATGAAAGAGAGGGGTGAAAGAACTCCAAAAGAAAAGATTCTTTTGGCCAGGTGTGGTGGCTCACGCCTATAATCCCAACACTTTGGAAGGCAGAGGTGGGCAGATCACTTGAGACAAGGAGTTCGAGATCGGCCTGGACAACATGATGAAACCCTGTTTCTATAAGAATTACAGGCCGGGTGCGGTGGCTAACACCTGTAATCCCAGCACTTTGGGAGGCCGAGGCAGGCGGATCATGAGGTCAGGAGATCAAGACCATCCTGGCTAACACAGTGAAACCCCGTCTCTACTAAAAATACAAAAAATTAGCCAGGCGTGGTGGCGGGCGCCTGTAGTCCCAGCTACTTGGGAGGCTGAGGCAGGAGAATGGCGTGAACCCGGGAGGTGGAGCTTGCAGTGATCCGAGATAGCACCACTGCACTCCAGCCTGGGCGACAGAGCAAGACTTCACCTCAAAAAAAAAAAAAAAAAAAAAAAAATTACAAAAAAATTAGCCAGGCGTGGTGGCACACGCCTGTAGGCCCAGCTACTCAGGAGGCTGAGGTGGGGAGGATCACTTGAACCCAGGAGGCATAAGTTGCAGTAAGCCGAGATCTTGCCACTGCACTCCAGTCTGGGTGACAGAGCCAGATGGTCTCAAAAAACAAAAACAAACAAAAGGATTATCTTATTTCAGGGGACTGCAAATCTCCTTTTGAAAATCTTTCCTCAAACTAGACCTCTCCCATCCTGATTGCTCATTCAAGTTATTCATTCAACAGCTATCTATGGAGCAGCCACTGAGAACGTGCTGGGGGACCAGCCAGCGCTTGCCCTCAGGGAGCTGGAGACCCTGGCAGGAGGGCACAGATGTGCATCAAGGCACTCCACAATTGCCCAGTATTATGCTGGCGGGCTGCTCTCAAAGCTGAGAGGGACTCTGAGCTCAATGTGGGGTGGGATCAGGGAGAGCTTCTTGGAGGAAGTGGCATTTATACCCAGGCCTAAAGGATGATGAGATTTAAGTAGATGAAGAGAGATGGCCTCTGCTCCCAGCATCCCCCTCTGCCAATATGGGCCTCCTGCCCCACCAAACTGCTGAGTCTCACACTCCCTGGGAAAACCCTGTTCCTTTCAAGACTCAGTTCAAAGTACACAGCAGGTGGGTGAATGAATGAATAATGCCCAACCAGGGCCTTCCTATTCAAACTCATGTATTCTTTCCTTTCTTCAAATACTTTACCATCCAGCATGAGTCAGAAGAGACCTGAGAGGCCTCCTACCCTACCCTTGCCCAGCCCATTCTCCAGAAAAGCAAACAGAGGTTGCACCTGGTTTGGTGTCTGGTGGAGGCAGCAGCAACTCCCGGAGCTGGGAGTCTTTAACATCCTCGATCCAGCGGAGGTCCAGGAGCCGCAGGGCTGGCAGTGGGGCTGAGCCCAGGGCAGAGACAGAGAGCCAGGAGCAGCCAGAGAGCACCAGCTCCTGCAGGCCTGCGGAGAGGGGGCAGTCAGGAAGCAGGTGCTGTGAGGACTCCATCCCAGGCCTGTCCCTGTCCCCACCCTGTCCTCCGTACCACACACCCTACCTTGTAGTCGGTTCAGAAGCCACATGAGCTGCTTCTTGGAGACACCTGTCCAGCTGAGGTCCAGGGCACGGGGCTGGCGGCGAACCACACCACTGAGCATGGGCGGGGTCAGTGACTTCCGCCGGCTCAGGTCCATTCGAGGCCACAGACGCTTGTCATAGCACCTGGCGGCCATAGGGGGGAGACAGAGACCTCAGCCCTCAGCTCTCAGCAGCCCACAGTTCCCAGGCTCCCCAGCTCCAAGGGTGCACCCCAGCTCTCTTCTGGCCACACAGACAACAGGGTAGCAAGAAGCACCTGACCTCAGCCAAGAGCACTGGGATTGGAACCCAACTCCATCACTAACTGGAAATGAGACCCTGGGCAAGTCTGTTCCTCTCCCTGAGCCTCAGAAGCCTCGTTTATGATTGAAGGCAATAGCCCCCCCACTCTGCCTGCCCACAGGGCAGCTGTCAGGTCACATGGGCTCATCCCAGCTGTGGGCCTCCCAGCATAGAAAGTGTGCTGCCCAACACATACACAAATGCCACGCATGCTGCCTGATGTCATGCCAAGGGGACTGGTGTTATCCAGTCGTCTCCAGCCACCCTTGGGCTTCTTGATTCCTGACTGAGTTCTGGTGCTCATGGGTCCTTGCCTCCTTTACTCATCTCTGCTTCTGATCCACACCTGTCCCATCTTGACAGCCAGCTGCCCGCAGCTGGACTTACAGCCCTAATATCTTCCCTATTACATTACTGTGTTCCTCCAACTACAATGTAAATTCCACAAGGGCAGATTTGCGTTTTCCACTTTTTGAAAAAAAATTTTTTTTGAGACAGGGTCTCACTCTGTAACCCAGGCTGGACTCAGGCTCACCGCAGCCTCAACCTACTGGGCTCAAGCAATCCTCCCACCTCAGCCTCCTGAGTAGCTGGGACCACAGGCACATGTCACCACGCCTGGCTAATTTTTAAACAATTTTTTTGTAGAGACAGGGTCTCACTATGTTGCCTAGGCTGGTCTTGATCTCCTGGCCTCAAGCGATCCTCCTGCCTTGGCCTCCCAAAACACTGGGATTACAGGCATGAGCTACTGCACCCAGCTGCCCATTTGTAATGAATGAATCAAGCTAGTAACTACTTAAAGCTTCCACTGACCACTCTCCCCCACCTCCTCATCTACAGCATTTCATTTATTCACTCTGATTATAGAAAGCGTTATAGGTCCCAAGTATTGAAGCTACAAAGATGAACGAGTCCTAAGCAACATTAAACAGGTTTCCTAACCCGAGCACTCCACAGGCCTCAACAGACTATCTAACATGCAGTGGGCTGGGTGCAGTGGCTCACACCTGTAATCCCAGCACTTTGGGAGGCCGAGGTGGGTGGATCATGAGGTCAGGAATTCGAGAACAGCCTGGCTGTTCTACTAGTGAAACCCTGTCTCTACTAAAAGTACAAAAAATTAGCTGGGCATGGTGGCGGGCGCCTGTAATCCTAGCTACTCGGGAGGCTGAGGCAGGAGAATTACTTGAACCCGGGAGGCGGAGATTGCAGCGAGCCGAGATCGCACCACTGCACACCAGCTGGGGCAACAGTGAGAGACTCCATCTCAAAAACAAACAAACAAACAAACAAACAAAAAACATGCAGTGAACTGGAGAAGGGCCTCTCAAACGTACTTCCCCAGGAATCCTTCCCCACCTCTCCCAAGGTAATCTAGTAACATTTTGTAGTACACTGAAGTTCCTTTGGACTCAGTTTGAGAACTCTCTTCTCTGAGTTCAGTAGTTCTCAAAGGCATGTCCAGAAATGCCTCTGAGACTCAATAGACTGTGTCAGAAGCAGCAGGCCCAGGAAGCTTTTTTTTTTTTTTCTTGAGACAGTGTCTTGCTTAGTCACCCAGGCTGGGGTGCAGTACTGCGATCACAGCTCACTGCAACCTTAAACTCCTGGGCTCAAGCCATCCTCCTACCTCAGCCTCCTGAGTAGCTGGGACTACAGGCACATGCCACCACACCTGACTTTTTTTTTTTTTTTGAGACAGAGTTTCGCTCTTGTTGCCCAGGCTGGAGTGCAATGGTGTGATCTTGGCTCACTGAAACCACCATCTCCCAAGTTCAAGCGATTCTCCCGCCTCAGCCTCCAGAGTAGCTGGGATTACAGGCATGCGCCACCACGCCCGGCTAATTTTTTGTATTTTTAGTAGAGATAGGGTTTCTCCATGTTGGCCAGGCTGGTCTCGAAATCCTGACCTCAGGTGATCTGCCCACTTTGGCCTCCCATAGTGCTGGGATTACAGGCGTGAGCCACTGTGCCTGGCCTATTTTTTTATTTTTAGTAGAGACAAGGTTGTCCAGGCTGGTTTTGAACTCCTGAGCTCAAGCGATCCTTCCCTTGGCCTCCCAAGGGAAGCTTTCTCTTGCCTCCCTCCCTGCCCTCATGACTCTGAAAGGCTTTTCCTTGTAGAAGCCCTGGGCTGGGGCAGTGATTCCCAAGCTCCAGTATTTGCTGTTCACTTATCTGCGTAACATGATTTATCTTTGAATCATCTCCTCTTTGCACTTAAAACCAGTATTGTTGCCGGGCGCGGTGGCTCATGCGTGTAATCCCAGCACTTTGGGAGGCCGAGGTGGGTGGATCACTAGGTCAGGAGATCAAGACCATCCAGGCTAACACAGTGAAACCCCGTCTCTACTAAAAAAAAAATACAAAAAATTAGCTGGGCGTGGTGGAGGGCGCCTGTAGTCCCAGATACTCGGGAGGCTGAGGCAGGAGAATGGCGTGAATCTGGGAGGTGGAGCTTGCAGTGAGCCGAGATCGTGCCACTGCACTCCAGCCTGGGCGACAGAGCGAGACTCCGTCTCAAAAAAAAAACAAAAAAAAAAACCCCAGTATTGTTTCACATAAATATGTTAATCTTAAAAATAAACACAAAAGTCCAAGTGTGGTGTAATCCCAGCACTTTGGGAGGCCAAGGTGGACAGATCACGAGGTCAGGAGATTGAGACCATCCTGGCTAACACGGTGAAACCCCATCTCTACTAAAAATACAAAAAATTAGCCGGGCGTGGTGGCGGGCACCTGTAGTCCCAGCTACTTGGGAGGCTAAGGCAGGAGAATGGCATGAACCTGGGAGGCGGAGCTTGCAGTAAGCCGAGATTGCGCCACTGCACTCCAGCCTGGGTGACAGAGCGAGACTCTGTCTCAAAAATAAATAAATAAATAAATAAAACACAAAAAAGACCAGAGTTATTAAATCCTAGCCAGGTGTTGCTGTGGCTTTAGGCTACTACCTGAAGACTACTTTTGTTAAACAGGGAGATAAGTATCAGAGAAGTGTTAGAAAAAGCACCCAATAGTGGCCAGGCGCAGTGGCTCACGCCTGTAATCCCAGCACTTTGGGAGGCCGAGGCAGGCGGATCACGAGATCAGGAGATGGAGACCATCCTGGCTAATACGGTGAAACCTCGTATCTGCTAAAAATACAAAAGATTAGCCGGGCGTGGTGGCAGGCGCCTGTAGTCCCAGCTACTCAGGAGGCTGAGGCAGGAGAATGGCGTGAACCCAGGAGGCGGAGCTGGCAGTGAGCCGAGACTGCACCACTGCACTCCAGCCTGGGCGACAGAGCAAGACTCCATCTCAAAAAAGAAAAAAAGCACCCGATGGAGAGACTTCCTTCCAATGGAAAGACTTCCTTTCCAAAACTCACAGAGGGATTAAGCCATATTTTTGTGTCACTGAAAAATGCCAGACCTACTCCAGAGGCCCAGTGTGTCATTTCATTATTTTTTTCAGACAAAGTCTCACTGTCGCCCAGGCTAGAGCTCAGTGATGCAATCATAGCTCACTGCAGCCTCAAACTCCTGGGCTCAAGTGATCCCCTTGCCTCAGCCTCCCATGTGGCTGGGACCACAGGTATGCTTAGCTAATTTTTTCTTTTTTAATAGAGATGGGGGTCTCACTATGTTGCCCAAGCTTGTCTTGAACCCCTGGGCTCAAGCAATTCTCCTGCCTCAGCCTCCCAAAGTGCTGGGATTACAGGCGTGAGCCACTGGGCCCAGCCCTGGTGTGACGTTTTAGAGAAGGCTGAGGGCACAGACACCAAGGCTTCAGTCCGAACACCTTCACCCCTCTGCCACTCGCTCTCCTGTTCCCTCCTACCCTCATCCTGCTTTTCTGGCATTCTAGCCTCTCCCTCTCCTGATTCCTTCCTCTCAACTAATAAACATCTGCAAATCTCTCCAATTCAAAACATGAAAAGGAAAAAAACCAACTCATGCCCGACCCAGCTTCTACCCCTAGGTCCTGCCCCTTTGCTCTTTCTGTGAGCAAGAAAATCGGTGACATCTGCTCTATCCAAAACCTCTCTCTGCCCACTGTGACCCTGCCACGACTGCCTCCCAGCTTAACTGTCACCACTTCCTTGAAGCCACTTCCCTTCCACGGTCCACAGCTGGAAGGAAGCCCCTTTCCCTGGGGGCACCCACAGGACCCCAGTTGTGTTTCTGTATCATACTCCACAACAGCCAGGCCACACACCTGCCCACCTATAGACACAGTGCTGTCTGATGCCAACACGTTGTGGCACATGCTGTGCCTCTGCCAGAAATGCCAACCCAGAGCCTTCGTGGCTCGGCTCCAGTGCCTCCTCTTCCAGGAAGTCTCCCACACCTTCCTTGGCTACAGCTCATCAGTCCCCCTGCTCTTGTACAACCAGGACACTGGGGTTAAACCTCAGAGGGACAACCAACAGTCACTGAGGGCCCTACTGATCCCAAGTATCTGGCTTCCACTGGGCACGGAGGAGGCAAAGATGACAGGTTCCTGCCATACAGTCAGGGAGACATGGACAGTCCGCAGTAACTGAGGTGACAAGGGGCATGGTAAGAGTCACCTCAAGGACTGGGTGGGGGAGCCTCCTGGGGGGACAATGCCTGACCTGAGACTCCGAGGAAAGCAGTAGTTATTTCAGCAAGGGGAGGGGGAGGAGGGTGTGTGTTCCAGATGGGCAAGAACCTGTGTCCAGGCCCACAAGAGACAAGACGGAGAGCTCTGGAAACCCCAGGCCACAGGAACTCATCATCATAACCAGAGTCACGCTGATCACAGTGACTTCAGCACTACTAACCAGCCATCATCCAGGGTTCACTGTGTGCCAGGCACTGTCCCATGCATTAAGCACTGAACCTCACGCCAGCCCTAGGAGGTCAACATTACCATCATCATCTCCTTTCTACAGTAAAGAAAATGAGGCAAGCGTGTGCGGTGGCTCACGCCTGTTAATCCCAGCACTTTGGGAGGCCAAGGAGGGCGGATCACGAGGTCAGGAGTTCAAGACCAGCCTGGCCAACATAGTGAAACCTCGTCTCTACTAAAAATACAAAAATTAGCTGGGTGTGGTGGCACGCGCCTGCAGTCCCAGCTACTCAGGAGGCTGAGGCAGGAGAATCACTTGAACCCAGGAGGCAGAGGTTGCAGTGAGCCGAGACCACAGCATTCCACTCCAGCCTGGGTAACAGAGTCAGACTCTGCCTCAAAAAAAAAAAAAAAGGTCGGGCGCGCTGGCTCACGCCTGTAATCCCAGCACTTTGGGAGGCTGAGGCAGGTGGATCATGAGGTCAGGAGGTCGAGACCATCCTGGCTAACATGGTGAAACCCCGTCTCTACTAAAAAACAAAAAAAAAAAAAAAAAAAGAAAAAAAATTAGCCAGGCGTGGTGGCAGGCACCTGTAGTCCCAGTTACTCAGGAGGCTGAGGCAGGAGAATGGCGTGAATCCGGGAGGCGGAGCTTGCAGTGAGCCGAGATTGTCGCCAGCCTGGGTGACAGAGTGAGACTCCGTCTCAAAAAAAAAAAAAAAAATGAGGCCCAGAAAGGTTGAGAAATGTATTCAAGGTCCCACAACTACCAAGTGGTAGGTAGTAGAGGCGGGGTTCCACCTAGCCCGTCTGGGTGGAAAGCCTGAATTCTGAGGAGAGAAGAGGCAAGAGTGGAGCTGCAAAGGAGGGATGGGTGTCATGTCAAGGAGGGCTGGAATGCCAGGCCATAGACTATCATGGTCACAGAGCCCAGAGCTGAGGATGTGAGCTATGGGGATCTAAATCCCAGCTCTGCCACCTCCAGGCTTTGGGGGGCCTCAGGCAAGTCACTCGCCCTGTGTGGGCTTCCATTTCCCAAACTGTACAGTGGGGTGAAGAACAGCGCTTCCTTCAGAGGTTGCTGTGACAAGGAAGGGACACAGCTCAGGGAAGTGGTTGGTGCAGTCGGTAGGCCCAGTTCATGTCCATATGTCCAACAGGACTGCGATGGTGGGCGTCTGTTGTGAGGGCGACAGGGAGCCACAGGTGGGTTCTTTCTAAGCTGGAGAATGACACTGAGACAAGAGGCAGGGAAAGCTCTAAGAGCCAAGGTGTGCCGTCGTCCCAGAGACATGTGGCTTGATGCCAAAGTCCCCTAACCCATTCACTTCCTCCTGGACTCCAGCCACCCCGCAATGAGTCCTCTCCTACTAGGCCGACCTGCAAACCCTCAATTCCAATCCTAACCCTCCCTCTTGCAGAAGCCCCCGGGAACAGGGAGCTGGACCAGCCCTTACTGCCCTCTGAAGGCTCACGGCCCCTAGGGCTCCAAGCACTGCCAGTTCCGACCTCTTGTAGCTCTCTGGGCCCCGATGCTACCACTGCCCTCCAATCTGTCCACCTCCAGACCCTACCCGACCATGATCACCTTGTATTCCAGTCCCTTCCTTGCTGCCTTCTCTCTGTCCATGTCCTCAAAAGCCCCAACCCTCTTCCTTGCATCTCAATAACCCCTGCACGCCTTCCCTGCTGCCCTCTCTCCACTCTTCACTCTTCACTCTTAAGGGATCACTTCCCTTTCAGTTCCAAGAAAAGATGGAAGCCACCAGACAGGAAAGCCTGCAGCCTCCTGCTGTCCCCTACACACGCCTCTCCAGCGCCACCCTCTGTACATCCTTCCACACTGCATCCTGCTCTCTTGTCCTTCACTCATTCAGCGAAGATGATCTCACTGCCCACTGTCCGCCAGGTGCCATTAGACACCAGGAACACAACAGGAACAAACGAATCAAGTCCCTGCCTGGAAGCTGATGTTCTCGACTCCATTCAATCTGGCTTTGGACCCCCAACCCCCAGAGCACAGCTGAGGACACTAAGGCCTCCTGGTAGCAAAATCCAACCACCACTTCCTGGTCCTTGATCTCCCACGGCCTCTCACCAGCATCCTCCTTGGCTTACCACATTCCCTCCTGCCTCGTTCTCTACTCGGGGGCACACCTCTGGCCATGAGCTCCTCCAATTATCTGGCTAGGCTCTTGCTCTAACTCACAAGTACTGATGTATGATCTTTTGCCCTCTTCATCAAAGCTGCTTGGCTTGCTACCTACAGGCTGAGAACTCCCAAACGTGTATCTTTCTCCTGAGCATCAGACCCACACGTCCTGAGCACACCACACACGTCAGTCATCTGAGCTCTTTACCTTCCTGGAAACTGCTCCTCCTGAGCCTGGGGAATGATGCTGTTGCCCATCCAGGCTCCTGGGTCAGAAACTCACCTGAGGGTTACCCTGCTGTCCCCACTGCCAGTTAGTCAAGTCCAAGCCATTCCACATTTTTTTTTTTGAGACAGGGTCTTGCTCTGTTGGCCAGGCTGGAGTGCAGTGGCTCAATCTTGGCTCACTGCAACCTCCGCCTCCCGGGTTCAAGCGATTCTCCTGGCTCAGACTCCCGAGTAGCTGGAATTACAGGCGCCCACCACCATGCCCAGCTAATTTTTGTATTTTTAGCAGAGACAGGGTTTCACCATGTTGGCCAGGCTGGTCTCAAACTCCTGACCTCAGGTGATTCGCCTGCCTCGGCCTTCCAAAGTGCTGGGATTACAGGCGTGAGCCACCGTGCCCGGCCATTTTTTTTTTTTGAGATGGAGTTTCACTCTTCCTGCCCAGGCTGGAGAGCTATGGTGTGATCTCGGCCCACTGCACCTCCACTTCCCAGGTTCAAGCGATTCTCCTGTCCCAGTCTCCCAAGTAGCTGAACTACAGATGTATGCCACCATGCCTGGCTAAATTTTTTGTATTTCTAGTAGAGACAGGGTCTCACCATGTTGGCGAGGCTGGTCTCGAACTCCTGACAAGTGATCCGCCCGTCTTGGGCTCCCGAAGTGCTGTGATTACAAGTATGAGCCATCATGCCTGGCCCAAGCCATTCCACTTCTTAAAAAGTCCTTACACCGGGCGTGGTGGCTCATGCTTGTAATCCCAGCACTTTGGGAGGCCGAGGCGGGTGGATCACCTGAGGTCAGGAGTTCGAGACCAGCCTGACCAACATGGAGAAACCCCCGTTTTTACTAAAAATACAAAATTAGCCAGGCATAGTGGCGCATGTCTGTAATCCCAGCTACTCGGGAGGCTGAGGCAGGAGAACTGATTGAACCCAGGAGGTGGAGGTTGTGGCGAGCCGAGATCATGCCATTGCACTCCAGCCTGGGCAACAAGAGCTAAACTACATCTCAAAAAAAAAAAAAGTTCTTGGCCGGGCGCAGTGGCTCACACCTGTAATCCCAACACTTTAGGAGGCCAAGGTGGAAGGATCACTTGAGGCCAGAAGTTCAAGACCAGCCTGGGTAACAGCGAGCCCCTGGTTCCTGCAAAAAAGTTTTAAAAATTGGCCAGGCACAGTGGCATGTGCCTGCAATCCCAGCTACTCAGGAGGCTGAGGCAGGAGGATTGCTTGAGCCCAGGAGGTTGAAGCTGCAATGAGCTATGACTGCACCACTGTACTCCAGCCTGGGCAACAGAGAGAGACCCTCTCTAAAAAAGAAAAACAAAACAAACAAAAATAAGGCCTGGCAAGGTGGCTCACACCTGTAATCCAAGCACTTTGGGAGGCCAAGGTGGGTGAATCACCTGAGGTCAGGAGTTTGAGACCAGCCTGACCAATATGGCAAAACCCCGTCTCTACTAAAAATACAAAAATTAGGCCAGGCGCAGTGGCTCATGCCTGTAATCTCAGCACTTTGGGAGGCTGAGGCAGGCGAATCACCTGAGGTCAGGAGTTCGAGACCAGCCTGACCAACATGGTGAAACCCTGTCTCTTCTAAAAAAGTGCAAAAATTAGGCAGGCGTGGTACCGTATGCCTGTAGTCCCAGCTACTCAGGAGGCTGAGGCAGGAGAATCGCTTGAACCTGGGAGGTGGAGGTTGTGGTGAGCTGAGATTGCGCCAAGGCACTCCAGCCTGGGTGACAGAGCAAGACTCCATCTCAAAAAAAAAAATTAGCCAGGCATGGTGGTGGGTGCTTGTAGTCCCAGCTACCTGGGAGGCTGAGACAGGAGAATCACTTGAACGTGGAAGGTGGAGGTTGCAGTGAGCCGAGAGCATGCCACTGCACTTCAGCCTGGGTGACAGAGCAAGGCTCTGTCAAAAAAAAAAAAAAAAAAAAAGTTATCATTGCAAATCTCTCCCCACTACCCCTGCTTCTGTGCCCAGACCTCGCAGAGCCTCCTGAGTGGTCCTGCTGTGCCCCCACAGGCCCCTGCTCTGCCCGGCTCGTGTCCTTTTCATTGGGAGGTGCCATCTGATTGAGTGTTTAGTACCCTCCAGGCACTGTGCTGCGGGCTTTGTAGGAATCACTTCACTTAATCCCCAAAAGGTGAGTATTCATACAAACCCAGACTACAGATGAGAAAACCAGGGCCTCAAGAGGTATCGCTCTCCACACATGGCCACGCAGCCAGTGAAACTCAAGGATGCAGAGTCCAGGGCCCACACTGGGAGCCATTGCCTCTCGCTTTGTCTGCTTCGGGCCACACGTCTCCCGTTGAAGCAGAAATCAGGTCCCTTTCAGTTCTGGCTCCCACATGCCAGGCACAGAGCTGGCCTTGAAGGGGCCTCAGCAAACATTTCCTTGATTAGTACATGAGGCAGGTGTCATCCCCTGCAACTTCTGTAACTATCTGCTTCTATGTTGCAGCTTAACTATATGCTCTTCAAGGGCACAGATCTACATTCTGAGGCCTGACAGGCTGTGCGTTCAGCAACTATTTGCAACTAAGTAAATACTGGCTACAATGAGAGCTCTTTCAAGTAGTTCCTATTTCCCAGGTACTGTGCTCAGTTCTTCATGTGTATTAGCTCAAGAAAACACTATGCAAGAGCGTTGATTATCTGGTTTTTCAGATGAAGAAACCGAGGCACAGGAAGTTAAGTGACTGGCCTAATGGTTTATAGCTCTTCAGCTATAACCATAACCGGTAGCTCATGCCTGTAATCCCAGCACTTTGGGAGGCTGAGGCGGGCGGATCGCTTCAGGTCAGGAGTTCAAGACCAGCCTGGCCAACATGGTGATACCCTGTCTCTACTAAAATTACAAAAAAAAAAAAAAAAAAATTAGCCGGGTGTGGTGGTGGGTGCCTATAATCCCAGTTACTCAGGAGGCCGAGGCAGGGGAATCGCTTGAACCCGGGAGGCAGAGGTTGCAATCAGCCAAGATCATGCCACTGCACTCTAACCTGGGCCACAGAGTGAGGCTCCGTCTTAAAAAAAAATAAAAATAAAAAGATTCTGTCACAGGCAATTTGCCTCCAGAGCCTGCACTCTGGTACTTTTGGCTGCACAATCTCTGCAGATACCAGAAGGCACCAGTGGCCCAGACTTGGTCCCAAAAGAAGACTAGAGTTTGAGTTCAGCCATGAACTTGTACTGTAACTTCAGGTATCCCTTTTCTCTCACAGGGCTGCCATTATGAAGGTCAAATCAGCTAACCTTGGTGCAGTGCCCAACAGGGAGCCTGGTCCCAGCCACAGCGAGTCCCTGGGAAAGAGCCTGATAGCCTCGTTTACTGCAACATTTCTTGGGCACTTATACCGCCCTTTGTCCCGTGCTAGGGACGTGAAGATAAAACAGACACAGTTATCTGCTCCCACCCCAGCAACTGATGGGAACATGAAATGAGTAAATGAATGAAGGCTTGTCAACACGCCGAAGGCCTCTGCTTGCTCTATGAGGGGAACAGAGTGCTGTGGGAGTTTCATAGAGAGGAGGAGGAATTTTGTTGGGGGCGAGATCAGAGAGGAAGACAAGAGGCTCGGGAGGATGACCGACATTTCTAATAGAGGCTGGGGGGCTGGGGGATGGGCAGAGGGCATTAGTGGTGGCTCCAGGGCAGAAGGAAAGCAGGAACCGAGTCAGGAGGTTCAAGCCTGGCTGTCTTTCGAGGGCAGGGGCAGCCCAGCACATGGCGTTCTCCTAAGTGAATGGAACCAATCGTCAGACTGTTTTCGGAAGTGGCAGTATGAGAAGTGACAATGCAGTACAGCACTCAGTGCTATGGCTGACACACACTAGACACTCAATATAGTCGCTACTATTAGGAGGAAAGGCACTGGAGCCAAAGGGCCTAGGTTCCAATGCCTAGTTCTACCACCACTTCTCTTCCACATGACCTTGGGCCTCAGCTTCATCTGAAAAAGGGGAAAATAACCTCTACCTCAAAGTTGTCTAGGGGGTTAAATGAGCCCATAAGTGGAAAGTAGCCTGCACACGGGAAATACGGAAGGATGCACTGTAATCTGTGCATACTAGAGAAGTATCCCCAATATAAAAGCAAGGCCCAGAGAGGGCCAGAGACCTACCGCAGGTCACCCAGCAAGCGGGAAGCCTGCTGGCCACGGAACGCAGGCCTGTCCAGGCCACTCACCAGCGGCTCCAAGTTCGGCAGACTCGCATGCAGATACACAGCTCCCGCGGCCCGAGGTGCTGGAAGACGCGAAGCCAGGCGGCCCGGGGCAGGGGGTGGTCGGATCCAGCAGCCAAGGGGAGTGTGTCGGGCTCAGGGCTTCGAGGCGGGGGCCGCACCACGTGCCGCTCCAGCTGTGGAGGCCGGGGTGGTGGGGCTGGGCCCAGGGGCCAGCTGAGTAGGGGCCCCCCACTGCCAGGGCGCACAGCCCGCCGCCCCCCACGGTTCTCCTTCTCGCCAGAGCTGCCCCGGGCTGGCCGTCGCCCATTCCGGGCCTCGCCGGGGGCTTCGTCCTCACTCAGCGATGTGCCCGAAGAGTCGGAGTCGGAGTCTGAGTCCGAGGAGGAAGAGGAGGTGTCAGGCACCCGTTCCAGCAGCTGGCACATCCGCTTGAAACGCTCTAGCTTCTCCCTCTGCGGGGACGGGGACGGCACCGCTGGGCCCTCTGCAGAGGCCAAAGGCGGCTTTGGTTTCTGCAGGGAGACAGGGTTGATGCTGTTCTAGGGCCTGGGATACATTTTCCCACCCCCCTACCCCGAGGAGTCACCAGGGGATGAACAGCCCGAGGGACAGTCCTGAGTTCCAGCCCTGGCTCTGCTCCGGACAGTGAGAGACCTTGCTAAAGCCACTGCCAGGCCCTGGGCCTCAGTTTTCTTATTGGTAACAGAAGAGTGCTAATTAAAATAATTTCCAGCCGGGCGCAGTGGCTCACGCCTGTAATCCCAGCACTCTGGGAGGCCGAGGCGGGAGGATCACGAGGTCAAGAGATCGAGACCATCCTGGCCAACATAGTGAAACCCTGTCTCTACTAAAAATACAAAAATAAACTGGGCATGGTGGCACAAGCCTGTAGTCCCAGCTACTCGGGAGGCTGAGGCAGAATTGCTTCAACCTGGGAGGTGGAGGTTTCAGCGGGCCGAGATCACGCCACTGCACTCCAGTACGGGCGACAGAGCGAGACTCTGTCTCAAAAATAAAATAAAATAAAATAATTTCCAGCCCTTATGGGTTTGCATGGCTTAGGCAGTTCCAAAAGCAGTAGGGAATGGAGAAATGAGAGACCCTGCTTTGAATCCTGGCTTGCCCTCAACTCTGGATGGCTGTGGGAAGCCCCTGCTTCATCATCCACTACACGGACCAGCTGGAGCAGGCGTCTGTCTATCAACTGAGGGTAACAGTGATTGGCCCCACGAGCAGCACCCCGCATCGGCTGACTCATTCCATCCTCACAGTATTCTAACACAGTGGTGACCTGGGCCACTCTTTTCAGACATGAGGAAACCGAGGCTTAAAGGCACAAAGTGACTTGTCCAAGGTTACAAACTGACAAACAGCAGAGGCAGGATTTGGACCCAATCAGGCGGACTCCTGTGTTGAGTGTCCGTGCCAAGTAATACCTCAATTCTGGCTTTACTGTGTGACTTGGACAAGTCTTCAAACCTCTCTGGGCCTTATTTCCCTTCAATCTGGGTAAATTTTATAGCTTACAAAGCTCATTGCCTTTCAGAACCTCGTAAGACTTATACACTTCTGCGGGATAAGGGGGCAAGGCAGGCAGCAGCATCTCCACTACATGGATAAAGAAACTAAGGCTCAGGGTGGCTGACAAGCTGCTAGGATCATACAAAGAGTAAACGGTCGGACAGAAATTTGAACTCAGTTCTCTCCCCTGTAAGGCTTGGAAAGATGAGGCAAGTAGGTCAGATGAGCCCTAAGGGTTTTTGGGAAGTCAGGGGCTCCTGTGGCCTGGACTCAACCCACCCTCCCACCCAACTCATCCCAGGTGTCCGGACACCCACCGTGGCCAAGTGGGGCTGGGGCAGAACAAGGTGAGCAGGAAGGGACAGGTCTTGGGCTCCAGGGTGAAGGGTGGGGCAAGGGAAGGTGGGAAGGGGAGGGAGGAGGTCCCCGGCACACCTCCCAGTTCTCGGGAGGGAGCCCAGGGTGGCAGGATGAGAAAGCCTGGCTCGGATTCAGAACCCTGGGGGGCAGCAGGCCCGGGCCGCCTGGGTCCGATCCTCGGAGGAGGCAGGCGTCTCCACCCACCTTCTTCAGGTGCCTCTCTCGGCCTCCTTTCACCTACCAGGGTGAGAGGGAGATATGGAGGAAGGGAGAGACCCCATTAGGCCCTCATGGGCCAGAAATCTAAGGTCCATGCCCTCCTCTTAGACTACAAGTCCCAGAAGCCCCCGTCCCAGGGATAACTCTGAGCATGCTCACCTTGCACCCAGCGTCCTAGCCCACTGAGCATGCTCCATCTCCTCTTTCCTCCCCTCAGGCCCTCTCCAGCCCCTCCCTCCTCTCATGCAGGGATGATCTGAGCATGCTCTCTCCTGCCTCCCTAACCCACCCAGGGCTCCCAAAGCTTCCTGCAGTGCCAGCTCACCTCACCTGTCCCCCCCCTCCTCCACACTGAGCATGCTCTATCCTCCCCCCACCCAACTCCTGAACTACATCTCCCAACAGTCCTTGGGGAACCCACAGAGCACGCTCCCAGGCCCACACAGCCCCACAGAACCAGCCAGGACTACAGCTCCCAGAATTCCTCAGGACAAGCCTAGTGAGCGTGCTCCGTGGCTCACCTTTTTCCTTGGGGTGGGAGGCTCATTCCCTGCCTCCCTTTCCTTTCGTTTGGGGGGCCCAGGCACGTCCTCCGGGGGGGGCCCGGCAGGCAGGGGGCCCTTGCGCCTGGGCGGGGGCGGTGGAAGCGGTGGCTCCTCTGTCAGCTTCCATCCGCTCCCCAAGCTGGCGCCCTCCTCGCCGTTGTCGGCCCTACGGCGGCCAGGCCCCTCACCTGAATCCTAGGCGGGACAGAAGCTGGGGGTGAGGACCTGCACAGCTCCCCAACACCCACCTACCCACAGCTCAGCCCAGCCCAGCCCCTACCTTGCTGGTGCGGCCTTCCTGGGTGCAGCGAGGGCACTCCCAGCAGTTGGGGATCTCTGCATTGATGACACCCTCAGCCTTCCCCATCTGTAGGCAGGAGGGCAGTGAGTGGGGGGTTGGCCAGGAAGCCCAGAGCCAGGGTGATCCCCCACTCTCTGCTCCCTGACAATCTGCCCCACCCCAGACGCCGGGGTCCCAGGGCCATCACCTTCAGGCAGCCGGGGTGGACGATCTCGTTGCAGATTGTACACTCCATGAGGCTCAAACCAAATTTCTCTTCCTCTCCCTCCACCGTGTCCTCCTTCCCAGCCTCCCCACACAAGAGGCACACAGCTGTGTGTGGGAGCACGGGCTGTTGGGGGAGAGGGGACATCAGGGGCCCCGAAAGCTAACAACAGGGGAAAGACCCTTCCTTCTAGGGACCCTGGCCAGGTGACGGATGAGGTGCAGCACCCACGGGTCAAGCTGGGTCTGATCCTGAGTTTGCTCCTTTTGGGAGTGTGACCTCAAGCAACTGATTTAACCTCCTTAAGTCTCCGTTTCTGCATCTGCAGAATGGGGCTAAGAATCTTTCCCTCGCAGGACTCTTGGGAGAGCAAAATAATACGCGAGAGACACTGATATGTAGCTGTTATCACCTGTGACTGTTATAGCTGGACCCAGGGCCAGTGGGACCCTGAAATTACAGCTGGCTTTGGAGAGGAGGACAGTAACACTCAGAGGGTGGGGAAGACAGCTTAGGGTGATACCAAGGTCGCTCCATGAGCAGCCCAAGGGTTGCTCTGAATCCCACAATGAATCCGGTTTTGGCAAGACCCCCTGGGAACACTAGGGAAGCCACTAGTCTTGGGGAAGTGGGGGCAGCCTCAGACAGTGTGACTTTGAGGAAGACAGTGGTAGGACTGAGTCATAACAAGGATGCGGCAGGATCAAGGAAGATGCAGGTAGGGGGAGAAGGAAAAGTGAGGCAAGGGGTTGGGGGATAAAGGAAAAGAAGTGAGGGGCTGAGGGGTGAAGAGACCAACCAGGAAAGAGTGGCAGGAGGAAGAGAGGGAGGTGGCAGAGTGGGGAGGGGGACGCAGGATGCAGCTGGCTCCTCGCGGCTGCTGGGGAGGGGCCGTGCTCTGGAGCCCAGGGAGGCTCAAAGGATGAGGAAGGCAGGGCGGAAACCCATGCTTCCCCGATCCCTACTGTGTGCTGGGCCTTGTGGTAGACACACTCGCATCCATGCCATTGTTTAATCTTTACAACTCAGCAAAGGAAACATTTTACAGAGAAGGAACCTGAGGTTCATTCAGCATGATTTGCTCAAGGTCACATAAAGGGTGAGCTTAGCCTCAAATCCAAGACCACCCTGGGTGAGGAAGAGGCCAGAGAAGGGCAAGACCTGTTGGAAGGGGGCCATCTCTGGGGATGGGCCCCCTCCTGCACAGAGACATCTTGGGGGGTGATAGAGCAGGGGCTGGGCATTCTGCGGGGGTGTGACTCTGAGAGCTGGGAAGAGCCTGAAAGTGGGGACTGGGTCAGATCCTTCTGTGCACCTGGACACTGCCCCCAGCTTGGAGCTGAGGACAAAAATGGATACTGACACAAACTAGTGAATGAAGGGAAGAAATGAACGAGTGAACAAACAGCCACTCCACAGTACAGGCTGGGAGGCAGTCACCAGCCATTCCAAGAAGGTATTGGGAAGGGTGGGCAGAGCCCAAAGGTGGGGGCAGAACTCACGGCAGTGCACTGCCGGAGCAGGCACGACTGCTTCATGCGCCCGGGCCCCCCGAACTTCTTCATGTCTCGGCAGAAGTGGCAATCCCCGCACTCAGTTCGCACACAGGCCCGGCAGCGGCGGCAGCGGGTTCGGCGTCGGCGCGCTCCGGCCCCCGGCCCCCGGCTGCTCGACGACATTGGGGGCGTCAGCAACGCCGAGGGCTGTAGGTGGATGGTGGCAGGGTCAGATGGGCCCACTGGGGCCCTGGCCTGGGAGACCCCTGACAGGTCCCTCCACCTACAGGCAGCTAGAGCCTGCCCTCTTCCTCAGGGGGACAAGGAGGTCACCCCCTTCTGTGTATCTGGGGGCCAATCCTCTACTCAAGGCCTGTCTCCCTGCAGCAGCTCAAGAGGAGCCCAAGAACTGCTTCCTGGCCTCGCTCCTCTACCGCCTCCTCAGGGTCCCTTCCCTAGCCCAGGGAGCAGGAGGGGACACCGAGGCCCTCTCCTCTGCCATCCCCACACCGGAGCTCCTTGGAAAGGCCAGGCACTCCTTGTCCGTGGTGTTAGCTTGGAGAGATCCCAACTCTTCCCCTGTTATCCGAGTGTAGAATATCCCAGGCTCTCCCCAACCTCAATCTGGGGTAAACTGCCCAGATTCACCTCCCAGATACCCAGAGATTCCTAGACGGAAGCTCCGGACTTTTCCTCCCCCCCGCCCCACCAACCTTTTCATCCACAGCAGCCATCCAATCTCTCTTCCCCTCAACCCAGTTATCCTCACCAGATCCAGCGAGATCCTTGCCCCCAAGTCCCTAACGATCTCCTCTGCCCACTAACTCCCCAGAGCTCTGACAGCCCTGGAGATGCTTCTTCAGAGACCCTTCTCAGCCCAAGATCTCAGCCCCTCTTGTTCCCCACAGGGTTCCCTCCTCCAGGACACCCTCCTCTTGGATCCCTCAGGTCCACCTGGGCAATCTCCCAAATTCCTTGGGATTCTAGAATCCAGCCTGACATCTTCCCAGAACTGAGGATGGGCTCAGTCCTAGGACCCCCAGCTTCCCGGGCTGCTTTCATCCCTAATCATCTAGAATCCCTTGGGCTCCCCCTCCCATGGAAACCAGATCCTCCAAGATCCCATGTGGAATTAGAAGCCTGGAGGGTCTCTTCCCAGTCAGTCTTACCCCAGATTCCCCCTTTCCGGGGACTTTCATACCCATCCATGGGGCTAAGGGGCCCTCCAGCGCTCCAGGGGAGGGGCCTGGAGGGCGGCGACTGCAGGCGGGGGTGGGGGCTTTCAAGGGGAAGCAGGGTCTAGGAAGGAGGGCCAGTTCCCCAGGGTGGAGAGGTCATAGGAAGGAGGGCTGGAGATGAGTTTGGAGTAGAGAGAGGGTGAGGCTGGGGGCGGGGAAGGTAGAGAGAGGCCGGGCTGAGGATGAATGGGAGTGGGCGCTGCCCAGGTCTGGGGGTGAGGAGGAGCCGCATGAACCCACCTCACACGTGTCCCGGGAGCCATCTCTCCCTTCTCGGCAGCTCCCGGCGGGTCGGCGGCCATCGGCGGCGGGGGGGCCGGGCGGCGCGGGGCGCGGAACGCTCAGAACGCCGGGGTCCACGGCCCCCCGAGGGCGCTCGGCCCCTCCCTCCGGCGGAGGCCGGGACGGCGGCGAGTGGAGATGGGGGGCGCCGGGGGCGAGGCCCTCCCACGGGCTGCGGCGCGGCCCTTCCAGGGGGAGGTCCTGCTCTGGGAGGCTCAGTCCCTCAGCCCCCCCAGGCCAACGGGGGCTCCTTGGGCGCAGGGTGCTCAGCTTCTGCCCGGGGCCCACTCAGTCCCGGGTCCGAGTCCCAGCTCCCCTCCCCCCACCCCGCCCCGCCTCTCCCCAGCGCCCCTGGCCCTTTAACTGGCCCCTTCCCGGACCCCACTGCCCAGGGGTCCAGTGCCAGGCCTGGGCCCCCCCCACCGTTTCCGGGGTTCAAGCCCGCCCACCGCCGGTTCCCGGGGAGGGGGGGGTCGCTGTAACCTGCCCCCCTCCCCTGGGCCCGCCCCTGGACTGCGACCCCCTGCCCTACGGCTGCGAGGCGAGCGGAGGGGGAGGTGAAGGAAGCTGCTCCGGCCCCGCCCCCCCCAGCCCGCGCGCACCCCCGACCTCTCCCCCTCCCCCAAGCGCGCGACCCTCGGGAGATAGGGATTTAAATAAAATTTGAATAAATCCCCCTCCTCAAGCGGGAGGGTGGAAGGAAAGGATAGAGGGGGAGAGGGAAAGGGGAAGGGGGCAGTTGGGGTGTCTCAGCCCCCCTGGTCCCCCAGCCCCGCGCTGCTACGGCCCGGGGCCCTGGCCGCCTCTCTCATCCCTCCTCAGCTCCTTCCTCCTTCCTCCTCTCTTCCCCCCTCCCCTCCCCTCCCTCCTCCTTCCCTCCTCCTCCTCCTCCTCCCCCTCTTTACTCCCTCCTTCTCCCAGAGGAACCCCGCCCCCTTCCCCCTCCTTCCTCCACCACCTCCACTTTCCAGGACGAACGCACGCAGGGCTCGACGGGAGTTGTAGTCCTGCGGCCACTGATGCTACGGGGGAACAATAGGACGCTGGGGACAGCGGGAACTACAAACAGGACGGCGGAGGGCGTGCCCAGCCGGGAGCCGAGGATGCCGGGAGTTAGAGTCCCGTTGCCCCGAGGCTCCCAGTTGCAGAACATCGAGAAGGAGAGGGAACGATGACTACAAACAAGATGGCCTTCTCCCCCGACCCGACCTCCTTCCCAGGCACTCACACGCCCTCCTGTCCACAACCCTCCGCGTGTGTGGTACCTGACGGGAGTCGCAGTCCATCTGCTGCCTTCCCGCTGCCATTTCTACTCGTCAGGAACAATGGAAAGGTGAAAAGGAAAGAGGACTACAAGCAAGATGGCGGAAGAGGGACATACACCTGACTAGTAGTCGATCTTACGAGGTGCGATGGGATTAGTAGTTTTATAGCCTTCCAGTGTTCCTTAAGAATGGCGGAACCAGGAGGACGAGGAGACTACCGTAAAGATGGCAGGCTACCTAGCCTCTCCCGGTCTCCGCTTTCCACCACCTTGGGCACCTCGCCCGCCTGTGGTCTCGAAATCCCCCCCACCAGTGGCGCACGGCCTGACGGGAGTTGCAGTCTCCCGGCTCCCGTCTATCATCTCAAGTCGAGACAATGGAAGGGGATGGGGCGGGGCCACCGGCAAAGATGGCGGCTGCAGGGCCGGGGCGACTGCGACATGGGATGTGTAGTCCAGGCGTCTGGCCTCTTCCCTGCGGAAATGAGGGAGAGGACTACGAAAAAGATGGCGACCTCGCCCCTCGACCTCTGCGCCGGTGCCTGCTGGGAAATGTAGTTCCTTGCCGAGTCCAACAGAGAAAGGACGTCGCTGTTGAAATGTGAATCCCGGCGGACACGCCAAATTGCGAGGCGACGGAAACGGAAAGACTCTTTTCTCCTCTCTCCGCCACCGGCTTCTGAACAGCCTGGCGGGAAATGTAGTCCCAAGCTTTCACTCGCGAGTGGAGGGGAAGGATTTATGTCACCAGTGGGGATCAGTGCGGGTGGGGGAGAAAAACGTCGGGCGATCCGGGAATAAAGAATGTCCGCCTCTCCATGGGGCGAGGACTTCGCGTTTCAGGGGAGGGCCCTTAAAGGAAGGCAGCAGGAATCAGTCTTGTCGAACAGGGGGGCGTGGTTCTCGTCGAGAGTGCATTCACACTCTTGTTCCCTAGAAAGCCTGGGCACCTCCCACTCGATTCCTGCTCCTCAGACCTCCGGGAATCAGTGTCTTACAAGACGTGCGGGCTCCGGGGAAAAGGACCTGGAGTCACAGCGAATCCCCGCCCCGCCCCGGGAAGCCACCAAACCTTGCTTTTTCTCATCTGCAAAATGGGGACAATGGGGATAATGATCCCCACCTCGAAGCACAGTTGTGAGTGTTAAACAAGCCAATGTTCTTGTCACCAAAGTGCCCAACTCTGGCACGGGGCACGCGGTGGTAGATCCCTTTCTAAGGTCCCTTCCAGCCCAGCCGTTCTGGGAGCCCAGGAATCCATGATGCCGGACAGAGTTCGCTCCTGTGAGAAGAAAACTGACCCGCAGGCTCCTCCCAGATTGAACCGACCCCCGCCCCTCCTCATCGGGGTCCTCCAGCGTCTGTTACCGAGCACTGCTCCCAGGGGGCGCTCAATCTCCATTCGACTGAGGTACTACAAACACGATTTCCGCAACCTGGAGTTGGAGGCATTGCAGGCTGTCCAGCCTCATCCCCTGCCTGATATCCAGTCAGCCTTGGAGGCCTCTGCCTAGACACTTCAACTGCCTATGCAAATGGAACGGCTTCTCATCTTTCTGCCGTTTTTTGGTTTTTTTTGTGTGTGTTTTAAGGTCTTGCTCTGTCACTTGGGTTGGAGTGCAGTTGCAGGATCATAGTTTGCTGCAGCCTCGACCTCCTGGGCTTAAGCGATCCTCCTCCCTCAGCCTTGTGAATACCTGGGACTTCAGGCACGCGCCACTACACCCAGCTAATTTTTAAACTATAATTTTTTTTTGTTCAGACGAAGTCTCGCTATGTTGCCCAGGCTGGTCTCGAACTCCTGGCCACAAGTGTGCCTCCCGCCTTGGCCTCCCTAAGTGTTGGGATTATAGGTGTGAGCCAGCAGCCATACCCCTCTTCTCAATCTTCCTTCTCCCCTGGAAAACCTGCTCACTTCTGACCCCAAGACAGCCCCCTCCCCTTCCCTCTGTCTTCTGTGTTTGGCAGACCAGCCCCAGCGAGGACTTGTTGGTTGTGGTTTTTCTATCAGGGAAGTCAATGGCTGGCCAGTGTAGTGTGAAGTCCCAGCTTGGCAGAGACTTGCCCAAGGCTGGATAGGAGGCTTCTTTGCCGCTCAGGCTTTATCAGTCAGGAAATCCTTAGCCCTCCCTAGAGGATTGGCTGTCCCCTCTATCCTCACTGCTTGAATTTGGTGTTGCATGATTGATTTCTACCCTGTTCCCTCTGCTTGAGGGCTATCCTCCCCATGCCCATCTCACTTCTCCACCAAGTTCACTGTTCATCATTTACAGGTCTCTATTTATGTATTTATTATTTATTTTTCTACTTTCCCACTTTTCTAAAAGGTCTCTATTTAAATGCCACTGTCAATCCCAGCACTTTGGGAGGCCTAGGCGGGCGGATCATGAAGTCAAGAGTTCGAGACCAGCAATGGCCAGTATGGTGAAACCCTGTCTCTCCTAAAAATACAAAAATTAGCCGGGCATGGTGGAATGTGCCTGTAATCCCACCTACTCGAGAGGCTGAGGCAGCAGAATTGCTTGAACCCGGGAGGTGGAGGTTACAGTGAGCTGAGATCGTGCCACTGCACTCCATCCTGGACGACAGAGTGAGACTCTGTCTCAAACCAATCAATCAATCAATCAATCACTGTCCTGGCCAGTTGCAGTGGCTCACGCCTATAATCCCAACACTTCGGGAGGCCAAGGTGAGAGGATAACTTGAAACTAGGAGTTCAAGACCAGCCAAGGCAACATAGTGAGGCCCCATCTTTACAAAAATACAAAAATTAGCTGGACGTGTAGTCCCAGCTACTTAGGAGGCTGAGGGGCAAGGATTGCTTGAGGCTGAGAGATTGAGCCTGCAGTGAGCTATGACGATGCCACTCGCTGCATTCAAGTCTAGATGACAGAGCAAGACCCTGCTCCTGGACATACTACTAAGTGCTTTCAGCATTTCATGTGGTCCTCATAAAAATCTTGAGGGCCGGGCATGGTGGCTCACGCCTGTAATCTCAGCACTTTGGGAGGCCAAGGCAGGTGGGTCACCTGGGGTCAGGAGTTCGAGACCAGCCTGACCAATATGGTGAAACCCCATCTCTACTAAAAATAGAAAAATTAGCCAGGTGTAGTGGTGTGCACCTGTAGTCCCAGCTCTTCAGGAGGCTGAGAAAAGAGAATTGTTTGAACCTGGAAGGCGGAGGTTGCAGTGAGCCAAGATCACAGCACTGCACTGCTGCCTGGGCGACAGCGAGACTCTATCTCAAAAAAAAAAAAACCCACACAACCTTATGAGGTAGAATTCCATTTTAGAGACGAGGAAACTGGGACCCTCAATTATGCAGAATGGATGAGTGGTACCGCCAAAATTCAAACCCCAGACTCCCGAACTCATGCTCAGAACTATTACAACATGCAGAAACAACAAATCCAGTCATGTGTGCATTTAATTTGGCATAGCAACAACAACACATTTCTCAGGCAAAATGGATTTCCAGCTTCTCTTGAAAAGTCCTGAAATCTAGTCCAGGACCGTGGATTGTATTTAAAAAAATAAAAATAGAAGAAGAAAAGGCCGGGCATGGTGGCTCATGCCTGTAATCCCAACACTTTGGGAGGCTAAGGCAGCTGGATCACTTGAGGCCAGGAGTTCAAGACCAGCCTGGCAAACATGGTGAAACCCCGTCTCTATTAAAAATACAAAAATTAGCTGGGCGTGGTGGCGTGCACCTGTAGTCCCAGCTACTCAGGATCCTGAGGCATGAGAATTGCTTGAACCTGGGAGGCAGAGGCTGCAGTGAGCCAAGACAATGCCACTACACTCCAGCCTGGACAACAGAGCGAGACTCAGTCTCAAAAAAAAAAAAAAAAAAAAAGGGCCGGGTGTGGTGGCTCATGCCTGTAGTCCCAGCACTTTGGGAGGCCAAGGTGGGCGGATTACCTGGGGTCGGGAGTTTGAGACCAGCCTGACCAACATGGAGAAACCCTGTCTCTACTAAAAATACAAAATTAGCCAGGCACAGTGGCACATACCTGTAATCCCAGCTACTCAGGAGGCTGAGGCAGGAGAATCGCTTGAACCGGGGGGGCAGAGGTTGCCGTGAGCCAAAATCATGCCACTGTGCTCCAGCCTGGCAACAAGAGTGAAACTCAAAAAGAAGAAGAAGAAGAGGAGGAGGAGAAGGAGAAGAAGAAAGGAAGAAGAAGAAGAAGAAGAAGAAGAAGAAGAAGAAGAAGAAGAAGAAGAAGAAGAAGAAGAAGGAGAAGAAGGAGAAGAAGAGGAGGAGGAGAAGGAGAAGAAAGGAAGAAGAAGAAGAAGAAGAAGGAGAAGAAGAAGAAAGAAGAAGGAAGGAAGAAAGAAGAAGGAAGGAGAAGAGGAAGAAAGAAGAAGAAGGAAGAAGAAGAGGGAGGAGGAAGGAGAAGAAGGAAGGAGGAGGAAGGAGGAGGAGGAAGGAGGAGAAGGAGGAGGAAGGAGAAGAAGGAAGAAGAAGGAGAAGGAGAAGAAGAAGAAGGCGGTTTTTATAGCTTCTGCCTAGAAGTGACATGTCAATTCAGCTCACATTTTATTGACCTGTCAAATAGCTAACCCTGGCCAGGCAAGGTGGCTCATGCATGTAATCCCAACACTTTGGGAGGCTGAGTTGGGCAGACTGCTCAAGCCCAGGAGCCCAAGGCCAGCGTGGGCAACTTGGCAAGGCTGTGTCTCTGCAAAAGAATACAAAAATTAGCTGGAGTGGTGGTGCACATGTGTAGTCCTAGCTACTCGGGAGGCTGAGGTGGGTGGATCGCTTGAGCCCAGGAGGTCCAGGCTGCAGTGAGCCATGATCGAGCCACTGCACTCCAGCCTGGGCGACAGAGTGAGACCCTGTCTAAAAATATTACAGAGATAGGCCGGGCGTGGTGGCTCACGCCTGTAATCCCAGCACTTTGGGAGGCCGAGGCGGGTGGATCACGAGGTCAGGAGATTGAGACCATCCTGGCTAACACGGTGAAACCCCGTCTCAACTAAAAATACAAAAAATTAGCCAGGAGAGGTGGCGGGCGCCTGTAGTCCCAGCTACGCAGGAGGCTGAGGCAGGAGAATTGCGTGAACCCCGGTGGGTGGAGCCTGCAGTGAGCCGAGATCGCGCCACTGCACTCCAGCCTGGGCGACAGCGAGACTCCGTCTCAAAAAATATGTATATATATTACAGAGATAGCCATAACTAATTAAAGGGGTTAGAGAAGCCAACTCTTGCCACATGCTTGGGAGAAGAACTAGAAAACCTGTGGACAGCCCTTATGACAAGCACAGCTTCCTGCGGTTCCCAGGGGAAGTTAGTGCCACAGGATGGAGGCTTTTTCTGGGATACCACCCACTGCAAGGCACCCAATAATTGAACTCTTGTTATGTGGGATGGCAACATCGATATAGAACAGAGGAGTCTGATTGACACTGACCAACTTGGGCGAGTGAACGGAAAATGCCTCTGTGAGAAGCTCAGGGTCAGCCTTGGGATCAGCAATCACCAAAAAGCCAAGCTCTCCAAGCTGCAGTGGATCTGGTTACTGAAAATCCCAGAAGTGAAGTGCCCAGCAGTGTGTATGGCTTCAGATGGCCGAGGAACATGTTAGTAGACTTCACTGGCCAGTGATCCTGGGGGAATGGATGGCATCAATGGCTGGGTTTGGGTTTATTTTCTTTTTTTAGACAGGGTCTTGCTCTCTTGCCCAGGCTGGTGTGAAGTGGTGCAGTCATAGTTCAATGCAGCCTCGACCTCCTGGGCTCAAGTGATCTTCGGCCTCTGGAAGTGCTGGTATTATAGGCATGAGCCACCACACGAGGCCAATAGCGGGGTTTCTACTGGCAAAATTAAAAAAAAAATCAAAATCAACTGGGTATGGTGGTGCCCACGTGTAGTACCAGCTACTCGGGAGGCTGGGGTAGGAGATTGAGCCTGGGAGGTCAAGGCTGCAGTGAGCCATGACTGAGCCACTGCATTCCAGCCTGGGGAACAGAATGAGACCTCATCTCTAAAAATAAAAAATACAAATAAATAAATACATAGTTGGCTACCATTGAAAATATTTAAATATCAATCTAAGATTAAATAATTTAAAAAGTCTGAGGTACAGAATGGAATATACTATACATGTTATGAATACTAGTAAATTGAAAGTAGTAATATAATGAAAAAATCTGGGTGTAGGGGAAGACTGAGGAAAATATTAAAAATAAATAGCGACTGGGCTGGGCATGGTGGCTCATGCCTGTAATTTCAGCACTTTGGGAGGTCAAGGCAGGCAGGTCACTTAAGCCCAAGAGTTCCAGACCAGCCTGGCCAAGATGGTGAAAACTGGTCTCTACTAAAAATGTAAAAACTACCCGGGCATGGTGTCGCATGCCTGTAATCCCAGCTACTCGGGAGGCTGAGGCTTGAGGATCGCTTGAACCTGGGAGGCAGAGGTTGCAGTGAGCCAAGATCGCGCCACTGCACTCCAGCCTGAGCAACAGAGTGAGACTCCGTCTCAAAAAAAAAAAAAAAAAATGAACAAAGACAGGATTTGAGCCAAAGCCCACTGCCTCCTAAATTGCTGGGATTCCCAAGAATTCAGCTTCTAGTGTGACCAAAACAAAGATGGAGACAAGTCGCCCTGCAGGGTAGGGCACAATGGAGGTGGGGGTGGGAGGGCAGAGCTGCTGACCTCTGACCTCTGCCAAGGCAGACGCATTGGACAACAGAGCAGGACCTGAGGTGAGGCTAATTCCTCCAGGTGTGAAGAAACACCTTAGGGGGGCCAGGCGCAGTGGCTCACACCTGTAACCCCAACATTTTGGGAGGCTGAGGCAGCCGGATCACCTGAGGTCAGGAGTTTGTGACCAACCTGGCCAACATGGTGAAACCCTCTACTAAAAATACAAAAATCAGTTGGTGTGGTGTCAGGCGCCTGTAATCCCAGCTACTCGGGAGGCTGAGGCAGGAGAATCACTTGAACCTGGGAGGTGGAAGTTGCATTAAGCCAAGATTGTGCCACTACACTCCAGCCTGGGCAACAGAGCGAGACTCTTGTCTCACAAAAATAAAATTAAATAAATAAATAAATAATGAGTTTATCCTTCATGGTTTTCAAATCTTTTTTTTTAAACTTGGAAGAATCTTACAGGAAATATTATTTATAGTGAAGAAACATTTATCTGAAGTTCCACAGTTCTTTCAATTAAACTTCTATTTCTGTTCCTTTTGTTAAATTCAAATAAAGTTAAATGTAATTTTAAAAATAGGATATCTAGTATTAATTGATTGTCATAAAATCTTTTTCTATTTATCTGATCAGGTGTCTAGAATGATGCTCACTAAATGTTAACAGTCATAGTTATTTCTGGGTGGTAAAATAGGGTGGTTTGTTGGTTTCTTCTTTGTTCATTTATGATCTGCTTCAAGTTTTCTAATGAACAGGTATTTTAACAATAATGATAACGTTATTAATCTTTTTCTTAAGTACTATTTTTTTTTCTTTTTTGAGACAGAGTCTTGCTCTGTCGCCCAGGCTGGAGTGCAGTGGCGCAATCTCAGCTCACTGCAACCTCCACCTCCCGGGTTCAAGATGGGGTTTCATCATGTTGGCCAGGCTGGTCTCAAACTCCTACCTTGTGATCTGCCCACCTCAGCCTCCCAAAGTGCTGGGATTACAGGTGTGAGCCACCGTTCCCGGCCTTTTTTTTTTTTTTTAAATACAGGATCTCACTCTGTCACCCAGGCTGGAGTGCAGTGGGGTGATCACAGCTCACTGAAACCTTGACCTCCCAGGCTCAAGTAATCCTCCCATCTCAGCCTCCCGAGTAGCTAGGACTACAGGTGCACACCACCTTGCCTGGCTAATTTTTGTATTTTTTTGTAGAGACAGGAGTCTTGCTATGCTGCCCAGGCTGGTCTTGAACTCCTGACCTCAAGCGATCCCCTCACCTTAGCCTCCCAAAGTGCTAAGACTACAGGTGTGAGACACTGCGCCCAGCACCCTTGCCTCTGTTCTGAATGGGCCCCACTGTGTGGTTTTCTGGACAACACTGGGTCATGCTTGAGCAAAGGTACCAGATCTCTTGGGAGCACATGTGTAGCCGGGGCATGGGGCTGGGCTCCAGGCACAGGCTCATGGGACATTGAGTCTTTGCCATTGGTTGGCGGCATTATATGTTACTGGGGCAACCCTTGACAAGCCCAGGAGAGGCCTCATAGGAGGGGTCAGGGCACTTGGTGGGTGTGCCCTGTGAGTTAGAACCTGTGAGTGGGAATTATTATCCCAGTTTCCAGATAAGGGAGCAAACTGAGGCTCAGAGAGGTTAAGGAACTTGTCCAAGCTAGTGATAAACAAAGGCAGGAGCTGGGCGCAGTGGCTCATGCCTGTAATCCCAGCACTTTGGGAGGCTAAGGCGGGCAGATTGCTTGAGGCCAGGAGTTCAAGACCAGCTTGACCAACATGGCAAAATCCCGTCTCTACTAAAAATACAAAAAATTAGCCGGGCCTGGTGGCACACACCTGTAATCCCAGCTACTTGGGAAGCTGAGGCTCGAGAATTGCTTGAACCTGGGAGGCAGAGGTTGCAGTGAGCCAAGATCACTGCACTCCAGCCTGGGTGACAGAGTGAGACTGTCTCAAAACAAACAAACAAAAAAGATGAACAAAGGCAGGACTTGAACCGAAGCCCACTGCCTCCTAAATTGCTGGGATTCCCAAGAATTCAGCTTCTGGTGTAACCAAAACAGAAGATGAGCTGGCCTGCAGGGTGGGGCACGATGGGGGTAGAGGGGGCAGAGCTGCTGACCTCTGACCTCTACCGAGACAGATGCCTTGGACAACAGAGCTGGGCCTGGGATGCGGCTAATTCCTCCAGATGTGAAGAGCACCTTGAGGGGGCTGGGCGTGGTGGCTCACGCCTGTAATCCCAGTACTTTGGGAGGCCAAGGCAGGAGGATCACTTGAGGTCAGGAGTTTGTGACCAGCCTGGCCAACATGGTGAAACCCCGTCTCTACTAAAAATATAAGAATTAGCCAGGTGTGGTGGCATGTGCCTGTAATCCCAGCTACTTGGGAGGCTGAGGCAGGAGAATCACTTGAACCCAGGAGGTGGAGGTTGCAGTGAGCCGAGATCACACCACTGCACTCTAGCCTGGGTGACAGAGCAAGATTCCATCTCAAAAAAAAAAAAAAAAAAAAAAAAAGACAGGCCCATGGCTCACGCCTGTAATCCCAGCAATTTGGGAGGTCGAGGAGGGTGGATCACGAGGTCAGGAGATCGAGACCATCCTGGCTAACACAATGAAACCCCGTCTCTACTAAAAATACAACAAATTAGCCGGGCGTGGTGGCAGGCACCTGTAGTACCAGCTACTCGGGAGGCTGAGGCAGGAGAATGGTGTGAACCCAGGAGGTGGAGGTTGCAGTGAGCCTAGACCATGCCACTGCACTCCAGCATGGGCAACAGAGCGAGACTCCGTCTCAAAAAACAAAAACAAAAACAAAAGCCACCTGGGGTGGGGGTCAGAGAGAGAGAAAGGGAAGCCCCAGAGAGAGGCGGGTGGTGGTGGGCTCTGGTGGGGTTAGCCTGCCCTCCCAGGTGAGGCCTGCCCCATGTAGGCCGTCCACCTGTGAATAGTACCAGATCGAGTATCTGCCTCACTCTCCCCCTCCTGTACCTCCTCTTCCCCCTGCTCTACTACCATGGCACGGCCCATGCCTCGGTGCACCCACTTAATGGGCCTCCTATAATCCCCTGATATCACCACCTGCCTGGCACAGGCCCTGCCGGCCAGCCCTAGCAGCCCCCAGCCTTGGAGAGCCTGTTTAGGACCCCTCACCTCAGAATCCATCTTTTCCTTCAACCTCCTCCTTCCTTCAGCTCACAGTTCAGATCTGGAACCCCACAGCCAGCCCCAAGCTGGGGACAGGAGTCCAGCATCTGCCCTGACTCTGCTGTGTGACTCCAGGTAAGTAGCCGCCCCTTTCTGGGCCTCAGGCTCCTTATCTAAGTATTCCGAACACCCAGCTCATCACACCAACCTGTCTGGGCTTCTTCTCAGCACCATGTCACTTTAGGAAACCTTGCTGTGTGTTAATTCACATGTTTCGTGCTGGTCTCCCCGACCAGACTGTGTACCCGTGAGGCAGGGACCTTACCTGCCTCATTATTCACCCTGGTGCTGGCACACAGTAGGTGCTGTGTTAATAGCTACTGGGGTCAGGTGCAGTGGCTCACACCTGTAATCCCAACATTTTGAAAGGCCAAGGTGGGAGGATCACTTGAGCCTGGGAGGTGGAGTCTACAGTGAGCTATGATGGTGCCATTGCAGTCCAGCCTAGGGAACAGAGCAAGACCCTGTCTCTCTCTCTTTTTTTTTTTTGTTTTTTTTGAGATGGAGTCTTGCTTTGTCACCCAGGCTGGAGTGCAGTGGCACGATCTCAGCTCACTCCAACCTCCGCCTCCCAGGTTCAAGTGATTCTCCTGCCTCAGCCTCCCTAGTAACTGGGATTACAGGCCTGTGCCACCACACCTGTCTAATATTTTTATATCTTTAGTAGAGACAGGGTTTCACCATGTTGGCCAAGCTGGTCTCAAACTCCTGACCTCAAGTGATCCACCCACTTCAGCCTCCCAAATTTCTGAGATTACAGGTATGAGCCACCACGCCCAGCCGACCCTGTCTCTTTTTTTTTTTTTTTTTTTTTTTTTTTGAGACGGATTCTTGCTCTGTGGCCCAGGCTGGAGTGCGGTGGCGTGATCTCAGCTCACTGCAAGCTCCACCTCCTGGGTTCACACCATTCTCCTGCCTCAGCCTCCTGAGTAGCTGGGACTACAGGTGCCCGCCACCACACCCAGCTAATTTTTTGTATTTTTAGTAGAGACGGGGTTTCACTGTTTTTTAGTCAGGATGGTCTCGATCTCCTGACCTCGTGATCCGCCCGCCTCAGCCTCCCAAAGTGCTGGGATTACAGGCGTGAGACACTGCGCCCAGCCTTTTTTTTTTTCTTTTTTATTGAGACGGAGTTTCGCTCTTGTTGCCCAGGCTCGAGTGCAATGGTGTGATCTCGACTCACTGCAACCTCTGCCTCCCAGGTTCAAGCAATTCTCCTGCCTCAGCCTCCCAAGTAGCTGGGATTACAGGCATGCGCCATCATGCCCGGCTAATTTTGTATTTTTAGTAGAGACGGGGTTTCTCCATGTTGGTCGGGCTGGTCTCAAACTCCCGACCTTAGGTGATCCGCCCGCCTCGGCCTCCCAAAGTGCTGGGATTACAGGCGTGAGCCACTGTGTCCGGCCGGGCCGACCCTGTCTCTTAAAAAAAAAACACCTGTTGGCCGGGCACAGTGGCTCACGTCTGTAATGCCAGCACTTTGGGAGGCTGAGGCGGGCGGATCACAAGGTCAGGAGTTCGAGACCAGCCTGACCAACATGGCGAAACCCTGTCTGTACTAAAAATATAAAAGTTAGCTGGGCGTTGTGGCACTTGCCTGTAATCCCAGCTACTCGGGAGGCTGAGGCAGAAGAATCACTTGAACCTGGGAGGTGAGGCAGAGGTTGCAGTGAGCCGAGATCGTGCCACTGCACTTCAGCCTGGGCGACGGAGTGAGACTCCGTCGCAAAAATAAAAAATAAAAATAAAAATAAAACACCTCTTGAGTGACTGTGTGGGCCCCTCTGCCTCCAGGTTACCACCTGACCAGGGAAGCTAGGGTGGAGCAGTATTCCAGCCCACTAGGGTGGGAGTCTGACCGATCACTGCCTGACTCAGGGGGTGGCAGGGATGAGAACTTAACATTGGTTCCATGATGGAGAGTTTGGGGGAGTACTGGAGAAAGACCAGAACCCAGCATCTGCCTCTCCGACCCTGCCCCTCTGCTGCAAGGCTTCCCCGAGGGACAGTGTCTTAGGTGTGTGTGTGTAAGTCCAAGTGTGTTGTGCCTGGGCAGAGGGAGGAGATCTCCTAGTGTATCAGAGGCTAAGACGTGGCCAGATCCCATGACCCCTGGTCCCCACCTCTGCGTGCATCTATGGGCATGAGGTGTGTGTCCCACGTCTGCTCTGTGTAGGTGCCTCTGGCTGGGCCCCCAGGGATGCACTATGGGTTCCCCTGTGTGCACGCGTGTGTCTGGGACTGTGTGTGTGATGTGTGTAGGCCTGGCATGATCCCACATATATGTACCCATGTCTACTAAAGTGTCAGCTCCACGAGGGCACGGATTTTTGTCTGTCTTGTTCCATACTCTGTCCCCAGCACTTAAAACAGGGACTGGTGCACAGTCAGGGCCCATAAGTCCTGAATGAATGAGCGCATGAAAGTGTGTGCTCATGCCTGTGTGTGCCCACGTGCCAATGCCTGTGTAGACGTGTGACTGTTCCTGTGCCTAAGGGTGAACCTGGGTGTGGACGATGATGTTGCTCACACACCATCCCTCCTGTCCTTTTTCCAAACTCCTTGGGAGCCCGGGCCCAGCGCCTGGGTCCCTGTGGGGCGGAGCAGGGGGCGGCCTCCTCTGGGAAACTGGATCCCAGGACCTGCAGAACAGCAGGGAGCGGGGCGGCCCCTTTGTCCCTGGATAATCCCCATCACGCCCTCGCCCCCTCCCTCCCAGCCACCAGGGTTTAGGGTCGAGTTTGGGAGCTGGAGGGGCCTGGGGGTCCCATCTGTGTCCCCTTCCCTACCCATTTCCTTCCTCTGGGGCTTCTGCACACGAGGCCTCCCCGTGCGGAACATATGTCCCCCTTCTGGGTCCTCCCACCCGCTCCCTGTCCTGTCTGGTGGCCAGGTCTGTCTCTCATTCTTTGCCAGGGCCCTGCCTGCTCCTGCCCCTCTCCCCAGGATGTGACTCCCTCCCTCCCTCTTGGGCCACCCCAGGGCTCAGCCCCAGGTATAAAGACACCTGAGGGGCAGAAGGACAGGTGTCCTGAAAGACCCAGAGGCTGCAGAGAGGAAGAAGCCGAGGAGAGAGCATGAGCTGTTCACTGGGTGAGTGAGGGGCAGGAGCGCCAGGCCCCAGAGACACAGGACAGGGGGACCCGCAGAGCCCCTCCTCTCTCTGACTCAGGTGTCCAGCTCTCTTTGCACCTGCTGAAAACCTCCAAATCCCCCTACATCAAGGCTTCCTTCATCATTAATTCAACACATATTTATTGAATGCCTATCATGTGCTAGGTACTGTTGGAAGCATCTGGGGAGACAGCAGTGAACAAACAGACAAAAATCCATGGCCTCATGGAAATTTCATTCTGCAGACACATAATATGTGTACTAACAAGAAAATTGTAAAGCTAGTGTGACAGAAAGTGGTGCAGTGATCCAACTGTGGCTTTTTTTGTTGGTTTGTTTGGTTTTTGAAACAGGGTCTTGCTCTGTGGCCCAGGCTGGAGTGCAGTGGCAGAATCTTTGCACATTGCAGCCTTAAACTCCAGGGCTCAGGTGATCCTCCTGCCTCAGCCTCCTGAATAGCTGGGACCACAGGTGTACGACACCAGGTTATGCTAATTCTTTTTTTTTTTTGAGACGGAGTTTTTGCTCTGTTGCCCAGGCTGGTGTGCAGTGGCATGATCTCAGCTCACTGCAACCTCTGCCTCCTGGGTTCAAGTGATTCTCCTGCCTCAGACTCCCGAGTAGCTGGGATTACAGGTGCCCACCACCACGGCTGGCTAATTTTTGTATTGGTAGTAGAGACAGGGTTTCACCATGTTGGCCAGGCTGGTCTCGAACCCCTGACCTCAAGTGATCTACCTGCCTCGGCCTCCCAAAGTGCTGAGATTACAGGCATGAACCACTGCACCTGACATATTTTTTTTTTAACTTTTTCTAGAGATGGGATCTCCTGTGTTGCTCAGGCTGGTCTCGAACTTGGGGCTCAAGCGATCTTCCCAAAATATTGGGATTGCAGGTGTGAACCACTGCAAGCCCGAAGTTTGTGAAATGAAGGAATGAAATGGTCTTCCCTCTCAGGCTTCTCTGAGTTGCTACTGAACTCTGGGAACTCAGGAATGTGGCAAGGGGGATGAAGGAGGCCGCCCTGGGTTTGCCTCTCATCTCTGTTTCTCCTGGGTGGTGACCTTAGGTCATTCTCCTCCTCTCCGAGCCTCACACTGTTGGTAGAAACATAAACTGGACCAGATCTTCTTCTTCTTTTTTTTTTTTTTTTGAGACGAAGTCTCACTCTATTACCCAGGCTGGAGTGCAATGGCGAGAGCTCAGCTCACTGCAACCTCCGCCTCCTGGGTTCAAGCGATTCACCAGCCTCAGCCTCCTGAGTAGCTGGGATTACAGGCACACACTACCATGCCCAGCTAATTTTGCATTTTTAAGTAGAAATGGGGTTTCACCATGTGGGCAAGGCCAGTCTTGAACTCCTGACCTCGTGATCTGCCAGCCTCGGCCTCCCAAAGTGCTGGGATTACAGGCATAAACCACCGTGCCCGGCCTTTTTTTTTTTTTTTTTTTTTTTGAGACAGAGTCTCACTGCGTCACCAAGGCTGGAGTTCAGTGGCTTGATCTTGGCTCACTGCAACCTCCATCTCCCAGGTTCAAGCAATTCTCCTGCCTCAGCCTTCTGAGTAGCTGGGATTACAGGCACCTGCCACCACGCCTGGCTAATTTTTTTGTATTTTTAGTAGAGACAGGGTTTCACCATATTGGCCAGGCTGGTCTCGAACTCCTGACCTTGTGGTCCACCCGCCTTGGCCTCCCAAAGTGCTGGGATTATAGGCATGAGCCACTGCGCCCAGCTTGGACCAGATCTTTGAGAGGACAATTTGGCAGCATCTATTTACATTTAAAATAAGCATGCAGCCAGGTGGAGTGGCTCAAACCTGTAATCCCAGCACTCTGGGAGGCCGAGGCAGGAGGATTGCTTGAGGCCGGGAGTTGGAGACCAGTCTGGGCAACATAGCGAGACCCTGTCTCCACATAAAATTTAAAAAATTAACTGAGTGTGGTGGTGTGGATCTGTAGTCCCAGTTACTTGGGAGGCTGAGGTGGGAGGATCGCCTGCTCCCAGGAATTCGAGGCTGCAGTGAGTTATGATCACACCCCTATATTCCAGCCTGGGTGACAGAGCAAGACGCCATCTCTAAAAGAAGGAAAAAATTCACACTTGTGCTGGCTGCCTTTAAAGCATAGAGCTAGCAGGATTTCCTGTGGGATTGGGTGTGTAGAGTAAGAAAAAAAATGAAGCATCAAAGAGCACACCATGACTTTGGCCTGAACAATTGGAAGAATTGAAATGCCTTTACCTGAGACAGGGGAGCCTAGGAGAGGAGGGGCTTGGGGGGAATATTCCAGAATTAAACCCTGGATATTTTGGGTTTGAGATGCTTACTAATATTCAATTGAAAATGTCAAGTAGCTGAATCAATGAGCCTGGAGTTCAGAGGGTTCTGGGCCAGGATAATCTACCTGCAGGAGGGTTTGTCACTGACTTGGACATGCAAGATCGCTGTAGCCCACAAGGGATGGGACCTTTTCCGGAGTTGTGGAGATGAATGAATGAATCGGAGGCAGGGTCGAGGCCTTGGTGCTGACCTCCGGCTTCCTCTGCCAGCCCGCCTCTGCCTGCTGACCCTGCTGTCGCCACCCCTCAGCTCAGCAGCCTCCATCTCCCCAGCTGAGCCCATCAGTCAAGCCTATAGCCTGGCCCTCTACATGCAGAAGAACACCTCAGCGCTGCTGCGGACTTATGTGAATGACAAGGGGCATGAGCAGGGGACGAGGGGAGAGGGATGCTGCCTCCCAGGCCCTGCCATGGGTAGGGTGAGCAGAGCAAGTCCAGAAGACTCCTCCATGGCCCGAGGGGACAGGGATGCCTGTAACACTCTAGTGTTCACTAGAGCCACACTCACTTGTGCCACTCATGTCACTGGTGGCTGGGTGACCTTAGGCAAGTCATTCTTCCTCTCTTGGTCTCAGCTTTCTCATCTGCAAAATGGGATGCTGAGCGTGCCTTTGCTGACCTCCTAGGACTGTGACAGTGTTCAAAGGACACACCGAGAGAGAAGGGCTTTACACAGCCACATTTAATTCCTCACCATTCATGCTGTGTGATTACCTGGGCCCATGCCTGCTTGGCACTCTACCCCCAATGTCTGTCACCCAGGCTGGAGTGCAGTGGTGTGATCTCGGCCACTGCAACGTCCACCTCCCGGGTTCAAGTGATTCTTGTCCCTCAGCCTCCCGAGTAGCTGGGATTACAGGTGCATGTCACCACGCCTGGCTAATGTTTGTATTTTTAGTAGAGACAGGGTTTCACCATATTGGCCAGGCTGGTCTTGAACTCCTGGCCTCAACTGATCCACCTGCCTTAGCCTCCCAATGTGCTGGGATTACAGACGTGAGCCACTGTGCCTGTCCTTTACCCCCATTATCTTACTGACTCTTCAAACAGTTCTAGCAGGTGGAATTATAATCCATTTTACAGGTGAAGAAACTGAGTCTTAGAGGGGGGTGAATAATTTGCCTGAGGTCACAGAGCTAATAACTGGCAGTGCCAGGATCTGAAGCCAGGTCTGTGGAATTTCCTCCCCTTTCCATGGCCTTCTACACCATCTCAAAGTTAAAGCTGGAAGCCTGCTGGCTGAGTCTGACCCACAGCTGTTTTTTTGTTTGGCCCATACAGCTCCTGTTCAAAGTTTGAATATGAATGGAATGCCTGTCTATAGCAGGCACAGGGATACTGTTGGTCAAAACTCCCACCTGGCATCGTAGTCCTGCCTTCTTCACAACTGACACGATCTGCCTGGCCCTGGAGCCCCTGACATCTGGAGCTCTTTCTCTGGGCCAGATTTCTGGCCCCTGTGAAGTGACTGAACCTTTCGACCTAGTTTCTAGTCCCACAGCTGTCACTATTCCCTGGATAGCCTTGGGCACCCTTAGCCTCAGTTTTTCCACTTGTAAAATGGGACCAGGCAATCTGCCAGTTAGGACATCTATCAGTGTGCACTAAGGTCCCAGGGCTGGAGGCTGTGGCTTACACCTATAATCCCAGCACTTTGGAAGGCTGAGGTGGGGTGGATCACTTGAGGTAAGGAGTTCGAGACCAGCCTGGCCAACATGGTGAAACTCCATCTCTACTAAAAATACAAAAATTAGCTGGGAGTGGTGGCACATATCTGTAATCCCAGCTACTTGGGAGGCTGAGGCAGGAGAATTGCTTGAACCCGGGAGGCGGAGGTTGCAGTGAGCAGAGATCATGCCAAGGCACTCCAGCCTGGGCGACAGAGCAAGACTCCATCTCGGGAAATAAATGAAATAAAATAAAATAAAATAAAGTAAACAAACATAACTAAATGCCATAAATAAAAAAGATACCAGGCTGTAACTACATTGTCAATAATATACTTGGTTTAAAATATTACAGTTGGCTGGGTGTGGTGGCTCGTGCCTGTAATCCCAGCATTTTAGGAGGCTGAGACAGGTAGATCACCTGAGGTCAGGAGTTCGAAACCAGCCTGACCAACATAGTGAAAATACAAAATTAGCCAAGTGTGGTGGCGTGTGCCTGTAATGTGGGTTTCCAGATACTTGGGGGGTGAGGCGGGAGAATCGCTTGAACCTGGGAGGCAGAGGTTGTAGTAAGTCAAGATCGCACCATTGCATTCCAGCCTGGGCAACAAGAGCAAAACTCTGTATCAAAATAAATAAATAAATAATAAAAGAAAAGAAAACATTACAGTAAATAATGTAATCATAGTGTTCATTGATATTAATATAAATATATTATTAATGATGGCTTATCACACCCTTATTGTATATCAGATGCTGTATTGTATATTAGACTCTGTGCTAAGTGCTTTTTTTTTTTTTTTTTTTACAGTTTCACTCTGTCGCCCAGGCTAGAGTGCAGTGGTATGATCTCGGCTCACTGCAACCTCTGCCTCCTGGGTTCAAGTGATTCTCGTGCCTCAGCCTCCTGAGTAGCTGGCATAGAAGGCGTGCACTGCCACAGCTGGCTAAGTTTTGTATTTTTAGTAGAGACAGGGTTTTGGCATATTAACCAGGCTGGTCTCAAACTCCTGACCTCAAGTGATCTACCCATCTCGGCTTCCCAAAGTGCCAGGATTACAGCTGTGAGCCACCGTGCCCGGCCTGCTAAGGGCTTTATATATATTATTTCCTATAATCTTCATAACACTGCCAGGTGGGAATTTCTGAAGCTTGTGACTCCACGTTGCACAGCTAGCGTGCAGAGGATGACACACCTGAGCCTCCTAGGGCCCTTGCCCTGTGTCAGGACATCCCAGCAGCTCCCTGAGACGCAGCAAGTGACGACTCCTGGGAAGAAGCCAGTCTCAGTGGGCAGGCGTGAAGTCAGAGTCCCAGGCACCGCTCTGGTCCCCTCACTCCTGTCTGTCTCTGTCCCTCCTGCAGCTCCAGTACCAGGGCAGCCCCTTTAGTGACCCTGGCTTCTCAGCCCCTGAGCTCCAGCTCAGCAGCCTGCCTCCTGCCACCGCCTTCTTTAAGACCTGGCACGCCCTGGATGACGGGGAACGGCTGAGCCTTGCCCAGAGGGCCATTGACCCAGCACCTCCAGCTCGTGGAGGACGACCAGAGCGACCTGAACCCTGGCAGTCCCATCCTGCCGGCTCAGCTCGGGGCTGCGAGACTCAGGGCCCAAGGCCTGCTGGGCAATATGGCCGCCATCATGACGGCCCTGGGGCTGCCAATCCCCCCAGAAGAGGATACTCTAGGGCTTGCTGCCTTTGGGGCCTCGGCCTTTGAGAGGAAATGTCGAGGCTACGTGGTGACCCGGGAATATGGCCACTGGACAGACCGAGCTGTGAGAGACTTGGCTCTGCTCAAGGCTAAGTACTCAGCATAGAGGGGTAGGACTTCCTGTCAGAGGCTGCAGCACTTCCTCTTTCACAATGGCCTCTTTTCTGCCTTGCTTGTGGGCTAGAAAAGGAGATAAACCTCATCTAGCAGATGGGGCTTGGGTGCCATGTATGGGAATATTTCCTGGGAGCCAGGCCTCAATTTCCTTATTTCAGGGCCTTCCGGCCCAGGTCCTCTGGCCTGCGTTCTAGGTCTGGGTCAACCTCCATGGATGCCATTCCATGGGTTACCCATCCAGTGGTACTGGGTGTCCACTTCCTGGTTGGAAAGATGCACCTCTCCAAAGAGGCTTCACCTGTCACTCTACAGGGAGAGGACAGTTGGTCCCCTTCCTAGGCTCTCCCTGAGACCTTCCCTTTTTTGTAATTTTGGGACGGTTGGGGCTGCCTTCCTGTCTCTGTCTGCCTCATTCGCTGTATGAAGAGCCCGCCTTTCTAAGCGGATAGGCTTCCTTCTTCCTGCTGAAGTTCATTGGCTCCCCTCCTTGGCCTGTCTCTCTGGGGCTACTGTTCCACTTCCTGTCCTCAGGGGCTCCACTTCCTGATCCATGGAAGCCCAATTCTTGAAGAACTAAGGACTGCATCACATCTGTTTCCTGTTAGGACACATCCACTTCCTGTTCTGGGCTGGCAGAGGGCACCACTGGCCAGGGGCTGTCAGCCTCCTATTTATACTGCTGGGCTTCTTGGGCATGTCTGGGGGACTAGGCTGCATCCCAAGGGTCCTTTTCTCCCTAAAGCTGTCTCCCCATTTTCAACAACTATATATACAAGTAACTTTAGTTTCTTTTTTATTTTTAAACATTTTATTTACAAAAAATTAATTTATTTTCAGAAATAAAACTCTTTTAAGGTGTTGCTTGTTTTGTCTCCACAGATCTGCTGGGAGGCAGTGGAGGTGTGCAGGGACAGGGCAGAGGGGCTGAAGGAAAGGAGGACATCAAAGGGACAGGGCTGAGGCCCAAAGGGATGGGGTGTGGCAGACTGGGGATGTAGGTGGAGTGAGCCTGAGGAAGGTGGCTGAGATGCAGAGTAGCCTTCCCCCCATAGGACCAGCAGGCACGCCCCTGGCCAGGGAAGCACAGAGAGACAGCCAGATGGGGACAAGGAGAGAAGGTGTCACCTCCTTGAGATAAGGCTGAGATGTACACATGTGCTCACACAGGGCCACGAGAAGGCAGGAAGTGGGGATGGAAAAAACAGAGACACCCCAAGAGCTGGGTAAAGGGGGAGGCCAAAGGGAACTGAGGCAGGCCCAAGGAAGGAGGGAGAGCAAGAAAATGGTAGACTCAGACGGAGTTACCATGCAGACGAGGAGGGTCCAAGAGTTAAGAGAACGGGGCAGGCAAAGCAAAGAGAGGCTGGGAAAGTGGCTCACGCCTGCAATCCCAGCACTTAGGGAGGCTGAAGCGGGAGGATCGCTTGAGCCCCGGAGTTCAAGACCAGCCTGGGCAACATGGCGAAACCTCGTCTCTACAAAAAATTAAATAAAAAATTAGCCGGCTGTGGTGGCGCGTGCCTGTAGTCCCAGCTGCTGGGGAAGCTGAGGCGGAAGGATGGCTTGAGCCCAGGAGGTTGAGGCTGCAGTGCTGGGATCGCGCCACTGCACCCCAGCCTGGGCGACAGAGACCCTGCCCGTCCCCTCCCCTCTCCCCCACAAAAAGCAAAGAAGGCCGAGGCAATGGAGACAGCTAAGAGCAGACAGACAGACACCGACAGCGGCAGAGAAAGACAAAGAAGCGGAAGGAGAGACGGAACCCAGCGGGAGGAGGCGGGGCGAGCTGCCCCGCGGCGCTCAGGCCGAGCCCCCGGGCAGCAGCTGGCCCAGGTCGCCCTCGGTGCGGCTCAGCCACTCGCGGTAGAGGCCGCAAACGCGGAGCCCCAGCACCTTGGCGGGGAAGACCCCGGTGGCGGAGGCGGCTGAGGCGGTGGCGGCGGGGGGCTCGGCCCGGGGCCCGCGGTTGGCGGCGCCCAGCGCGGCCAGCAAGGCCTCCACGGCGGCGCCCAGGGCCCGGGCCTGGCGCGCCGCGTCCTCCAGGCGGCGCAGCAGGCGCGGCGCGCGCGGGTTCAGCTCGGCCTGGCGGCGACACACTGCGTCCAGCAGCGGGGGCAGCGCGGCCAGCGCCGCCGCGTCCAGCCGCAGCCGCTCGTGCACTGGCAGCCCCGCGTGGCTCGGAGCCGGGGCGCTCAGGCCGGCCACCGGCAGCCGCGGCGGCGAGAAGCTGGGCAGCCCGAAGGGGTCTCCCTGGAGCTGCACCTGCGGAGACACGGCCGGCGGGTCAGCGGGGCCCCGGAGCACGGGCAGGGGGCTGTTAACTGGGCTCTCCAACCCGCTCTCTGGGGGTGTCAGTTTCCTCATCTTGCAGATGATAATCCCTCCTAACAGAGCTGCTCTGTTTAAGGCAAAACAAAGTGGCATGCGCTTGACACCAATGCCTGTTTCTTCCTCCCTAAACTGGACCCAGACTGGGCCAGTTTAGGTCAGCACTTTGGGAGGCCAAGGTGAGATAATCACTTGAGCCCAGGGGTTCGAGACCAGCCTAGGCAACACAGCAAGACCACAGCTCTAAAAAAAAAAAAAAAAAAAAAAATAGCGAGTGTGGTGGCGCATGTCTGTAGTTCCAGCTGTTCCGGAGGCTGAGGCTGAGGTGGGAGGATTGCTTGAGCCCAGGAGGTCAAGGCTTCAATGAGCTATGATGGCACCACTGCCCTCCAGCCTGGGTGAGAGTCAGACCCTGTCTCAATAAATAAATAAATAGGACCTAATAACAGCAGCAACTTCATAAAGCAGTTATGACCATGTCAAGTGTTCAAGACAGGGCCTGGTCCCAGGAAGAGTTCAGTAAAAATGTCAGCTCTTTTATTAAAGTTACCTTACAGACCAGAGTTCAAATCCTATCTTCACCACTTACTAGCTGTGCAGTTTGGGGCAAAACCACTTCCCTTCTCTGAGCCTCAGCCTTCTCATCTGTACAATGAATGGGGAAGCTTCCTGTCCTGTCTTCATGGAAATCATATAAGATAGTCCAGGGGCCAAGGGGGCTTCATTCCCTTCCCTATCCTCCCCAACCTCTGTACCTGCATTGAGCAGGGGCTCAATGAATCAACATCATATGAATGAACAAATGAAAGATAAATGTGGGGCTGGGCACGGTGACTCACGCCTGTAATCCAGGCACTCTGGGAGGCCAAGGCAGGCAGATCAGCTGAAGTCAGGAGTTCAAGACCCACCTGGCCAACATGGTGAAACCCTATCTCTACTAAAAATACAAAAATTAGCCAGATATGGTGGTGGTGACTGTAATCCCAGCTACTCAGGAGACTGAGGCAGAAGAATCCCTTGAACCTGGGAGGCGGAGGTTGCAGTGAACTGAGATCGCACCATTGCACTCCAACCTGGGCCACAAGAGCGAAACTCCATTTCAAAAAAAAAAAAAAAATGTTGGGCTGGAGATACAGTGACTATAGTGACTTACCCTAGGAAGTGGCAGAGCTGGAATTTGAACCAAAGTTCATAGCAGTACAAAGCTAGTTTTCTTTGTTTGTTTTAAATAGATGGGGTCTCACACTGTCGCCAAGGGTGGAGAGCAATGGTTTGATCACACAGCCTCCAGGGCTCAAGCAATCCTCCACACTCAGCCTCCTGAGTAGATGGAACCACAGGCATACACCACCACGCCTGGCTATTTTTTTCTTTTCCTTTTTATTTTCTTTTCTTTTATTCTTTTCTTTTTTAAGAGATGAGGGCTCACTGTGTTACCCAGGCTGGTCTCGAACTCCCGAGCTCAAGCAATCCTCCTGCCTCAGCCTCCAAAAGCAATGGGATTACAGGCATGAGCCAACGCACCCAGCCCAAAGCTAGTTCTATTATGCCACTATTCTCCCACTATCCGCTGCCATAATTGTTACATTATTATTTTTAATGTTATTGTTACTGCCCAAGCTCACAGTTAACAAGTTGGCAGGCCTGCAGTCTGATTCAAAGCTATACCCTCCCTTCACTACACGAGGGTAATTTGGGGAAATATTTTCTTTCCTTGGGCAGGGTCCTCTGCCCAACTAAAGATGTCAGCAGATCCCTGTCTTCTGTGAAAGTGCCCTCTTGGGATAACTGTTGCTCCAGATTGGAACCTCTTCTTGGCTTCCCTGAATATCCCAGGTGGGAGAGTTCAGAGTTAATCATATTTAGCTGCCTCCTTTTACTGTTGGGGAGAGACCAAGGCCCATGGAGGGGAGGTGTCAAGGTCACGCAGAGCCTAGAACCTCGGTTTCCTGAGATACAGATCAGAGTTCTCTTCACTGCCCCAGGCTACCTGGCTACCTCTGACTTAAAGCACCAAGGTCACTTGAGCCCAGGAGTTCAAGACCAGCCTGGGCAATACAGCAAGACCCTGCCTCTACAAAATAATGAAAAAATTACCCAGGCATGATGGTGTGTGCCTGTGGCCCCACCTACTTGAGAGGCTAAGGCAGGAGGATTGCTTAAGCCCAGGAGGTTGAGGCTGCAATGAGCCATAATGGCACCACTGCACTCCAGCCTGGGCGACAGAGCGAGGCCTCCTCTCAAAAACAAAGCACTGAGGAGGGTGCCTCTAAGCTGGAGAGGACAGAGTGGCATCTGGGTCACAGACAGGGTCCTCTTCCAATTTGCTGTGTGGCCAGGGGCAAGTTGCTGTCCCTCTCAGGAGCCCTGATTTCCACAGTTGGAAAATGAGGTTGAGAGAATGGGTGATCGAGGACCTCTGTGATGTCTGCTCCCATTCCCCAGGCCCCCGGCACCCCCACCCCCATTCCCACTCACATATTCCTGGAGCAGCTGCTCAGCGTATTTGGTGAGGAGGTGCGCAAGGCTGTGTGTCTGACGGATCTTGGCCTCCAAGTGGGGAAGAAGTGAGACTGAGGAATCAGTCTGGGGGTCTTCTGGTGGGAAAGGGGGGAGGAATGAGGATGGCCAACCTCCTGCTCATTGATCACCTCTCCCACGCTGGCTCTTTGTTCCTGACCCCATCAGGGTCTGTCCCATTCCAACTGAAGGAAAATGAGGCACCAGAACTTTGTCAAGCAGGTGGTCTACCTGAAATGTATTGCCTGTCCCCAAATCACTGTTGAAATCCTATTAAAGTCAAATTCAAAGACAGTCATGCCTTGCTTAACAACATGGATACATTCTGAGAAATGCATCCTTAGGCGATTTCATCGTAGAGTACGTAAATACATCGTAGAGTGTATTTACACAAACCTAGGTGGTACAGCCTGCTACACGCCCAGGCTATGTGGTGTTAGTCAATTGTTCCTAGGCTGCAGACCTGGACAGCATGTTACAGTACAGCAGGCAACTGGAACACAGTGGTATTTGTGTATCTAAACATAGAAAAGGGCCAGGTGAGATTGCTGATGTCTGTAATCTTAGCATTTCGGGAGGCCAAGGCAGGTGGATTGTTTGAGCCCAGGAGTTTGGGACCAGCCTGGGCGATATGGTGAAACCCCATCTTTACAAAAAATACAAATATAAGCCAGGCATAGTGGCACATGCCGGTAGTCCCAGCTAATTGAGAGGCTGAGATGAGAGGATCACTTGAACCCCGGGAGGTCGAGGCTGCAGTGAGCTGTGAGTGTGCCACTGCACTCCAGCCTGGGCAACAGAGTAAGACCCTATCTCTAAATAAATAAATAAATAAAAACATAGAAAAGCTACAGTTAAAATACATATATAGGTATGTATTTTATTATATAATATATATCGGTTAGGCGTGGTGGCTCACGCCTGTAATCCCAGCACTTTGGGAGCCCGAGATGGGCAGATCACTTGAGGTCAGGAGTTTGAGACCAGCCTGGCCAACATGGTGAAACCCCGTTTCTACTAAAAATACAAAAATTAGCCAGGCATTGGGCTCAGTGGTTCACGCCTTTAATCCCACACTTTGGGAGGATGAGGCGGGCGGATCACTTGAAGTCAGGAGTTCGGGACCATCTGGTGAAACCCTGTCTCTACTAAAAATACAAAAATTAGTCAGGCATGATGGTGGGTGCCTGTAATCCCAGCTACCAGGGGGCCTGAGGCATGAGAATCGCTTGAACCTGGGAGGAGGAGGTTGCATTGAGCTGAGATCAGGTCACTGCACTCCAGCCTGGGTGACAGACCGAGACTTCGTCTCAAAAAAAAAAAAAAAAATTGTCCAGGCGCAGTGGCTCACGCCTGTAATCCTAGCACTTTGGAGGGCTGAGGCAGGTGGATCACGAGGTCAAGAGATCAATACCATCCTAGCCAACATGATGAAACCTCATCTCTACTAAAAATACAAAAAAAAAAAAATTAGCTGGACTTGGTGGCACACGCCTGTAGTCCCAGCTACTTGGGAGGCTGAGGCAGGAGAATTGCTTGAACCCAGGAGGCAGAGGTTGCAGTGAGCCAAGGCCACTGCACTCCAGCCTGGCAACAGAGAAAGACTCCATCCCAAAAGAGAAAGAGAGAGAGAGAGAGAGACGGAGTCTTGCTCTTTCGCCCAGGATGGGGTGCAGTGGTGCAATCTTGGCTCACTGCAGCCTCGACCTCCTGGGCTCAAGCGATCCTCCCGCCTGGGTCTCCTGTGTAGCTGGGACTACAGGCATGCGCCACCATGCCCGGTTAATTTTTGTATTTTTTTGTAGAGACAGGGTTTCGCCATGTTGCCCAGGCTAAAAATGCATAGAATCTTATGGGACCTCCATTGTCTGTGCGGTCCACCTGTTGACCAAATGTTGTTATGCAGTGCATGACTGTACTGCCTCCTCAGTGAAGCCTCCAGAATCACTTCTCCTTTATAAACGAACTCCTTCCTTTGACTTAAGGCCATTTGCATGAGTTCCAGGGTAGCTCTTTTAACGGCTTTTCTGTGTGTATCTGCCTTAGCCTGAGAGCCCTTTGAAGACAGGGCTTACATATTTCTACCTCAGTGACTGCTAGTGGACTTCAACATCATCGAAGTACAGAACTTCATATCAAAATGTGCCTTGAAGGCCCATTTTACAGATAGGGAGACTGACTTCCATTTCCATTTCTCTCCCTGATGCCCCATCCATGCAAGGCGCTGGCCTGGCTAGTCAGCGAATCAAGGTCCGCAAGAGCCAGTGTCTGGCGCCCCGGGAGGGACTCCATTTCCCGAAACGCACAGCGCGCGCCCGATGCGTGCTGGGGAATGTAGTCCTGACCCGGTGCCCCGCCCCCGCCCCACCCCCGAAGTTTCCCAGCACCAGTCGCGATCCTCAGCAGCCCAGACTTTCGTCTCCTGTTGTCACTCACTACTTCCTGTGACTCCAAGACTGCCTTCCCTTACTCTACCCCTTCCTTCAGCCCCCCAGCTCTGATTCTTTCCCGAGACTCAGTGGACGCAGGGGTCCTGCCCCAGCCCCGACCCCAGTCCTCCCCCTGGGTGTACTCGAACCGGTGATCTAAGCCCTGAGCCCAGGTCCCTGAAACCTCAGCCCCAGGCCTCCTCTAAACCCTAGCGCCTGCTGTTTCTCACAACTCACCCGCTCACTCGTTACCTGACACCGGAGCCCTGCCCTTCCCCGCCAAGGCCGCTCCCCTCCCGGACCCGGGGGTGGCGGAAACCCAGACCCCCAGCTCCCAATCCCTCTGACTCCTGCGCCCCTCAGCGACCCGGCGTCCGGTCCCTCAGCCCCTTACCCAGACTTCCCTCCCTCCGGCTCATGCTGGCCCCTGGCTGATCCCGGCTCCCTTCACGCCCCCCTTTCGAGGGGGGAGAAAGGGGAAAGGGCTGGGGGCGTGGCCCGGGCGCAGCCAATCAGAGCCCAGACCCCAAACATTTCATCCTACCCCCCCTTTTGAGACAGGATTCCTTGGCCCTGAGCTCAGCTCCTCGTCCGTGGGGCCTAGTGGGGGAAGGGGCCCGAGGGGGAAGGCAAGTTGTCTGCCGGGTGGACAGGACCTCGGGGCTGGGGGTGTCAGGGCCTGGGAGGCAGCCCAATGTTCTGCCGCGGGCTCAGGCTTGGACCTGAGGCAGCGGCTGCTTTGGGTGTAAAGCTGAGGAGACAGGAGAGGGAACTGCCGGACTGGCAGGACAGGAATGCGCAGGCCCTCTCTCTAGTCTGGGGCGCGGCTTGCGAGGGAGGCTACGATGGGGGCCGTCAGGCTTGGGGCATGTTTGTCCAGACATACATCTCCTGGCCTATCTTAGATGGCTTCCAATCTCATTGTCACACCCACCAGGAGGGAGACAGATACACTGCTCTCCTCTTCTTAGCAGGCCTAGTAACAATCACACCCCGCCCCCCACCCCCAGGAGAACAAGCTACAGAGACCTGGACAGGAAGTCACACCCATACGTCAACCCCATTAACCTGGTGTAGACGGAAAGGAAGGCACATAGGGATGATCCATACTTGGTTTCTGGCCCCCGCGAGGGGCTCGCGGTCTGTCGAGGAAGCCCATAGACAACAGAAGCTAATGGGGTTTGTGAATGAAGACGAGGAGGCCCGTGTGTGTGTGCGCTTGCGTGTGTCTGCGTGTGTGCGTGCATGCGGACGTGTGTGCGTGTGAGCATGCGTGTGTGCGAGTGGATTTGTGTGCGTGTGAGTGTGCAGGTGTGCGCGTGTGTGCATGTGCGCGTGCATGTGTGTGCGTGTGTTCGTGTGAGTGGGTGTGTGTATTGCCGTGAGCAATTGCTGGAATAAAAGAAGAAAGAGTTTAACTGGAGAGGGCACAGCAGATAGAATTGAGCCAGACAATTGGTAGGGCCCACAATCACATGTGTATTAACTGTAAATATTTATTGGGCATTTACCATGTGCTGGGCACTGTTCTAAGAGCCATATGCACATTAACTAACTCCTGTGTTATAGATGCGGAATAGAGAGAAGTGACTTGTCCAGGGTAACACAGTTAGGTGTGGCACAACTGGGATTTTACCTAAGCAGCTTGGCTCAAAAAAATGCTGTCTTAACCATGCTCCTAACCCCTTATACCCTTAACCTCTGGACATGGTCACGCCCAAATTCACAGACACAACAGCCACACCTTGAAACACACACACACACACAACAGCAGCACAAATTTTGACATGGTCTTATCTGCTGACAAGCCAGCCTCAAATAAAGTCAACAAAGACACACTCATTTTATTTAAGTAATGTACATTTTATTTAAGTCATGTGATGGATTTTCACAGAATACATATGCCCAGGGAACCAGCACCAGATTACACAACAGAACTGGATCAGCTCCCAGAAGCTCTCCCCTCGTCCCCTCCCAACCCTAAGGGCGATCACTATCTTGACTTTGGTGCACTATAAATTAGTTTTGTCTGGTTCTGAACGTAATACACCTGGAACCATCTAGTATGTACTGTTGCATTTGGCTTCTGTCACTCAAGATTTCATCATGCGACTTGTCTATGTTGCTGTGTGTAGCCGGGCATGTCAATCCCGTTGCTGTGTCTATGTGCATGGTAGTGAGTAGGGCATCATTCATTTTCCATTCTGTTGATGGGTTATTTCCAGTTTGGGGCTGTTATGAAAGGGCTCTGAACATTCCCATGCACCCTCTTGATGCTCACACCTACACATTTCTGCTGGGTGTTGACAGCCTAGGAGTGGAACTGCTGGATCACAGAGGTGGCATATGTTCGGCTTCATTAGAAAACTGCCAGTTTTCCAAAATGTCTCTACCAATTTACACTCCCCCAGAAATACAAGAGAGGTCCAGTCGCTCTACTTTCTCGCCTCCACACGGTGCGGTCTTTTTCACTTTAGCCATTCTGGTGGTGGAGACCCACTCGTATTCGCAGCGCCTGGAGCGTAATTGGCACTCAGTTAACAAGACTGTTGAATGAATGGATGACTGAGTAAGTTGGGCGGTGTAGACCAACAGCCTGGCGAGGGCGGACACACGCACGCACTCCACACACAGCGTTTCGCGGACACCCACCGCGGCTCACGCAGCGCAGGACACAGACCCTGTCGCGCACCCCGCGCCCACGTGGTCTGAACACACGGCCTCGGCCCTGCCTCGCGCGTCCGGTCGCAACTCCCGCTCTCCGTCCCCAACTCGCGCGTCCGTCCCCAACTCCCGCTCTCGGCGGCGGGCAGGGGGCGCTGAGCGTCCAGGCGCTCCAAGGGGGCGGGCCCGGGTCGGGGCGGGGCCGGCCGGGCTTCCAGGCCTGGGCTCTGGCCGCCCGCGCCACCGGGCCGCTCCGGGGACAGGCCGGGGCGGGGCGCGGCGGCAGGAAACGGGGCGGGGACTTGCGGAGGCGTTGGGGACGAGAGAGGGCGCGGCCAACTCCAGGGGGGACGGCAGGCCGAGAGCGCGGCGCCCGGGCCTGGCGCGGAGCCTGAGCCCGCCGGACGGGAGGCGGCCCCGCCGCGGGCTCGGCCCCGGCCCCAGCCCCGCCAGCATGGCCGGCCGGACTGTACGGGCCGAGACCCGGAGCCGGGCCAAGGATGACATCAAGAAGGTGATGGCGACCATCGAGAAGGTCCGGAGATGGTGAGCGCTGCTCGGGGGCCAGGGACGGGACACAGCGGGACCACCAGCACCAAAGGCGTCTACGCTGCCCTCGCCAGCTCTGGGCCCCGGGTGTTCGGTGTATCTCCACCCACTAGCTTTGCCCTGGATCCACAGGGCTCTGTCCCCGTTCGCCTGGCTACTCCTGGGGGTCTACAAAGCGTGATCCCCAGCCGTGTCCTCCCAGAGCGGGAGCCCCCTCTTGTGCCCCGCCCCCTAAAGCTTTGACACCCCTCCTGCAGGTGCGCCCCAGGATCTGCAGGGCTCTGATCCCGGGCCAGGCCCATAGCCACGCCCCCCATGTGTGCCCCAGGGGTCCGCAGAGCCAGGGCCCCAAATCATATCCTCTCTCTAGAGGCACCCACCGCCTATGCCCTGGGGTTTGCAGGACTCTCTTCCTCCATGTAACTATGCCCCATTAGCAAAACTGTTGCTATCCTCCTGTGCCTCCTCAACCTCTGCAGGTACCCCCAGATGTGTCCAGCTCCTAGGGGGGTGGGTCTCCCCTCAGGCCTCTCTGACCCAGCCCCCCACCCTCCCACAGGGAGAAGCGATGGGTGACTGTGGGCGACACTTCCCTTCGTATCTTCAAGTGGGTGCCAGTGGTGGATCCCCAGGAGGAGGTGAGCAACCCCCATTCCCACAAGGCCCTGCATCTGTGCAACCTCAGGCAAGTTCCTCCCCACGCTGACCTCTACCTCCAGCTCCCCGAGACCTCAGATGCAGCAGGACAGACGGGAACCATCATTAGCAGCTCCTCCCCTTTTGCCCTCTTTTCTGCTCCACACCCCCTGAGTTTGAGCCCTTTTGCTTCTCAGTGCCTCAGTTTCCTTAGGTGTATGGTGGGGCTTTCCAAGAGCTCTGACCCTAATCCTCTAACCCCCAGGAGCGAAGGCGGGCAGGTGGCGGGGCAGAGAGATCCCGTGGCCGGGAACGTCGGGGCAGGGGCGCCAGTCCCCGAGGGGGTGGCCCTCTCATCCTGCTGGATCTTAATGGTAGGTAGGGATCCTGAAACGCGGGGGGCTGTGGGGACTGAAGGAGTGTACTAGGGATCTCAGGCCAACCATCTCGGCTCTTGCTCCCGCAGATGAGAACAGCAACCAGAGTTTCCATTCGGAAGGTTCCCTGCAAAAGGGCACAGAGCCCAGTCCTGGGGGCACCCCCCAGCCCAGCCGCCCTGTGTCACCTGCCGGACCCCCAGAAGGGGTCCCTGAGGAGGCTCAGCCCCCACGGCTGGGCCAAGAGAGAGGTAGGACCAGGTACCTCCCAGGAGCTCTCTCCTCTAAGTCCTGTCTTCTCCAGAGTCTAACCTACCAGCTCATCCCTATACCTGCTCCCCGTCTTGTGCACCCTCCTCAAGGCGCCTTCCGACTCCTGCAGAATCTCCCTGTAGCTACAGTCTCATTCCTCTGGTCTCTTAGAATCTATACAGACATATCACTGTCTGAGATTTTCATGTAAATTAATTTTTTACTAGTTTATCTTTCTCCTCACTCTCATGTCAGTTTCCTGAATGTTGGGCCCATATTGATCCTTTTTTTTTTTTTTTTTTTTTTTTTTTTTTGAGAAAGGGTCTCGCTCTGTCACCCAGGCTGGAGTAGTATAGTGGTGTGATCATAGCTCACTGCAGCCTTGAACTTCCTGGGCTCAAGCGATCCTCCCGCCTCAGCCTCCCAAGTAGCTGGGACCACAGGCATATGCCACCACACCTGGCTAATTTTTGTATTTTTTGTAGAGATAAGGTTTCACCATGTTGCCCAGGCTGGTCTCAAACTCACTTGCTCAAGCAGTCCTCCACCTTCAGCCTCCCAAAGTGCTGGGATTACGGGTGTGAGCCATCACACCCACACCCGGCCCTCCCCCCCCTTTTTTTTAGAGACAAGGTCTCTGTCACCCACGCTGGAGTACTCTGGTGCAATCATAGCTCACTGCAGCCTCAAACTCCTGGGCTCAAGGGATCCTCTGGCCCCAGCCTCCCAAATAGCTGGGACTCAGGTGTGTGCCACCATGCCCAGCCAATTCTTAAATTTTTTGTAGAGGTAGGGTCTCGCTATGTTGCCAAGGTTGGTTTTGAACTCGTGGCCTGAAATGATCCTCCTGTCTCAGCCTCCCAAGGTGCTGGGATTATAGGCGTGAGTCACTGTGCCTGGCCCTATGTGATCTTGTTCACTACTGTATCCTCAGAATAATATGGGACACATAGTAGGTGCTCAGTAAATATCTGTTGAGTGAATAAATAATAGTGATAGTCATAGGGGTGATTAACAATAATAGGAATAACAACAGCTAGTATTTATTGAGCTCTTACTGTGTGCTAGGTGCCCTGGTAAACACTTTACGTGGTTGGGTTTTTTTCTTTTCTCTTTTTCTTTTCTTTGAGAGAGTTTCGCTCTTGCCAAGGCTGGAGTGCGACGGCACAATCTTGGCTCACTGCAACCTTCACCTCCTGGGTTCAGGCAATTCTCCTGCCTCAGCCTCCTGGGTAGCTGGGAATATAGGCATGAACCACCATGCTCGGCTGGTTTTGTATTTTTAGTAGAGTTGGGGTTTCGCCATGTTGGCCAGGCTGGTCTCAAACGCCTGACCTCAGGTGATCTGCCCGCCTTGGCCTCCCAAAGTGCTGGGATTACGAGCCACCACGCCCAGCCTTTTTTTTTTTTTTTTTTGAGATGAAGTCTTGCTCTGTTGCCCAGGCTGGAGAGCAGTGGTACGATCTTGGCTCACTGCAAACTCTGCCTCCCAGGTTCAAGCGATTCTTCTGCCTCAGCCTCCCATGTAGCTGGGATTACAGGCATGCCACCATGCCCGGCTGATTTTTGTTTTTTTTGTTTATTTGTTTGTTTGTTTTTGAGACAGAGTTTCATTCTTGTTGCCCAGACTAGAGTGCAATGGCACAATCTCAGCTCACCGCAACCTCTGCCTCCCGGGTTCAAGCGATTCTCCCGCCTCAGCCTCTCGAGTAGCTGGGATTATAGGCATGCACCACCATGCCCCGCTAATTTTGTATTTTTAGTAGAGACGAGGTTTCTCCATGTTGGCCAGGCTGGTCTCGAACTCCCGACTTCAGGTGATCCGCCTGCCTCAGCCTCCCAAAGTGCTGGGATTACAGGCGTGAGCCACCGTGCCTGGCCTAATTTTTGTATTTTTAGTAAAGATGGAGTTTCACCATGTTGGCCTGGCTAGTCTCGTACCCCTGACCTCAGGTGATCCGCCCGCCTCGGCCTCCCAAAGTGCTAGGATTACAGGTGTGAGCCACCGTGCCCAGCCAACACTTTACGTGTTTTTTTCTCATTTAATTTTTACTACAACCTTATAAGGGTGATGATCTTGTTATGATCCCTATTTATAGATGAGGAAACTGAGACCCAGAGAAGTAACTCAGCCAGTGAGCCAGCATCTTGGGCCTGTGTCCTCATCAGCTCTGCTTTTTTTTTTTCCTTTGAGATGGAGTCTCACTCTGTCACCTAGGCTGGAGTGCAGTGGCACGATCTTGCTCACTGCAACCTCCGCCTCCCAAGTTCAAGCAATTCTCCTGCCTCAGCCTCCTGAGTAGCTGGGATTACAGGCTGCACAACACCACACCCGGCTAATTTTTGTATTTTTAGTAGAGACGGGGTTTCATCATGTTGGTCAGGATGGTCTTGAACTCCTGACCTCGTGATCCACCTGCCTCGGCCTCCCAAAGTGCTGGGATTACAGGCTTGAGCCACCGTGCCCAGCCAGCTCTGCTTTCTTCCATGCAGTCAAACCCGTCTGATTGGCACCTCTTCCTCCTAGGCTCCCTGTCCCTGGCCTTCCCATTTCTCACCCGTTTTTGGTTCCAGCTGGTCTCTTCTAGTCACCTCCACACAGCTGCCAGAACAACTTTTTCCTTCATTTTTTAAGCTTTGCTTTTTTTTTTTTTTTTTTGAGACAAGGTCTCACTCTGTCGCCCAGGCTGGAATGCAGAGGCGTGATCACGGCTCACTGCAGCCTTGGATTCCTGGGCTCAGTCAGCCTCCTGAGTAGCTGGGACTACAGGCATGCATCACCATGCTCAGCTAATTAGTGTTGTTATTCTTTATAGAGACAGGGTCTTACTATGTTGCCCAGGCTGGTTTCAAACTCCTAGGCTCAAGCGATCCTTCTGCCTCAGCCTCCCAGAATGTGAAACCCTGTCTCTACTAAAAATACAAAAAATCAGCGGGACGTGGTGGCACATGCCTGTAATCCAGCTATTAGGGAGGCTGAGGCAGGAGAATCACTTGAACCTGGGAGGCGGAGGTTGCAGTGAGCCGAGATCGCGCCACTGCACTCCAGCCTGGGGGACACAGCGAGACTCTGTCTCAAAAACTAAAACAAACAAACACACAAAAAGAAAACCCTGATGTGGGCCTGTGGACTGGGTCTGGGTCTAGACAGTGCCAAGCAGTTGTATACCTTTGCTAATATAAAAATGGTAGCAAGCATTTATTGAGCACTTACTGTGTGCCAGCCACTGTGCTTTACCTGCATCCGCTCATCTGACCCTCACAACAGCCACATGAGGTAATTACTATCATTATCCCCATTTTACAGATGGGGAAACTGAGGCCCATGGAAATGAAGTAGCTGGCCCAAGGTCAGGATTTGAACCCAGGCAGTCCAAGCCCAGAATCTGTGGCAACTTAGCATGCATTCCCTCTGTCTCACGTGTCATACTTTCCTGTCCACCGCATCACCCTCGAGCTCCCACATCAGTGTTCCCTCCTCTGCTTCCTGGGGCACAGCCAGGTTCCTGCTCTCTCCTCTCTGCTCCCATGGCCCTCTGCCCTCTGTGACTGGGGCCTGTGACCATCTGTTTCCCCCACTGTCTGTGCTGCTGGCACAGAGTGGCTGTTCAGGGGATGTTTGTTACCTTGACGTTCCAGATCCCGGGGGCATAACTGCTGGCAGCACCGACGAACCCCCAATGCTGACCAAGGAGGAGCCTGTTCCAGAACTGCTGGAAGCTGAGGTGAGAGAGGCCAGAAGGCTGGACTCCTGGGTCTTGGAGGGAATGGGGGATCTGGGCAGTCGAAGGCTTGGAGCCTGCGTCCTGAGGGCCTGGAGGAGAGGCAGACCTGGGACAGAGCTGAAGGCTTAGGGGCTGGGTTCTTGGGACTGAAAAAGAAAGGGTGTTTCAGAGACAAAGTGCTGAGGGCTGGATCAGGGCTGATTGAGACCATTAAAAGCCTGACAAAGCTGGGCGTGGTGGCTCACGCCTGTAATCCCAGCACTTTGGGAGGCGGAGGCGGGTGGATCATGAGGTCAGGAGATCGAGACCATCCTGGCTAACACGGTGAAACCCCGTCTCTACTAAAAATACAAAAATTAGCCGGGCGTGGTGGCACGTGCCTGTAGTCCCAGCTACTCGGGAGGCTAAGGCAGGAGAATTGCTTGAACCCGGGAGGCGGAGGCTGCAGTGAGCCAGGATCGCGCCACTGTACTCCAGCCTGGGTGACAGAGCGAGACTCCTTCTCAAAAATAAATAAATAAATAAAGCCTGACAAAATCATGGCGCTCCTCCATGCATTTTCAAAAAATATCAAAAAATATCTAACTGTATAATTAGCATAAGAAAATTCCTTATAAACCTCTGACATTTCTCACGAGGCTACCTCGAGGCATTTTCAGAAATATCAAATATCAGGTTCGTTCCTCCACACAGTGTCACTGTCGTTGTTGTTTTTGGTGCCTGCTTCCTCTGCATCCTGGGCATCTGGCCCTGGGCTTGCCTCCCGGGCCCAGGAGGGGAGGGGAGTGGAGGCTTTGGAGAAGGCAGAGGCTCAGAGGCTGGACGCCTGGGTTCTGTGGAGCTCACGCCTGTCCACCCTTCCTCTCCAGGCCCCCGAAGCTTACCCTGTCTTTGAGCCAGTGCCACCTGTCCCTGAGGCAGCCCAGGGTGACACAGAGGACTCGGAGGGTGCCCCCCCACTCAAGCGCATCTGCCCAAATGCCCCTGACCCCTGAGAAGCCGGCCTGCCTGTCCTGTTGCCCCAGGGGCCCCTTTGGCTTTTTACAAATAAAGACCCTTTTGTAATTTTGTGTCATGTCATTTCCCCGTCAGGGCTGGGGAGGGTCTTTGGAGACAGTTTTGTCTCATGCACCATTGCTCAGATGTGGTCACTGAGGCTCTGAGAGGACCTTCCTGTAGTGACACCACAAGGCAGAGTGGGGTGGGGGCTTGAGCCAGGACCCTGCCTCTCAGTACTTCCCAGGTCTGTCCTATCTCCCGACCTTCACCTCCTCCTCTGGGAGGCCCAGGACCCCTCTTCCTGCTCAGCCCTCGCCTGGGCCTAACAATTATCAAAACTCTGGGTAGCTAGGCCATGATTCTTTTTTTTTTTTTTTTTTTTTTGAGACACAGACTTGTTCTGTTGCCCAGGCAGGAGTGCAGTGGTGCGATCATGGCTCACTGCAGCCTTGACATCCCACCTCAGCCTCCCAAGTAGCCGGGACCACAGGTGTGTGCCACCATACTCAGCTAATTTTATTTATTTATTTATTTATTTATCACTATTTTTTTTTAGAGAGTTTTGCTCTTGTTGCCCAGGCTGGAGTGCAATGGCGCAATCTCGCCTCACTGCAAACTCTGCCTCCTGGGTTCAAGCAAGTCTCCTGCCTCAGCCTCCTGAGTAGCTGGGATTAGAGGTGCCTGCCACCACGCCCGGCTAATTTTTGTATTTTTAGTAGAGACTGGGTTTTGCCATGTTGGCCAGGCTGGTCTCAAACTCCTGACCACAAGTGATTTGCCCGCCTCGGCCTCCCAAAGTGCTGGGATTACAGGCATGAGCCACCATGCCCAGCCTGCTAATTTTATTTTTTGTAGACATGGGGTCTCGCTACATTGCCCAGGCTGGTCTTGAACTCCTGGGCTCAAGTGTTCCTCCTGCCTTGGCCTCCTAAAGTGTTGGGATTACAGGCGTGAGCCACCGCGCCCAGCCTATTCACGTTTCATACATAATAACACAGAGGCCCAGAGGGACTTGGGGGCCTGGGATGACCAACCCATTCCCTGCCCTGAAGAAGCCACTCCTCCACCTGGGATGCCTGGCCACACTTCTGGTTGGGTCTAACTTATCCCCATCTCAATCACCATCTCCTCCGAGAAGCCTTCCCTGACTCCAGGCTCAGTGAGTTTCCCCTTTTTTGAGCTCCAGCAACCCCTTGGGCTTCATTCTCCTTGTTTCATCATTTATCAGGCTGTTCTGGGATCCGTGGTTTGTGTGTCTGTCTTGTCTACGAGGCTGTGGGCTCCTGAGGGGTCTCCACACAACACTGGGAACAGGGCAGTCCCAGCAGCTGCTTCATGAATAAATGAATACATGAATGGGCTGGGGTTTTCCAGGCAGGCTTCTCTGAGGAGGTGGCATGTGAGCTGGGCTCTGAGACATGAACCTCTGTGCTAGAACTCAAGTCAGAAGCCCTGGTTCAAGTCCTGGCTCTGTTACTCCCTGAGTGGCTCTAGGCAGGCTGTTTCTACTCTCAGCCTTAGTTTGTTCATCTGAGCAATGGGAACAATAACTAGGCCTCATCTGCCCCAGGGGTTTGTGGGAAGCTTCGAGTAATATAAGGCCCTCTCACTCTGTGCCTATAGGGTCATGTATATTGGCCCTATTTTTATTTTTAATAAAGAAAGATACTGAGGTTCAGAGAGGACCAAATTGGAACTTTAAAGAAGCATTAAAAACTGTAGGCTAGGTGTGGTGGCTCACACCTGTAATCCCAGGCCTTTGAGAGGCACAGGTGGGAGGACTGCTTGAGGCCAGGAGTTTGAGACCAGCTTGAGCAACAAAGCAAGACAAAAATGAAAAAATTAGCCAGGCATACTGGTGCGCGCCTGTAGTCCAAGCTTCTTGGGAGGCTGAGGTGGGAAGATTGCTTGAGCCCGGGAAGTTGAGGCTGCAGTGAGTGATGATTGCACCACTGTGCTCAAATCTGGGCAACAAAGCAAGACCCTGTGTCTAAACAAACAAAGGAAATGTAAGGATGCTTCCGACAGCAGCTGCAGTGGTGTTGGTGGAGCCAGTGCTGTCCAGGGAAGCCAGGCTTGCTGCAATGTAGTGTAACTGTTTCTTATCACTGCTGTAACAAATTGCCACACATATAGGGGCTCAAAGCCACAGACATTAGCCAGGCACAGTGGCTCATGCCTATAATCCCAGCACCTTGGGAGGCCGAGGTGGGTGGATCACCTGAGGTCAGGAGTGTGAGACCAGCCTGACCAACAAGGTGAAACTCCGTCTCTACTAAAAATACAAAAGTTGGCTGGGCATAGTGGCGGGCGCCTGTAATCCCTGCTACTCGGGAAGCTGAGACAGGAGAACTGCTTGAATCCGGGAGGTTGCAGTAAGCCGAGATCGCACCACTATACTCCAGCCTGGGTGATGGAGCAAGACTCCATCTCAAAAAAAAAAAAAAGAAAAAGCCACAGACATTGATTCTCTTACAGTTCTGGAGAAGTCCAAAGTTAGTCTCACTGGGTTAAAGTCAAGGTCTCAGCAGTAGTTCCCTCCAGAGGAGGATCTCTTTCTTTGCCTTTTCCGGCTTCTAGAGGCTACCTGCAGTGTAGCATCTTCCAATCTCTCTCCATCGTCACATCTTCTCTAACTCTCCTGCCTCCTTCCTCCAAGGACCCTGTGATGACACTGGGCCCATTTGAATAATCTAGGACACTCTTCCTATCTCACAATCCTTAGTTTCATCACACCTGCAAAAGCCCATGTGCCATATAAAGCAACACATGCACAGATTCTGGGGATTCAGATGTGGACTTCTTTGGAGGGCCATCTTCATGGTAATGTCGGCTGTTTGCTGGGTGTGTGGCCACCTCATGACTCCCCTCAACCACTCCCGAGGGAGGAGAGTGTTCTGTAAATGGGAAAGTCCCTTGTGTGGGTTAGTGGTGCAGTGTTGAAGCTCAGAATTCAGGTTCCGGGTTTGAATCTCAGCATCTGCATTCATTTGTTGTATCACCTTGAGCAAGTGACTGAACCTTTCTGTGCATCTGTTTTCTCATCTATAAAATGGAGATAATAGGCCAGGCATGGTGGCTCACACCTGTAATCCCAGCACTTTGGGAGGCTGAGGTGGTTGGATTACTGAGGTCAGGAGTTCAAAACTGGCCTAACCAACATGGTGAAACCCTGTCTCTACTAAAAATAGAAAAATTACTTGGGCATGGTTGCGGGGCATCTGTAATCTCAGCTACTCAGGAGACTGAGGCAGGAGAATCTCTTGAACCCGGGAGGAGGAGGTTGCAGTGAGCTAAGATCACGCCATTGCACTCCAGCCTGGGCAAAAGAGGGAGACTCTGTCTCAAAAAAAAAAAAAAAAAAAAAACAAATGGAGATAGGAGATAATAGTGACATCAGCCTGATGAGAGTATTCTGAGAGTTAAATTAGGCCACACATGGAGAGACAGCCTTTGGCCTGGGACGTAGTAAGTGCTCAATAAATGGCAGGTTTTGTCCTATTGCCCCATGTTACAAATGAGGTTACCAGAGACTCTCCTGTCCCTGAGGCTGGGGACAGAAGCCTGGCCCCAGACAGGGTGTCCATTTCTGAGCAGCCTTGAGAAGCTAAAGTTTGAGTCTCCCCCATTCTTGACTCTCTCCTGGTCACGGGGCCTAGGAAACTGTCCTGATTCCCCCCAGGCATGCCCCCACCCTCTCATGCCCCATTCTTTGACCTGGCTTTTTTTTTTTTTTGAGACGGAGTTTCGCTCTGTCGCCCAGGCTGGAGTGCCGTGACGTGATCTTGGCTCACTGCAAGCTCCGCCTCCCAGGTTCACGCCATTCTCCTGCCTCAGTCTCCCAAGTAGCTGGGACTACAGACACCCACCACCTCGCCCGGCTAATTTTTTGTATTTTTAGTAGAGACAGGGTTTCACCGTGTTAACCAGGATGGTCTCGATCTCCTGATCTCGTGATCCGCCCGCCTTGGCCTCCCAAAGTGCTGGGATTACAGGCCTGAGCCACTGCGCCCGGCACTTTGACCTGGTTTAAAAGCCAGTTTGGGCCTGGCGTGGTGGCTCACACCTGTAATCCCAGCACTTTGGGAGGCCAAGGCAGGCGGATCACTTGAGGTCAGGAGTTCGAGACCAGCCTGGCTAACACGGTGAAACCCTGTCTCTACTAAAAATACAAAAATTAGCCAGCCATGGTGGTGCATGCCTGTAGTCCCAGCTACTCAGGAGGTTGAGACAGGAGAATCACTTGAACGTGGGAGGCGGAGGTTGCCTGGGCAACAGAGTGAGATTCCATCTCAAAAAAAAAAAAAAAAAAAAAAAAAAAAAAGCCAGTTTGGCTGGATATGGTGTCTCACACCTGGAATCCCAGCACTTTGGGAGGCTGAGGCGGGAGGCTGAGGCGGGAGGCTCGCTTGAGCCCAGGAGGTTGAGGCGGCAGTAAGATATGACTGTGCCACTGCACTCCAGCTTGCATGACAGAACGAGACCCTGTATCTTAAAAAAAACAGTGAACATGGTAAATTTAAAAAGCTATCTCTTCCAGAGCCACAGCCCTTATTTACCACCTTGCTGTCTCCCCTTTCCACCTCCTCCCCAAATTCCACACTCTATTTGTGGAAATCCTTCTACCCCTGGCTCTCGGGCCCCACCTCTGGGGCTCACTGACTCCTCCCCTCTGAGCCCTCATCTGTCCTTGGGCACTCCCCTCTTCCTGGTCTGGGAACTGTCTCTTGCCCTGGACTTGCTTCTCTTTGTGCACACTCTCCCTGCTGGGTCCCACCTGCCCTTTGAATCAACAGTTCCTCATTCTCTGACTCTAAGTTCCACCCCCACCTCCAGACTCCAGGAGCCAAATGGCTGCATCACATCTCCATTGGGATATCCCAGAGACCCCAGCCTCATCCTCCCCACAACCTATTCCTACCATCCCAGGAGCCAGCCAAGATGGTGACACCAGAAGTCAGAGTCACCTTCCAGGAACCACCACGTCCTGTTAGGTCTCTGTCTTAAGTAATTTTCCAGTTAGCCCCTTTCTTCAGGGCAACACTGCTTTACTAGGTGCCAGCAAAACTAACAGCCTCCTGGTGCCCACCTCCAATCCATGCTCCACCCAGTAGCTGGGCAATCTTTCAGAAACCCAAATCTGTCCATGCCACTGCCCCCAGTTAGAACCTTCCTGTCCTTACTACCTGCAGGATGGAGCCCACAGCCTGCTGCATACCCACACCTGCAGTCACTCTCTGAACTGCTCACAGCCCCCAGATGCCTGCTGCCATCTCTCACCCCTTGGGTTTTGCTCACACTGGCTGCTCCACCAGGAAAGCCCCTCCCTTCCCCTCTTCGCCTGGCAGATGCCAAAGCAGTTTTCAAGTCTCAGCTTCTGGGGTGTCTCTTCTGCCTTCCCTCAGCCCCTGACCCCTCCTCTGCTATGTCGTGAAGTGGTGGCTGTTGCTTTGTAGTGGTCCCTGTCTGCTTGGTTCTTCAGCACCAGCCTGCAAGCCCCAGGAGGGCAGAGGATTCCCTTTATTCATAGCAATAGGTACTTATTGTGTACTTACTGTTTGCTGGGCACTGTTCTAGGACCTGAGGATGCAGCTTAAAGAACACAGAATAAATGGCCGGGCGTGGTGGCTAGCACTTTGGGAGGCCGAGGCAGGCAAATCACCTGAGGTCAGGAGTTCAAAACCGGCCTGGCCAACATGGTGACACCCCATGTCTGCTAAAAATACAATAGAATTAGCCAGGCCTGGTAGTGGGTGCCTATAATCCCAGCTACTCGGGAGGCTGAGATGGGAGATTCACTTGAACCCTGGAGGCGGAGGTTGCAGTGAGCCGAGATCGCACCACTGCACTCCAGCCTGGGTGAGTGAGATTCTGTCTCAAAAAAAAAAAGAACACAGGAAAAAAAAAAATCCCTGCCCTCATGGCACCTGCCTTCAGGCAGTTATATCCTAAGCAGGAAGTTAGAGTGCGCTGGAAAAAGCAAGCACAGAACGGGAGATGGGGAGAGAGCAGGGTGTGATTTTAAGCGGGGGCGAGGCAGGGGCCTCACTGAGGCAAAGGCTGAAGAAAAGCTGGAAGGAGGTGAGGGAGAGAGCCTTGCAAGTTTCTGGGGAAGGGCATTCCAGGCAGAGGGAATGGCCAGGGCAAAGGAGAGCCAGTGTGACTGGAGCGGAGGGAGGGAGGGGCAGGGGAGTGAGTTCAGGTCAGCTGGGCCTCGCAGGCAGGGCAAGCACTTAAATTATCCTTCACACTGGGAGAATGAAAACAAGGGCAGTACTAATCACGCTGGGAAGGCAGGCAGAAGCTGGGCCAGCAGAACTTATGGTCGCCCTGCTCAGAGGCCACTGTCAAGACTTGGCTTTTCCTCTGGGTATCGTGGAGTGTTCTGAGCAGAAAAGCATAATCAGACTTAGGTTTTGTTCCTAATTTTTTGTTGTGTGTGTGTGTGTGTGTGTGTGTGTGTGTGTGACGGAGTCTCACTCTGTCACCCAGGCTGGAATGCAGAGGTGCAATCTCGGCTCACTGCAACCACTGCCCCCTGGGTTCAAGCGATTTTCCTGCCTCAGCCTCCCAAATAGCTGAGATTACAGGCACTCGCCACCACACACAGCTAATTTTGTATTTTTAGTAGAGACAGTGTTTCACTATGTTGGTCAGGCTGGTCTTGAACTCCTGACCTCAGGTGATCCACCCGCCTGGGCCTTGCAAAGTGCTGGGATTACAGGCATGAGCCACGGCACCCGGCCTGCAGGCACATTGTTAACTACAGCCCAGTATTCATTCACAGGTTTTTTCCCCCGTCTTTGATGTAAAATATCTATATAGTAAAATGCATAGGTGTTAATTGCTTGATTCAGTGAATTTTAACAAAAGCATAGTGCCAGGTGCGGTGGCTCACTGGGAGGCCAAGGCAGGAAGGTCATTTGAGTCCAGAAGTTTAAGACTATCCTGGGCAACATAGTGAGACCTCATCTCTACAAAAACTTAAAAAAAAATTAGCCGGGCATGATGGTGCACACCTTTAGTTCCAGCTACTTGGGAGGCTGAGGTGAGAGGATCACTTGAGTCCAGAAGTTCAACACTGCAGTGAGCTATGATTGTACCACTGCACTCTAGCCTGGGCAACAGAGCAAGACCCTGTCTAAAAAAAATAAAAATAAAAATAAAACCAGAACAAAACAAATGCATACATCTGCATAAGGAAACTGTTCTCAAATACAAAACATCACTATCACTTGCCAGAAAGTTCCCGTTGCCCCCTTCTCATCTCCAACTCCCCAGAGTCAACCGCTGTTCTGACTTTTTTTTTTTTTTTTTGTATTTTTAGTAGAGACGGGGTTTCACCATGTTAGCCAGGATGGTCTCAATCTCCCGACCTCGTGATCCGCTCACCTCAGCCTCCCAAAGTGCTGGGATTACAGGCATGAGCCACCGCGCCCAGCCTGTTCTGACTTTTTTAATAAGACAGGGCCTTGATCTGCTGTCCAGTGTGGAGTGCAGTGGCATGTTCACAGCTCACTAATTTTTTTTTGTATTTTTTGCAGAGACGGGGTCTCACCATATTGCCCAGGCTGGTCTTGAACTCCTGGGCTCAAGCGATCCACCTACCTCTGCCTCCCAAAGTGCTGGGATTACAGGTGTGAGCCATGCACACAGCCTTTTTGTTGTTGTTCAAACAACTTTAATGATGCCACAATGTCTGTCCTCCCCCAAGTAACTGGGTAAAGTGTTTTTTTTTGTTTGTTTGTTTTAGATCATAGCTCACTGCAGCCTTGAACTCCTGGGCCCAAGTGATCCACCTAAGCTTCCCGAGTAGCTGGGACCACAGGCATGTGCTACTGCGCCCAACTACTTAACATTTTTTTTTTTTTGAGACGGAATCACGCTCTGTCACCCAGGCTGGAGTGCAGTGGCGTGATCTTGGCTCACTGAAAGCTCTGCCTCCCGGGTTCACGCAATTCTCCTGCCTCAGCCTCCCAAGTAGCTGAGACTACAGGTGCCTGCCACCATGCCCAGCTAATTTTTTTGTATTTTTAGTAGAGATGGAGTTTCACCATTTTAGCCAGGATGGTCTCGATCTCCTGACCTCGTGATCCGCCCGCCTCAGCCTCCCAAAGTGCTGGGATTACAGATGTGAGCCACCGTGCCCAGTTTTTTTTTTTTTTTTTTTTGTAGAGAAGGGGAGTCTCTCTGTGTTGCCTAGGCTGGTCTGGAACTCCTGGCCTCAAGGGATCCTCCTGGCCTCACAAAGTGCTGGGATTACAGGCGTGAGCCACCACACCTGGCCTGATTGTTTTAAAGTAACGGATTGGGTGAACCTGTTCTGGAACTTCATGTAAATAGAATTAAGCAGTATGTAACTCTTTTGCATCTGTTTTCTTTTACTCAGGCTAATATTCTTGAGGGTCATCCGGATTATTGTGTGAATCAGTAGTTTGTTCCTTTTTACTGCTAAATTATATTCCATAGGCCAGGATCACTCTGCTGGGTGGAGAAGAGATGGGCCCTGCCAGGGCTCAGAGACTCAGGTGAATGCACCACAGGGAGATGGACAGCCTTTTCTTAGGAATTTCTAGAATGCGAAGTCTGTGGCATCAGTCTCCCCAAAAATCTGGGAAAACAGAACTACATCAGGAGAATCTAGCATGACCAAGCATCCCTGTTTGCCCAGGACTTTCTTGGTTTTAGCACTGCAGGTTCCATGTCCCAGGAGACACCCCAGTCTTGAGCAAACTGGGATGGCTGATCACCATCACCCTAGCAGGATCCTGCCACTGCCCTTGGGGCTTCCGGACCCTTTTCACACAAGATTACATTCTGTTCCTCCTACAGAATGATTTTCCTTAAACTCTAAACTGGGCTCCTCTCCTGTTCTAAAACTTCCCATGGCTCCCCATGGCTGAGCCTGGCAACTGAAAGCACGTAGTCTCTGGTAGTGTGCATACTGGAATCACCTGGGGAATCATTTAAATATTCTGATGGCTGCCTTCTACCCTTGACATTTTTTTTTTTTTTTTTGAGACGGAGTCTCGCTTTGTCACCCAGGCTGGAGTGCAGTGGCACGATCTCAGCTCACTGCAACCTCTGCCTCCCGGGTTCAAGTGATTCTTCTGCCTCAGCCTCCTGAGTAGCTGGGATTACAGGTGCGTGCCACCACGCCCAGCTAATTTTTGTATTTTTAGTAGAGACTGGGTTTCACCATGTTGGTCAGGCTGGTCTCAAGCTCCTGACCTCGTGATCCACCCACCTCGGCCTCCCAGAGTGCCAGGATTACAGGCGTGAGCCACCACGCCCAGCCACCCCAGACATTTTTGTTTTTTTTGAAATAGAGTCTCGCTCTGTCGCCCAGGCTGGAGTGCAGTGGCACGATCTCGGCTCATTGCAACCTCTGCCTCCTGGGTTCAAGTGATTCTCCTGCCTCAGCCTCCCGAGTAGCTGGGACTACAGGCGCGTGCCACCACACCCAGCTAATTTTTTTAAATTTTTTTATTTTTAGTAGAGACGGGGTTTCACCGTGTTAGCCAGGATGGTCTCAATCTCCTGACCTTGTGATCCGTCTCCCTCGGCCTCCCAAAGTGCTGGGATTACAGGCATGAGCCACCACACCCGGCCCCACCCCAGACATTTTACATTGGTATCATGTGCAACCTGGGCCCTGGGATTTTTTGTTTTGTTTTGTTTTTTTGAGTCTTGAGTTTAGCTCTATCGCCCAGGCTGCAGTGCAGTGGCATGATCTTGGGTCACTGCAACCTCCGCCTCCCAGGTTCAAGCCATTCTCGTGCCTCAGCCTCCCAAGTAGCTGGGATTACAGGTGCCTGCCACCACACCCGGCTAATTTTTGTATTTTTAGTAGAGATGGGGTTTCACCATGTTGTCCAGGCTGGTCTCGAACTCCTGACCTCAGGTGATCCACCCGCCTTGGCCTCCCAAAGTGCTGAGATTACAGGCATCAGCCACTGCGCCCGGCCAAGGGCCCTGGGATTTTTACAAGCTCCTCAGGTGATGCTAACATGCTGCAAAGCTTGGAGCTGTGAGCCTGTGAATGTGATTTGTTTGGCTTACATGGTGTTGAACATGTTGGCAACATTAAAATCAAGTGATTTCATATAAAAATCTGGACTAGGCTGGGCGCGGTGGCTCACGCCTGTAATCCCAGCACTTTGGGAGGCCGAGGCGGGTGGATCACGAGGTCAGGAGATCGAGACCATCCTGGCTAACACGGTGAAACCCCATCTCTACTAAAAATACAACAAATTAGCTGGGCGCGGTGGCGGGTGCCTGTAGTCCCAGCTACTCGGGAGGCTGAGGCAGGAGAATGGCCTGAACCCAGGAGGCGGAGCTTGCAGTGAGCCGAGATAGTGCCACTGCACTCGGGCCTGGTGAAAGAGCGAGACTCCGTCTCAAAAAAAAAAAAAAAATCTGGACTCAGGCCGGGTGACGTGCCTCACACTGTAACCCCAGCACTTTGGGAGGCTGAGGCAGGAGGACTGCTTGAGCCTAGGAGTTGAGGCTACAGTGAGCTATGTGTTGCTACCCTTCAACCTGCGCGACAGAGCAAGATCCTGTCTCTACCAAAAATAAAAAAAGAAATCTGGACTCCAGCTACCCTTGAAAGCAGATATTCTGAGATACTGAGTTTGCCTCCTGGAGTGGTCATGGGGCGGAGGTTGGTGGGGTAGGGGGGTAGGGGGTGCAGAACACTGACTGCCCTGGGGGCGGAGTCTCTGCCCTTCAGTCCCCGCAATCCCTACCGCTCCCTGGTGTTCCACTCTCCTCCTTGCTGTTCACTTGCATGGCCTCCAGGCTAATGGCTGAGTTTTGCGGCCAGGCATTTCAGGCCTCCCAGCCTTGGCCTCTGCTCACCTTCTCCACCTCCTCACTCCCTGCTCTAGTCATCTTCATCTCATGTCCTGCCCTCCAGCCACATGGGCTTCTTGGTCCCTTCCACACCTGTTTTTGCCCATGGAGTTCTCCCACCAAGTTCCTTATGGTAGAAAAGCCCCTGCTGGATTTGGCCCCTGCCCACCTCTCCTGCCCCTTTCCCCAAGCTTTCTTCCAACTCATGCATAGAACTTCTACCACAAGGAAGCTGGCCAGGCTGTTAGCACTCCCGTTCCCTCTGTCTGTGAAGCCCTTTCCTTCCCTCCACCCTCCCCTTCTCTCTCTTATCTCAGGCTTTGGGTTTGATTTCACCTCCTCCAAGGTTCCCTGACCTTCAAACTAGGTCAGGTCCCTGGTTAGTCACTATACTTCCTCTTTCTCACCTCCTTCATCTCACTTCCCCTGCTAGAATAAGGCCACATCTGTCTCATAATCTCTGTCTTCCTAGGGCCTAGTGTGGTGCCTGGCATACAGTAGGTGCTCATTAATGATAAATGAATGAAAGCAAGCACATCTCCCTTTCTCTACTGGCAAAATCCTAATCCTTTTCTGGTTACATTTCTCCTGTAGCATCCAATTCTGTTCTCGAGACCCAAAAGATCCCTGAGGTCCTGTGATCAATGGAGTTTTAGCTCAGGTCCATTTCACAGTGGGCCCAGGGGATCCCCAGATTCATCCGTGGTTATTTCCCCAGGCACAGAGTGAGTGCACTGGTGGCACAGGCATACCCAGCAAGTGGCATAATCCCCCCCATTAGTTAACTGGGTGTCGCTGTGCATGGCTGTGAAGGCAGGGATGCACCTGGCTGGTGACCCCAGAACCCCTCCGGGTACGGCACAAGGGCAGAGCCCAAGAACTTACTTTCTGTCCTCTTGCATTTGCCTGTGGATTTGCAGTTGGTAATGGCGTTCTTGCCCGGCCCTCCTTTGTTCCTCCAGGCAGCCAGGCAGCTGTGGCGTAGTGAAAGGGCAGGATGCGGGATAGGAATGGAGTTATTCCTGATTCAGACTGATTTGCTCTAACTGTGATTTGGGGCAAGTCCCTTCCCCTGTCTAGACCTTAGCTGGCTGCCGCATCTAAAAAATGGAGCCAATAATCTTTTCCTCGTCTTTGGGGTCATCCATCTTTCAACCACATCAGGAGCAGCGGGAACCAAGTGCAGAGGATGGCCTTAAAAGCAGTATGGGAACCAAATTTTTGTAAAGTAAATATTTTCAACCTTTATATTTTGGAATCACCAGCGGTATTTATTACGTGCACTCTAGGAAATGGAGGCAATGCAATGCCAAAAACAGAAAGTAAAACTGCTGTCCTGTGCCGCGGCCCGGTGGAGGTTTTAATGTCTGTATCTTAAGATCTGGTGAGGGCACGGGTAGGTGCGGCTGGACTGAGTGAAACCAGCCCCGCTGGGCGCCTGGGCCCTTGTCTCAGGGCTGTGCTCGCAGTGGAGGCATCTGCAGCTCGGCACCCAGAGGCCCCGCGACCCTTCCAACCTTTGTGACGCTCCGCGGAGACAAAGGCCGGCGGCGCAGCCTTGGGAAGGGTTAAGGCCACAGACGCAGCCCTGCGCGTGCTAGAGCGGCCGGTGGCGGACTTCCGGTTGGGGCGCGGGCGCGCGCCGCGTGTTCCCGACCCGCCGAGGCTGAGACCTCGGGCAACCTCAGCAGTGCGCAGGGCTGCACTGTCTCCGTCTGCGGCCTGCAGTAAGCGGGTAGGGGATATGTCGCGTGGCCTCGCCTGGTCTGCGGCGGGAAACTCGCATCTAGGCCAGACCCTCCCGCAGGGTCCGCACTCGCGATCTGGGCTGTGGGCAGCATCGTGGCCCCTCGGGGCGTTATAGGGGCGTGAGGATCCCGGGCGAGCTGGGGGCGGGCGGCTTCTTCAGCTCCCTTGCGCCATGGAACCCACTGTATGCCCGTTATGCAGTCAGGAAAGATGAGGCCGGGAAGGAGGGCGTTACGCTGCAACCCCGGAGACCAGCTGTCCCTCGCGTTGCCGCAGTCGGCAGAGGCGTGGCCGGAGCCATTCCCGGTCTCCAGTGCGGCTGCAAGAGCGGGCGCCCGAGGGCGTTCTGCTCCGGGCCTCCACCCGCGAGCTGACCGTGTCAGGCGCGCCACACACGGCGCTTCTCATTCTCTCTCCACCTCGCGAGGCAGAAGCTGCCGTTCCCGTGTCACAGACAGAAAAACAGTCTGGGGTGATTTATCCGGAGTCAAGACTCAGGTCTGTGGCTCAGTCGGGAAGGATAGAAACCCAAGCTTCCTCCGAATGGTTCAGAGACCCGACCAAGTTAAATAATAATGGCCCTGGCTCAGGGGTCTTTAAGTCTTCCCCCCGCCCTCCCCTTTTGTTTTTGTTTTGTTTTGAGACCGCCTCACTGTCCCCCAGGCTGGAGTGCAGCGGTGCGATCTCCGCTCACTGCAGCTTCGACCTCCCGAGGGCTCAGGTGATCCTCCCACCTCAACCTCAGGAGTGTCTGGGACTACAAACACGCGCCACCACGCCCGGCTAATTTTTCTGTTTTTTGTAGAGTCAGGATCTCGCTATGTTGTCCAGGCTGGTCTGGAACTCCTGGGCTCAAGCGATCCTCCTGCCTCGGCCTCTGAAAGTGCTGGGATTACAGGCATGAGCCACCGCACCTGGCTACCCTTTAATTAACTCAAGGAGTTTAATAATTGAATTTAGGCTGGGCTCAGTGGCTCACGCCTGTAATCCTAGCACTTTAAGAGGCCACGTCGGGCAGATCACTTGAGGTCAGGAGTTCAAGACCAGTCTGGCCAACATGGTGAAACCCTGTCTCTACTAAAAATACAAAAATTAGACGGATGTGGTGCCACACACCTGTAATCCCAGCTACTCGGGAGGCTGAGGCAGGAGAATCCCTTGAACCCGGGAGGCAGAGGTTGCAGTGAGCCAAGATCGCACCACTGCACTCTAGCCTGGGCCACAGAGCAAGAATCTGTCTCAAAAAAAAAAAAAAAGGTTTGACACCTATACCTTCCTCTGTGTGTGTGTGTGTGTGTGTATACATATATCTATATATATATGTATATAGAGAGAGGAGGAAAAATTATATAATTTTTCTATATGTGTGTGTGTGTATATATATCTGTACAATTTTTTTTTTTTTTGAGACAGTGTAGCTCTGTGGCCCAGGATGGAGTGCAGGGACTCGATCTCGGCTCACTGCAACCTCCGCCTCCCAGGTTCAAGCGATTCTCCTGCCTCAGCCTCCCGAGTAGCTGGGATTACAGGCTGCTGCTACCATGCCTGGGTAATTTTTGTATTTTTAGTAGAGACAGGGTTTTGCTATGTTGCCCAGGCTGGTCTGGAACTCCTGAGCTCAAAAGTGATCTGCCTGCCCCAGCCTCCCCAAATGCTGGGATTACAGGTCTGAGCCATCACACCCGGCCCATATATACGTATTTTAAAATAACACCTTTACTGAGAGAGATGACTCACACACCATACAACTCACCCATTTAAAGTGTACAGTTCAATGATTCTTAGTATCTTCACAGTTTTGCAAATATCACCACAGTCAATTTTAGAACATTTTCATTACCCCTAAAAGAAACCATACCCATTAACAGTAACTCCCAAGCCTTCCTCCCACTACAGCTCTAGACTACTGCAAATCTACTTTCTGTCTCTATAGAGTTGATTATTTTGGACATTTCATATTAGGGCTTTATGTGGCCTTTTTTGACTGAGATAACCTTTTTGTTGTTGTTTTTAACAAAATCAACTCCTTGAGCTCAGAGCCCTGGCCTATAATCATAGCCAGCTAGAACTGAACAGCATTGTTTTGGTTTTATTGTATCTATTTTTACCACTCTTGGGTACATGATAATTTCTCATTTATGGCAGTGGTTAAAGTTTCCTTTTGAATACACCTAGTTCCATCAAAACGTGAGTTGATAATTTTTAAAGAACAAGATTAAGTAAACAGAAGTAGAGGTGGTCCACAAATTTGTCAGAGGTTGGGAAGATGGGATGTGAATGAAGTTTGGCAAACACTGGATTGTCTGATTTACGGTTCTCCAGGTCATCATTTGAAAACCACCCTCACCTTATTCTTTCATTGCATTTTCCTGACAACTCCTGTAAAGAAGTGCATGATTTTACCGATGAAGAAACAGGTTCAGAGAAGTCAGGTACAATTACTTGTCCAGTGTCACACAGCTAGTGACAGAAGCTAGGCTTAACCAAGTCTGTCTGATTGCCAAAACTACCTACTTACCAAGTCTGGAAGTAGGATAGGGGGTGGGGAATGGACTAGCAGGCTTGAGAGGGGACTCTGGCCACTACCCAAAACATGCGGGCACCAGGCTGCCTGAGTTGTTTTGGGTACCTCTTCTAACAAATATTCAAATATTTCTATGAAACAATTTATGACTCTAAACAGAAATCCCATCTCATTTGCCACTGGGGCTTTCACCCTCTCTCAACGGCACACCGCAGTTCAGGAAGTGCTGCCTGCCTGGAGAATGAGGGTGTGTGTGAACGTGCGTGCTGGTGGTGAGGAGAGTCTGATCTCTAGTTCATCTTGGTTGCTACTGGCATCACTTTCCAAGCCCACAGGGGTCCCTTACACTCCATGACTTCTGCCCTATTCCACCTGTGGGCACCAGAGTCTCTAGGCTGGCTGGGATTACCTGCATATAGGGTCCCATGTTTCTGGAATGTCAGGCCGCCACCTGCTCTCAGGACTGACCACTTTCCTGGAGCACAGCCGCAGGGTATTCACCATGACTCCCTCTCTCCCCTTCCTGGCCAAGGACTTTCCCACCTCTTGCCATCATCTTCATCAGAACTCTGCCTCCTCCCTCAGACCCTATTCCTCATCTTATTCTTTCCCTGTGGGCTTTAACTGACCATTAAATTCAGAACCCATTCCAATAACACGAATATCCTTTTCCAGAGAGAGCTTAATTTTATACCTTAATTTTTGAAATTATAGCATATAGAAGATAAGCAAAACAACCAGGTCCTGCCATGCTCTTGTTCAACACCGATTTAACTCAGTCCACCTCTCTCACAGCTGTGCAATTCAACTTGACCCAAACTTGAGGCTAAGCACCTCCAGACAGGATGATTAGGGTCCATCTGGTCTCACTCAACTTAGGTGAGAATCTCAACCCTAAATCCAAGCAATTATCTGAGTAATTCTGGACCCTATAAAACAAAATAGTGGCCGGGTGCGATGGCTCACACCTGTAATCCCAGCACTTTGGGAGGCCAAGGTAGGCAGATCACCTGAGGTCAGGAGTTCAAGACCAGCCTGGCCAACATGGTGAAACCCTGTCTCTACTAAAAATGCAAAAATAAGCCAGGTGTGGTGGTGCCTGCCTGTAGTCCCAGCTACTCAGGAGGCTGAGGCAGGAGAATCACTGGAACCCGGGAGGTGAAGGTTGCAGTGAGCCAAGATCGTACCACTGCACTCCAGCCTGGGCGACAGAGTGAGACTCAGTCTCAAAAAAAAAAGCTAACATTGAGCTAGGTGAATATTCTCAGAGCACTACATGCATAATCTTACAAAATCATTTCAATAACTTAGTGAGGTAAGTACTCTTATTATTTCCACTTGACAGATGAGAAAAGCAAGGCACAGAGAAGTGAAGTCACTTGTCCCATAGTATATAATAGAGGCAGATCTGAATCCGTATCATCTGACTTCAGAGTGTGTACCCTCAAACACAGAGTTCAGATGAGGCTAACTCCAGCCATCGTTTACAGCAGCATTTCAGTGTTCCCTATACGCTGTCCCCCTCCTAAGTCAGTTTCTAGCTACTTGGGAAGCAGAGTTGGGGATTCCTCTTCCCAGAGATCCAGAGTCGGAGCACCCCAAGACCTGGATCTCCCACTCAGGACACCTTTCCCCCTGCCCAGTTCTGGCCCCTCTGGTGATGAGTTAACAACTGTTCCCCTGGCCTGCAACTGCCACCGAGTTACTATGTGTCAGCACTGGGCTGGGTACATTTACAATTTATCTGGTCCTCGCTACTTCCCAGGCGCTATTCTTCCAATATTACAGATAAGTCAACTGAATTCTAGGACAGTGAAGTGACTTGCCCAGGGGCACACAGCTAGTGAATGGAGCAACAAGGATTGGAACCCAGGTGCCCATCCCTGAGTCTACTGCTCTGGCCACTCCTTAGGGACATTCTGGAGTTGAGAGTCATGTAAGGGAGGGAGGTGATGCTTGGCTGTGGTACCCCAGCAAGTCTCTTACCCTCTCTGGCTCTACTTTATCTATAAAATCTCTTTCCCCAGTTTATTTATTTATTTATTTAATTTTATTTTATTTTTTGGTGGGGGGACAAGATCTTGCTCTGTCACTCAGGCTGGAGTACAGCTCACTGCAGCCTCCAACTCCTGGGCTCAAGCGATCCTCCTGCTTGATCTTCCTGAGTAGCTGGGATTACAGGCGTGAGCCACCGCACCCAGCCCACCCGGCTAATTTTTTATTTTTTTTGTAAAGACGGGGTCTCACTATGTTGGCCACACTGGTCTCAAACTCCTGGGCTCAAGTGATCCTCCCACCTTGGCCGAGAAGACAGGTGTGCTGGGATTACAGGTGTGAGCCTCTGCACCTGGCCTCTTTTCCCAATTTTTCTAATGAAAGCAAGCTTCCTTTTTTTTAGGAACTTCAGAATGAAACTTAAAAGACCACTATGAAAAGGGTGTTCTTATAAAAAAGAAGTCTCACTCCTTTGGCAGGCCAGGAGTCGTAAGGCCTGGTCTAAGGAACCATTTTCTGCCTAGGCTTCTAGAGCAGCAGCTGGGCTGAGGGGCTTGGAGTTTGGGGAAAAGGAGATGAGAATCCTTGAGCCTCCCTGGGGAACAGGAATGTGATGGTAACAATGGCTCCCATTTACTGCATCTTCCTAAGGTGGCAGGCCCTGGGCTAAGAGATTGAGATACAGGTGAGATATATAGATATATGAGATAGATGGATAGATGCATGTATTCATACACATGGATTCTAGGCTTTTAGCCGCTGCCCTACTCTATTTTTCTAGAATTTTAGAGAAGAGTTTTCTTAGATATCACCTCATTCTATCTTCTAATTTAAGGGCAAGGAATAATTTGTTTACTCATTCAACAATCATGGAGGTGCCATTCTATGCTAGGTCCATGCTGAACTCAGAAAAGACAGAAAAAGGCCAGGCACCATGGCTCATGCCTGTAACCCCAGCACTTTGGGAGGCCAGTGTGAGAGGATTGCTTGAGGCTAAGAGTTGGAGACCAGGTTGGGCACCATAGCGAGACCCCATCTCTACAAAAAATAAAAAAAATTAGTCGGGCATGATTGTCCTCACTTGTAGTCCCAGCTACACTGCAGGCGAAGGCAGGAGGATGCCTTGAGCCCAGGAGTTTCAAGGCTACAGTAGCTTTGATCGTGACACTGCACTCCAGCCTGGGCAACAGAGCGAGACCCCGTCTCTTTAAAAAAAAAAAAAAAAAGAAAGAGCCAGGCGTGGTGGCTCACACCTGTAATCCCAGCACTTTGGGAGGCAGAGGCAGGAGATCCACTAGAGCTTAGGAGTTCGAGGCCAGCAACATAGTGAGAACTCATCTCTACAAAAAGTAAAAAAAAATGAGCTGGGCACAGTGGCAGGCGCCTGTAGTCCCAGCTACTCAGGAGGCTGAGGTGGGAGGATTGCTGGAACCTGGGAGGTCGAGGCTGCAGTGAGCCATGATCGTGCCACTGAACTCCAGCCTGGGTGACAGAGTGAGACCCTGTCGCAAAAAACAAAATAAAATAATGAAGGCTATAGGCTCAGAGAGGGAAAGCGATAGGCCCCGAGTGACACAGCAAAGCTGGAACTACGACTCTGGCCCCAGTCTTCAAGCTCGGCACTCTTTCTACTTTGTCTTTCCCATAACTGTCGACTCACAAAGCCATGGCCATGAAAAAATTAGATTCATGGCTGGGTGCGGTGGCTCACACCTGTAATCCCAACATTTTGGGAGGCTGAGGCAGGTGGATCATTTGAGGTCAGGAGTTCAAAAAAAAAGAAAAAATTACAGATTCATTTTAAAAGTGTAATGTGGAAGCTGAGAAGGGAGGTAAAGCAGAGGCATAACAGGCCAATTTTTTTTAAATCTTTTTTTTTTGCTGTTGTATTATTTTTCTTTTCCGTTCTGTTCTTTTTCTTTGTTGTTGCTGTTGTTTTTTGTTTTGTTTCAGATGGAGTTTCGCTCTTGTTGCCCAGGCTGGAGTGCAATGGCGCAATCTCCGCTCACCACAACCTCCACCTCCCAGGATCAAGAGATTCTCCTGCCTCAGCCTCCCAAGTAGCTGGGATCACAGGCGCGTGCCACCACACCTGGCTAATTTTGTATTTTTAGTAGAGACCAGGTTTCTCCATGTTGGTCAGGCTGGTCTCGAACTCCCGACCTCAGGTGATCTGCCCACCTCGGCCTCCCAAAGTGCTGGGATTACAGGCGTGAGCCACCGCGCCTGGCCTATTGTATTGTTTTCTATAGCTGTAACAAATTACAGCAAATTTAGTAGCTTAAAACAACACAGATTTGGCGGGGTGCGGTGACTCACGCCTGTAATCCCAGCACTTTGGGAGGCCGAGGTGGGCGGATCAGGAGGTCAGGAGATGGAGACCATCCTGGCTAACATGGTGAAACCCTGTCTCTACTAAAAATACAAAAAAAAAAAAAAAATTAGCCGGGTCGGGTGGTACACGCCTGTAGTCCCAGCTACTCGGGAGGCTGAGGCAGGAGAATCGCTTGAACCCAGGAGGCAGAGGTTGCAGTGAGCTGAGATCGCACCACTGCATTCCAGCCTGGGTGACAGAGCAAGACTCTGTCTCAAAAAAAAAAAAAAAACCCACAGATTTATCATATTACAATTCCGTAGGTCTGAAGTCTGACATGAGTCTCACTGGGCTAAAATCGAGGTGTTTCTGTTGGACAAGAGATTGTTGTAAAACAACAACAAAAAATAATAAATAAATGAAATCAAATCAGGGTGTCTTCAGGGCTGTGTTCCCTCCTGGAGGCTCTAGGGGACAGTCTGTTTCACTCTCTCTTCCAGCTTCCAGAGGCCCCTCCCTCCATCTTCAGAGTCAGTCACACTGCATTTCTGACCATTCTTCCACAATCACATCTCCCTCTGATCAAAATCAGAAATAAGTCTCTGATTTTATTTTATTTTTTTCTTTTTGAGATGGAGTCTTGCTCTGTTGCCCAGGCCGGAGTGCAGTGGCGCGATCTTGGCTCACTGTAACCTCCGCCTCCCGGGTTCAAGCGATTCTCCTGTCTCAGCCTCCTGAGTAGCTGGGATTACAGGCATGCGCCACCACGCCTGGCTAATTTGTGTATATTTAATAGAGATGGGGTTTCACCATGTTGGCCAGGCTGGTCTCGAACTCCTGACCTCAGGTGATCTGCCTGCCTCGGCCTTCCAAAGTGCTGGGATGGCCGAGTCTCTGATTTTAAAGACCAACATGATTACATTGTGCCCCCCTGGATAATCCAAGACCACCCGCATCTCAAGGTCCTTAATCACACCTGCAAAATCCCTTCACCATGTAAACTAAGACATTCACATGTTCCAGGGGTTAGGGTGTGGGAATTTTAGGACATCAGAATAATGGCCATTATTCTGCCTACCACTTATGAAACATCCATATACATAAATATTCATAGAAAAATAGTCTAAGATAGTATTACAAAACAAAATATCCTTATAACCACCACCCAAACCAAGAAATAAACATGGTCAGAATCTCAATGATACCCACCTTCCCCCAATCATGTTTTTTTGGGCCTGGAATTTTTTTGTCCATCTATTAACTTTCAACATTTTTGTCACTTTGTTTTATGTGCATTTCCTATACATTGCATATGGCTAGATTTTAAAAGTCATTTGGTTTGACAAGCTCTGACTTTTGTTTGTTTTTGAGACAGGGTATCTCCCTGTCATCCAGGATGGAGTGCAGTAGCACAATTGTAGCTCACTGTAGCCTCAAACTCCTGGGCTCAAGTGATCCTCCAGCCTCAGCCTTCTGGATAGTTGGGACTACAGGTGTGCACCACCATGCTCAGCTGATTTTTAAACTTTTTGTAGAGAAGATATCTCATTATGTTGCCCAGACTGGTCGTGAACTCTTGGCCTTATATAATCCTCCCACCTCAGCTTCCCAAAGTGCTGGCATTACAGGCATGAGACGGCACGCCCAGCAAACCTCTGACTTATAATAGGTTAATTCAGCCTGTTCATATTTATTTCAATAAGCAATATACTTTCTTTCCGCCTTATTTTACATTTACTATTTACATTTCATTAATGTTTTCCTCTGTGCCTTTTTTTTTCTTTAACTTTGGTGGGTTTCATCAAGTTCCTGTTAATTCCCACCCCCCCACCTTTTTTTTTTTTTTCCAGACAGTCTCGCTATTTTGGCCAGGCTGGAGTGCAGTGGCCCGATCTTGGCTCACTGCAACCTCTGCCACCCAGGTTCAGGCGATTGTCATGCCTCAGCCCCCTGAGTAGCTGGGACTACAGGTGCGTGCCACCACGCCTGGCTAATTTTTGTATTTTTAGTAGAGACAGCGTTTCACCATGTTCGCCAGGCTGGTCTCAAACTCCTGACCTCAAGTGATCCACCCACCTCAGTCTACCAAAGTGCTGCAATTACAGGCGTGAACCACCGCACCCAGCCTTCCCTTTGCTAACCTGCTAGTGTTTATCTTCTTTCCTAACAATCATATCCTTAAATTGCTCTATGGATACATGGTAAATAATCCTCCTCCATCAAAATATTATGCTTGCCAACTCCTCCATCACTCCCTGAAAGACGCTGCCTTTAGCATGCTTCTAACTCTCCCACTCTCCCCAGTCCTTGAGTTTTATTACTGAGATAGTTTACAATTTTTTGTTCTCGTCTATTATGAGGATTTGTTGTTGTTATAAAACCCATATGGCCGGGCGAGGTGGCTCACGCCTGTAATACCACCACTTTGGGAGGCTGAGGCAGATGGATCTCCTGACGTCAGGAGTTCGAGACAAGCTTAGCCAACATAGTGAAACGCTGTGTCTACTAAAAATACAAAAAAAAAAAAAAAATTAGGGCACTGTGGCGGGCGCCTGTAATCCCAGCTACTAGGGAGGCTGAGGCAGGAGAATCGCTTGAACCTGGGAGGTGGAGGTTGCAGTGAGCCAAGATCACGCCACTGCACTCCAGCCTGGGTGACAGAACAAGACTCCATCTCAAAAAAAAAAAAAAAAAGAAAAAAAAAGCCATATGTATGTGCACGGTAAAATGTCAGGAAATACAGATGAGGAAAAATGAGAGTAACACTATTCCTGCCACCTAGAGTCCTACTGCCAGTACCTTGAATTGGTGTTTTATTTTATTTTTATTCATTTATTTTTTAAAGATACAAGATCTCATTCTGTCACCTGGGCTGGACTGCAGTGGCATAATCATAGTTCACTGCAACCTCAAACTCCAGAGCTCAAGGGATCCTTCTGCCTCAGCCACCCAAGTAGCTGGGAATACAAAGGCACACCACTAGGCCAGGCTAATTTTCAAAAAAATTTTTTTTTTGGTAGAGACTGTCACACGCTTCCGGGTGAAGATACCACCAAACAGCAAACAGGCTTTGTGTGAGCAACAAGGCTGTTTATTTCACCTGGGTGCAGGTGGGCTGAGTCCGAAAGAGGAGTCAGCAAAGGGTGGTAGGATTATCATTAGTTCTTATGGGTTTGGAATAGGCATACAAAGTACATTCTCAAGGGTGGGGAGAGTATTACAAAGTACTTTTTTTTTTTTTTTTTTTTTGAGTTGGAGGTCTTGCTCCGTTGCCCAGGCTGGATAGAGTGCAGTGACGTGATCTCGGCTCACTGCAAGCTCCGCCTCCCAGGTTCAAGTGATTCTCCTGCCTCAGCCTCCCAAGTAGCTGGGACTACAGTTGCCTGCCACCACGCCTGGCTAACTTTTTGTATTTTTAGTAGAGATGGGGTTTCACCGTGTTAGCCAGGATGATCTCGATCTCCTGACCTTGTGATCCGCCAACCTCGGCCTCCCAAAGTGCTGGGATTACAGACAAAGTACCTTCTTAAGGGCAGGGGAGAATATTACAAAGTACCTTCTTAAGGGTGGGGGGGTGGGGGTGGGGGGGAGAATATATCGCATCAGTTAGGGTGGGGCAGGAACAAATCACAGTGGTGGAATGTCATCAGTTAAGGCTATTTTCACTTGTGGATCTTCAGTTGCTTCAGGCCATCTGGATGTATACGTGCAGGTCACAGGGGATATGATGGCTTAGCCTGGGCTCAGAGGTCTGACATTCCTGTCTTATATTAATAAGAAAAACAAAACAAAATAGTGGTGAAGTGTTGGGGCGGTGAAAATTTTTGGGGGTGGTATGGAGAGATAATGGGTGATGTTTCTCAGGGCTGCTTCGAGCAGGATTAGGGGCAGCGTGGGAACCTACAGTGGGAGAGATTAAACTGAAGAAAGATTTTGGGGTAAGGGGTGATATTGTGGGGTTGTTAGAAGGAGCATTTGTCATATAGAATTATTGGTGATGGCCTGGATGCAGTTTTGTATTAATTGAGAAACTAAACAGAAGACACAAGATCTGAATAAAAGAAGGAGAAAAATAGGTATTAAAGGACTAAGAATTGGGAGTACTCAGGACATCCAATTAGAGAGTGTCCAAGGGGGTTCAGCATAATTATTTGCTTGGTTGGCGAGTTTTTGGGCTCTATCCTTGAGTTTTTTTATGTTGTCATATACCAGGCCAGATTGATTTAGGAAAAAACAACACTCTTCATTTAAAAATATACAGAGTCCTCCTTTTTCAGCAGTGAGTAAATCAGGGCCTCGGTGATTTTGGAGGAAAGAGAAATGCAAAACCAGCAATTATTTGTTAAAGAAGGATTAGAAACGGCTAGGAGAGAGTCAGTGAGATTGATAGTGTGATGGAGATAGCTGGGGAGAGGTAGAGGGTGACGTAAGAATGGGAACGAGAATAAGAGTGAGTATAAAAGTAAAGAATAGGACTTCATCAGGGTGAAAGAATTGGAGTGTGCCCTGTCAGCAAAGATCATCTATCCACTCCAAGAGGGAGTCAAGAGTGGCGGATTGGGGATAGATTTTCACTATGGAAAGGAAATGAGAGGTTTTAAGAGGTGGGCTAGTGGCTTGTAACCTACATGGAAGAGGTTATGAAATGATGACAGAATAGAATAGGCCTGTGAGGCTGGAAGGAGATATTTTCCTTGGTCCAAGAACCGTTTACCTTGTGTGGGAAGAGATTGATAGGTGAAAGTTTCAGTGGGAGAGTAGGTGGGCGTGACCGATGAGAAGGAGAAAAACTAGCCGTGAGGGACAGAAGTTGGAACACTAGCTGCTTCTTTAGCTACCTTATCAGCATAAGCGTTGCCCTGAGCAATGGGATCTGACACCTTTTGATGGCCCTTGCAGTGATTGACTCCAGCTTCCTTTGGAAGTAAAAGGGCCTTGAGAAGAGTTTTTATTAAAGACAGATTAATGATGGAGGACCCTTGTGTAGTGAGGAAACCTCTTTCAGCCCATATAACAGCATGGTGGTGCAGGATATGGAAGGCATATTTAGAGTCAGTATAAATTTTGATGCATAGTCCCCTTGCAAGAGTGAGGGCCTGAGTTAAGGCAATGAGTTCGGCTTGCTGAGAAGTAGTGAAGAGGGGCAGAGCAGTGGCCTCAATGATAAATGTGGAAGATACTGTAGCATAGCCTACCTTTGCTGGTGAGTGGCGATTAGGCCTGGTGGAACTGCTGTCAATAAACCAAGTGTGATCAGGGTGAGGAACAGGAAAGAAGGAAATATGGGGAAGTGGAGTGAATGCCAGGTGGATCAGAGAGATACAGTCATGGGGGTCAGGTGTGTTATCAGGAATAATGTGGGGGGGCCAGCCTAAAACAGTAAGGTCAAGTTGTTTGGATAGGCTACAGGGCATGGTCCCAGCTCTTGTATAAAAATTCCAGCTGCATAGCCCTGCACTTCAGCTGTGTGTAATCAAAAAGGGTTGGGATGAATTAGGGAGAGCTAGTGTGGGAGCAGCTTTTAGGGCTGTTTTTAAGGAATGGAAAGAGGAGTGGGGAAAGGATTTAGGATTTATGGGGTCAGCTAGGTTTCCTTTTGTGAGTTTATATAATGATTTAGTTAGGATGGCAAAACCAGGTATCCAAAGGTGAAAGTACCTAACCATGTCTAGGAAGGAAAGGAGTTGTTGCTTTGTAGAAGGGTTTGGGGTTTGGGAGATTATCCGGACACGATCAACTGGGAGAGCACGTGTGTTTTTATGAAGAATTATGCCAAGATAGATAATGAATGAGGAAGAAATTTGGGCTTTGGAGGGGGATACGAGATATCCCTTTGAGAATAGATGTTGGAGGAGCAGGAGCGTGTCCTGTTGGGAGGATTTGTAGGGGGAACTACAAAGTAGAAGGTCGTTACAATATTGAATAAGGTGAGAAGCAGATGGACAGAAAGAAAGTAAATAATGAGAAAGGGCTTGACTGAAGTAATGAGGGCCGTCCCTGCAGCCTTGCGGCAATACAGCCCAGGTAAGTTGCTGAGACTGATGAGTGTCAGGGTCAATCCAAGTGAAAGCGAAGAGAGGCTGGGATGAAGGGTGCAAAGGAATAGTAAAGGAAGCATGTTTGAGATCCATAACAGAATAATGGGTTGTGGAGGGAGGTATTGAGGTGTGGCTGTAGCCCAGAAATAGTCAGGGAAGCAAATAATTTGGTTAAAATGTCTCGACCTAATAAGGGAGCTGGGCAGGTGGGGATAACTAAAAAGGAGTGCATAAAAGAATGTTGTCCAGGCCGGGCGCGGTGGCTCACACCTGTAATCCCAGCACTTTGGGAGGCCGAGGCAGCGGATCACGAGGTTGGAGATTGAGACCACAGTTAAACCCTGTCGCTACTAAAAATACAAAAAATTAGCCAGTGCCTGTAGTCCCAGCTACTTGGGAGGCTGAGGCAGGAGAATGGCATGAACCCAGGAGGCGGAGCTTGCATTGACCTGAGATCACGCCACTGCACTCCAGCCTGGGTGACAGAGCGAAACTCCGTCTCAAAAAAAAAAAAAAAAAAAAAAAAGCATGTTGTCCAAGTTGGCACCAGAATTGGGGAGTTTTAAGAGGTTTAGAAGCCTGGTCGTGAATACCCACAACAGTTACGGAAACAGTCCCTTGAAAAGAAGGTAATGTGGAGTGGGTAGCCTCCATATTGATTAAGAAGGGGACGGAGTTACCCTCCACTGTAAGAGTTACCCAAAGCGTCTGTGATGGTCCAGGAGGCTTCCGAGGCAATCAGGCAGCATCAGTCTTCAGCCACTAAGCCGGGAAGATCTGGGAAGGAGTCAGTCAGAGAGCCTTGGGCCAGAGTTGCAGGGTCTCTGGCAGTGGCTGCTGGGCGAGTTGGACAGTCTAATTTCCAGTAGGATCCCACACAGATGGGACACGGCTTAGGAGGAATCCCGGGCTGTGGGCATTCCTTGGCCCAGTGGCCAGATTTCTGGCACTTGAAGCAAGATCCTGGGGGAGGAGGTCCTGGAGGAACGCCTGGCTGCAGCAGTTCAGGCGTTTGGAAGTTCTTGTGTGCTGGAGATATGGCTGGGGTTTCTCTCACAGTGGAGGCAAGGAGTTGCAACTCAGAAATATGTTGCTACTTGGCTGCCTCTACTCTATTATTGTATACCTTGAAGGCAAGGTTAATTAAGTCCTGTTGTAGGGTTTGACGGCCAGAATCTAATTTTTGGAGCTTTTTCTAATGTCGAGTAAAGGGCGGTAGAGCGTCTAAGGGTTATTGCCAAACGGGCCATGGACTGGGCTGGGTTTTTATATTTAATGAAAAAGAGCCTAAACGCTAACTGATTTGGGAGAGGTCAGAAAAAGAAGAAGGAGCATTAACCTTGACTCTACCTTCAGCTCCAGCCACCTCTCTAAGAGGAAATTGTTGGGCAGATGGGGGAGGGCTAGTCGCGGAAAAAAACTGTAAGCCGGACCGGGTGTGAGGAGGGGAGGTGATAGAAGGATTATAGGGTCAGGGAGCGGAGGCTGAGGGAGAATTGGGACTTGGCTTGGCCTGACAAGGAGCAGCCTGGGAAGGAGGGGAGAGGTCAGATAGGTTCATAGAAAAGGAGGATTCAGAGGACTCAGAGCTTGGGGTGGAGACTGAAGGAACAGACAGGAGAGAAAGAGGAAAGATTTGGGACGAGTCACATTGGGAGCAGAGACTAGGGAGGGACTGATGTGTAAAAGAATGCCTAGATGTCAGCCACCTCAGACCATTTGCCCATTTTACAACAAGCATTATCTAGATCTTGTAGGATGGAGAAGTTGAAAGTGACATTTTCTGGCTATTTGGAACCATTGTCGAGTTTGTATTGGGGTCAAGCTGTATTGCAGAAGAAAATAAGGTGTTTAGGTTTTAGGTCAGGTGTGAGTTGAAGAGGTTTTAAGTTTTTGAGAACACAGGCTAAAGGAGAAGAAAGGGGAATGGAGGGCGGAAGCTTGCCCATCGCAAAGGAGGTAAGTTTAAAGAGAAAGGTAGAGACATGGAGTGGTGGTGAGCAGCCCTGGGCTGCAATGTGGGTGAGCAGCCAAAGCAGGCGTCCCCACAGTTGACTTGCCACCAAGGGAATGTGGGTGAATGACCAAGGCAGACATCCCCGCGGTGATCAGACACCAATGAAATGTGGGGTGAATAATCAGGCAGGTGTCCCCGCAATGATTAAACACCAAGGGAAGACTGTCTTCCCGAGTCCGTGACCGGCACTGGAGTTTTGGGTCCACGGATAAAATGTGTCTCCTTTGTCTCTACTAGAGAGGAAAAAGACCTGGAATTGGAAGGACAGGGAGATTGAAGGGTAGCGAGAGAGGGAGATTGAAGGGTAGCAAGAGAGGCTGGAGAAGAGAGTGAAAAGACCGCTTACCCAATTTAAAATTGGTGAGATGTTCCTTGGGCTGGTTGGTCTGAGGACCCAAGGTCGTAGGTGGATCTCCTCACGGAGTGAGGGCAAGGACAGGGGACTGGTCTCCCGAAGGAGTCCTCCTGTCCCAGGTTTCGGCACCAAATGTCATGTGCATTTGTGTGAAGAGACCACCAAACAGGCTTTGTGTGAGCAACAAGGCTGTTTATTTCACCTGGGTGCAGGTTGGCAGAGTCCGAAAACAGAATCAGCAAAGGGTGGTGGGATTATCATTAGTTCTTATGGGTTTGGGATAGGTGTACAAAGTACATTCTCAAGGGCAGGGAGAATATTACAAAGTACCTTCTTAAGGGCAGGGGAGAATATTACAAAGTACCTTCTTAAAGGTGGGGAGGGGGGAGAATATATCGTATCAGTTAGAGTGGGGCAGGAACAAATCACAATGGTGGAACGTCATCAGTTAAGGCTATTTTCACTTCTTTTGTGGATCTTCAGTTGCTTCAGGCCATCTGGATGTATACATGCAGGTCACAGGGGATGTGATGGCTTAGCTTGGGCTCAGAGGCCTGACAGAGACAGGGTCTTGCTATGTTGCCCAGGCTGGTCTTGAACTGCTAGCCTCAAATGATCCTCCTAGCTCAGCATCCCAAAGTGCTGGGATTTCAGGTGTAAACCACCATGGTGGGACTGTTATTAGGATTTTCATTACTCACTTCTGCAAAACAGTCTCTAAACACTTGATGCACAAATTCCCAGTCTATCCTCCACCGTCTAAGCTGAACTCTTTCTCTGTATTGCATAATTCATTGCTAACTCTGCTACCTTACCTCTTCATCTGTCATTATCGTGAATTTGTAACCACTACTGAAAGAATTTTCTTAAGGAAATCCCTCAGAGGGCATGTAGGTGATATATGCACTGAATCTTGTAAGCCAGAAAATGTCTTTCTTTTGCCTTGATCAGGCAATTACACTGGTTGGTTTTGATCTTTGGTCACATTCCTTTTCTCTTAGCAATCTGTATTCTACTATCTCCTGGCTTGTAGTATTGTAGATGGGCACCCTTAGAGGATTCTCGTTCCCTTATAAGTAACCTAATCTTTTTGTCTGGAAGCTTATAGGGTGTTTTTTCTATTTCTGGGACTCAGGGATTTTATCAGGCTATGTCTAGATGCTTATCTTTAGTCATGCGAGTCATTTTACTCTTCAGACTCAAATTTCCCACTCCACTGTTCCCGTTCTCTTCTTTTGGGGCTCCTGTTGTTTGGTTGTTGGTCTTCTGGATCAGCCCTTCAGTTTCACATGTAATTGCAGGGCTCCTTCTCTTGAATTTCTGACATGTGATAGGATTTCTTCCAGTATCTCCGAGTGTCTCATTAATGACTGTGCCAACTACCAAATATGTCTATTCTAGGTTTTTCCTGGCATTGAGGAAGTAACCACAGGATGGGTCTGTGAACCACTGGGGCCCACTGAGGAGGCCTGGAATTAAGATTCCATCTGTCCCCTGACCCCCTTAAGCCCTTATTTTGACTGGTGGAGCACACTGGCGTTTTGGGTCCCTAGGAATAAGCATAAACTTAGAGCCCATGTCTAGTAATCCCTAAGGAGCCTGGATATTCCCTCTCCCCAAGGCACAGACACCCTGGTGAGTGGCCATAGGTCACTTCGGAAAGGCTTGAAGGAAGATTTATGCTGCAAGGACCTTCCTCCAGGGTACTGGTTATCTCCTTCAATCAAGGAGCTCTGGGTCCGCTAATGACTTAGGTCTGGAAAGGAATGAGAGGCTGGGACTCTTCACTGTGGCAATGGAGTCAGGATCTTGGCTACCAGACCTAGGGTTTCTCCTAGTGTATAAAGGAAGCAGGAGAGAAATACTCTGCAATGGCAGACTAAAGACTTCCAAAAATCCATTCCCCCATAAAAGCAATGAGAACACTGGCAAAAATTGCCCAAATCAGCTTTTTCAGAACTCTATAAATTAACCAAAGGCTAGCTATTACAATCCAAGGCATGGCTTTTCTTTCTTTCTTTCTTTTTTTTTTTTTTTTTGGAGTTGGAGTTTCGCTCTTGTCACTCAGGCTGGAATGCAATGGCACAATCTCGGCTCACTGCAACCTCCACCTCTTAGGTCCAAGTGATTCTCCTGCCTCAGCCTCCCGAGTAGCTGGGATTACAGGCGTGCACAACCACACCCAGCTAATTTTTGTATTATTAGTAGAGATGGGGTTTCATCATGTCGGCCAGGCTGGTCTCTAACTCCTGACCTCAGGTGATCCACCCGCCTTGGCCTCCCAAAGTGCTGGGATTACAGGCATGAGCCACCACGCCCGGCCTCCAAGGCATGGTTTTTCAAGAAAAAACAGCTGAATCCTAGTAAGGAGAGTGAGTTTTGTGGTGTTTTAACTTGCTCTGCTCCCATTCTTCTCTCCCTTGGTCCACAGCAATCTTGGTAACTAAGAGCCTCACAACTAAGAGACCTGTGAGAACCAATAGCCTAGCAGCCATTAGAGGGGCAGAACAGGTTTGAACCTCAACAAAAGCTCTGTTTCCAGAGAAGTGTCATTATTTGACCTATCCGCTGACTCCTTGAAAAGCTCTATTCTCAGGGTTTATCTTTTTTTTTTTTTTTTTTTTGAGATGGAGTCTCGCTCTGTCACCCAGGCTGGAGTACAGTGGCACAATCTTGGCTCACTGCAGCCTCTGCCTCCTGAGTTCTAGTGATTCTCCTGCCTCAGCCTCCCGGGTAGCTGGGACTACAGGCATGCACCACCGTGCCTAGCTAATTTTGTATTTTTAATACAGGTGGGGTTTCACCATGTTGGCCAGGCTGGTCTTGAACTCCTGACCTCATGTGATCTGCCCGCCTCGGCCTCCCAAAGTGCTGGGATTACAGGCATAAGCCACCGTGCCCAGCCCTCAGGGTTTATCTTTATTTGACCTGACTCAGGACTTTTCCTTTACTAACAGCCATGTCCCTAGGGCATTTGTTGAAAACAAACAAAAACAGGCAGTGACAACTGTTTAACATCACAAGTGCCTGGGGTGGTAATACCAGTTGGAGATATAAGAGGCTGACAAAAAAACTTAAAAGGAAAGAAAACCATGCCATATCCAATAGAGAGCAAAGCTCTGACATATTCTTAGGAATTCCTAGGTCACCAGCATGTCTAGGGCTGTGAACATACAGAGAAAAGACCTGAGAAGTCCCTACGCTCTCACCTCTAGCTGACCTTGTGGCTCTGTGCCGGCCGGCAGCAAGGGAAGGTTAGAGCAGTGCTATACACTGTCTTTGGAACACTGAGACACACACATAGAGCCCCTCGGAAAAGCTGGGAGTCATTTGTGAAAGGCATTTAAGAAAATCTCTGTCCAATCATTAGCTGACAACTAAGCTAACTGGGCTAACTGCTCTAACAGAGCAGACTTCAGTGGCTGCACAACGTAGAATACAGATGCGACTGAATTAGTCTAGGGATTCACATAACAAATAGCAGCAACAACGTACAGTGACAATAACAAAGCCTAGGGAGGAGGGGAATCTAATTTTCAGAGCTGCCACACTTTTTTTTTTTTTTTTTTTTTAGACGGAGTCTCACTGTGTCGCCCAGACTGGAGTAGAGTGGTGTGATCTTGACTCACTGCAACTTCTGCCTCCTGGGTTCAAGTGATTCTCCTGCCTCAGCCTCCTGAGTAGCTGGGACTACAGGTGCCCGCCACCATGCTCAGCTCATTTTTTGTATTTTTAGTAGAGACGGGGTTTCACTGTGTTAGCCAGGATGGTCTCAATCTCCTGACCTCGTGATCCGCCCGCCTCAGCCTCCCAAAGTGCTGGGATTACAGGCATGAGCCACTGCACCCGACTTTGGTTTTTAAAATGTCACTTTCAACCAAAAATGATGAGACATGCAAAAAAATAGAAAGTTTTATTTATAACTTTCTTCTTTTTTTTTTTTTTTTTTTTAGATGGAGTCTTGCTTTGTCGCCCAGGCTGGAGTGCAATGGTGCAATCTTGGCTCAATGCAACCTCCGCCTCCTGGGTTCAAGCGATTTTCCTGCATCAGACTCCTGAGTAGCTGGGATTACAGGCGCCTGCACCACCACACCTGGCTAATTTTGTATTTTTAGTAGAGACGGGGTTTTTCCATGTTGGTCAGGCTAGTCTTGAACTCCCGACCTCAGGTGATCCACCTGCCTCAGCCTCCCAAAGTGCTGGGATTACAGGCATGAGCCACCACGCCCAGCCCTTTCTTTTCTTTTTAAATAGAGACAGGGGCTCGCTATGTTGCCCAGGCTGGTCTCAAACTTCTGGGCTCAAGCGATCCTCTTGCCTTAGCCTCCTAAACTGTTGGGATTACAGACATGAGCCACCATGCCCCGTCCGTAGCAATGATCTTAAAGAACAAGAACAAAGTGACAGAAGCTATTAAAGGATCTGCTTCATTGAAGGCAATGAGACTCATAAAAATTTGAGAAGGGCAGGGCCAGGTGCAGTGGCTCATGCCTATAATCCCAGCACTTTGGGAGGCTGAGGTGGATGGATCACTGGAGGTCAGGAGTTCAAGACCAGCCTGGCCAATGTGGTGAAACCCCATCTCTATGAAAAATACAAAAATTAGCCGGGTGTGGTGGTGGGCACACGCCTGTAATCCCAGCTACTCAGGAGGCTAAGGCAGACAAATCGCTTGAACCCAGGAGGTAGAGCTTGCAGTGAGCCGAGATCATGTCACTGCACTCCAGCTTGAGCAACAGAGGGAGACTCCATCTCAAAATAAATAAATAAATAAATTTATTTGAGAAGGGTGGCCTATATCAGATGTGGAGAAACTTCTGATGACCTGGATTGAAGACTAGACACAGAAGCATAGCTCTCTCAGCACCATGATGATCTCAGCCAAAACAAAAAGTCTGTGTGCGACATTGAAAGAAACGGCTGGACCCAACTATTATGCTGAATTATTGCTAGCTCTGAGTGGTTTAAAGGATTAATTATGTTATTAATTACATAACGTAAAAGTGAGTGGTGAGGTTGGGCATGGTGGCTCACGCCTGTAATCCCAGCACTTTGGAAGGCCAAGGCAGGCGGATCACTTGAGGTCAGGAATTCATGACCAGCCTAACCAACGTGGCGAAACCCTGTCTCTACTAAAAATACATTAGCCAGGCATGTTGGCACGTGCCTGTAATCCCAGGCACTCAGGAGGTTGAGGCAGGAGAATCGCTCTGGGAGACGGAGGTTGCAGTAAGCTGAGATCATGCCACTGCACTCCAGCCTGGGTGACAGAGCGAGACTGTTTCTCAGAAAAAAAAAAAAAAAGAAAGTGAGTGGTGAGTCTGTGAGTGCTGATGTGAAGGCAGCTGAAGAATTTTTGGAAACTGTAGATAAGCTGATTGTGCAGGAAAATTATTTGCCAGAGAAAATCTTCAATATGGATGAAACTTCCCTATTCTGAAAATGGATGCCTAAGAGAACTTTCATCCATAAGGAGGCCAAGTCAATGCCAGGTTTCAACGCTTTGAAGAACAGGATAACAGTCTTCCTTGGGGGACAATGTTGTAGGCTACAAATTGAAACCCTCTGTGATCTGGCACAGTGAGAACCACAGGGCCTTGAAGCACATCAGTAAGCACACATGGCCAGTGTACTACAGGAGCAATAAGAAGTCATGGATGACCTAGCTCCTCTTCCAAGATGCAATCCTGAATTGTTTTGCCAGAGAAATGCAGAAATACTGTTTGGAGAATAATATATTTTTCAAGATTTTGCTTATTGTTGATAAGGCTCCCATACATCCTCCTTTTACTGGTGATATTCATCCCAATATCTAAGTGGTGTTTTCCCCTCCAAACACCACCTCTTTGTTTCAACCAATGGATCATGGAGGTATAGCAGCTTTTAAGGCCTATTACCTGAGGAGACCTTTGCCCAGGTGATTGCTGCAGCTGAGGAAGACACTGAGAAGCCACTGAGACAATTCTGGAAGGATTGCAACACATCTGTGACTTCATCAAGAACCCTGCTTAGACTTGGGGTGATGTCACCATGCGGTATGAATGCCATCTGGAGGAAGACACTCAAAAGGTTGGTCCATGACTTAAAAGTATTTGTCAAGGATGAGGAGGTTTCAAAAATCAATAAAGCTGTGGTTGAGGTGGCAAATAATTTTAACCTGGGTGTGGATGAGGATGACATGGTAGAGCGCCTAGAGGTAATTCTTGAGGAATTGACTAATAAGGAGCTGTTGGAACTGGAACAGGAATACATAGCTGAAGAAGAGGCAAGAGAAAAAAGAAACTGCAGGAGAAGAAAAACCCAGAAGAAAATTCACAGTGAAGGGTTTAGCAGAAGCTGCTGCAGACCTCAACAAACTCCTTAAAACGTTGAAAACACGGACCCCCATACTGAACGGTTTTCATTAATAGAGATATGTTCATGGTGCATTATCTGTTTACAAGCAAATGTATGATTAAAATAAAAGAAAGAAAGAAGCCAAGCAAACCTCCATGGACATTTTTTGAAAGAGTGATAGTGCCTCAAGAAGAGCCTCAGGCAGGTCCTACAGGAGGGATTCCAGAAGAATGTGTTATCATAGGAGATGACAGCTCCATGCGTGTTATTGCCTCTGAAGACCTTCCAGTGGGGCACGATGTGGAAGTGGAAGACAGTGATCTCGATGATCTTGACTAGTGTAGGCCTAGGCTGGTGTGTGTGTGTGTATGTGTGTCTTAGTTTTTAACAAAAAAGTTTAAAATATTGAAAAATATACTTTTTAAAATAGAAAAAGTTGGCCGGGTGCAGTGGCTCATGCCTGTAATCCCAGCACTTTGGGAGGCTGAGGTGGGTGGATCACTTGAGGTCAGGAGTTCGAGACCAGCCTGACCAACATGGAGAAACCCCGTCTCTACTGAAAAAAATACAAAATTAGCTGGGCGTGGTGGCGCATGTCTGTAATCCCAGCTACTCGGGAGGCAGAGACAGGAGAATCGCTTGAACACAGGAGGCGGAGGGTGCGGTGAGCCGTGATCATGCCATTTGCACTCCAGCCTGGGCAACAAGAGCAAAACTCCGTATCAAAAAATAAATAAAATAAAATAGAAAAAGCTTCTGGAATAAGGATATAAAGAAAGGAAATATTTTTGTACAGCTGTACAATGTGTACTTTAAGCTAAGTGTAATAACATTTATTAATGAGCTTATTGACAAAAGAGTAAGTTTAAAAAATTTAAAAGTTTGGCTGGGTGAGGTGGCTCATGCATGTAATTTCAGCACTTTGGGAGGCCAAGGCGGGTGGATCACCTGAGGTCAGGAGTTTGAGACCAGCCCGACCAATATGGTGAAACCCCGTCTCTACTAAAAATACAAAAATTAGCCAGGCCTGGTGGCATGCGCCTGTAATCCCAGCTACTCAGGAGGCTGAGGCAGAAGAATCACTTGAACCCGGGAGGCAGAGGTTGCCGTGAGCCGAGATCACAATACTGCACTCCAACCTGGGCGCCAAAGCAGGACTCCATCTCAAAAAAAAAAAAAAAAAAAAGTTATAAAGTTACTAAGTGAGTGCAAAAGTAATTGTTGAAATTTGCCATTTGATTTTGGAATACATTCTTAAATAAATGTGGTTATGCTATACATCATTTTAATGGTCATTTCTCACTTTATTTTTTTAATGACTCATTACTGCTGTTTATTTTACGTTTATTTTAGACTATGGAAATGATGTTAGACAAAAAGCAAATTCAAGCGATTTTCTTATTCGAGTTAAAAATGGGTCATAAAGCAGTGGAGACACTTCGCAACATCAACAACACACTTGGCCCAGGAACTGCTAATGAACATATAGTACAGTGGTGGTTCAAGAAGTTTTGCAAAGAAGACAAGAGCCTTGAAGATGAGAAGCATAGTGTCTGGCCATCGGAAGTTGACAATGACCAACTGAAAGCTCTCATTGAAGCTGATCCTGTTAAAACTACACAAGAAGTTGCCCAAGAACTCAACCATCGACCATTCTATGGCCGTCTGGCATTTGAAGCAAATTGGAAAGGTGAAAAAGCTCAATAAGTGGGTGCCTCATGACCTTACCAAAAATTAAAAAAATCGTCATTTTGAAGTGTCATCTTCTCTTATTCTATGCAACAACAACGAACCATTTCTTGATCAGATTGTGATGTGTGACAAAAAGTCGATTTTATATGACAACCGGCAACAACCAGCTCTGTGGCTGTACTGAGAAGCAGCTCTAAAGTACTTCCCAAAGCCAACCTTGCACCAAAAAAAGGTCACGGTCACTGTTTGGTGGTCTGCTGCTGGTCTGATCCACTGCAACTTTCTGAATCCCAGTGAAACCATTACATCTGAGAAGTATGCTCAGCAAATCGATGAGATGCACCAAAAACTGCAAGGCCTGCTGTGGCACTGCTCAACAGAAAGGGCCCAGTTATTCTCCATGACAACAACCACACATCGCATAACCAGCGCTTCAAATATTGAGGCCGGGTGCGGTGGCTCACGCCTGTAATCCCAACATTTTGGGAGGCCAAGGTGGACGGATCACTTGAGGTCAGGAGTTCGAGAACAGCCTGGCCAACATGGTGAAACCTGTCTCTACTAAAAATACAAAAATTAGCTGGGTATGGTAGCTGGCGCCTGTAATCCCAGCTACTCGAGAGGCTGAGGCAAGAGAACTGCTTGAACCCGGAAGGTGGAGGTTGCGATGAGCCAAGATTGTGCCACTGCACTCCAGCCTGGGCGACAGAGTGAGACTTCATTTCAAAAAAAAAAAAATGTTGAACGAATTGGGCTATGAAATTTTGCCTCATCCACCATATTCACCTGACCTCTTGCCAACTGACTACCACTTCTTCAAGCATCCCAGCAGTTTTGCAGGGAAAACGAACCAGTAGGATGCAGAAAATGCTTTCCAAGAGTTCGCTGAATCCCGAAGCACAGATTTTTACGCTACAGGAATAAACAAACTTATTTCTTATTGGAAAAAATGTGTTGTTTGTACTGGTTCCTATTTTGATTAATAAATATGTGTTTGAGCCTGGTTATAGTGATTTAAAATTCATGGTGCGAAACCGCAATTACATTTGCACCAAAAGTTGCACTTAGCTAAAATTAATTTATTACTGCAGAAAAAATCTTTTTTGTAAATTTAGTGTAGCCTATATATACAGTGTTCATAAAGCCTACAGTGGTGTACCATAATGTCCCAGGCCTTCACATTCACTCACTACTGACTTACTAACTCATCTAGGGCAACTTCCAGTCCTGTAGGCTCCATTCTGGTAAGTGCCCTGGTACTTACCATGGCATACCGTGGTATACCAGTGTGGCATATCATTTTATCTTTTATGCTGTATTTTTACTGTACCTTTTCTGTGTGTTTAAATACACAAATACTTACCATCATGTTACAGTATTATATATATATCACCTACAGTATTCAGGACAGTAACATGCTGTACAGATCTGTAGGCTAGGAGCAATAGTCTATATGATATAGTCTAGATTTGTAGTAGCAGGTTATACCATCTAGGTTTGTGTAACTACATTCCATGATGTCTGCACAATGACAAAATCGCCCATGACACATTTCTCAGAATGTATCCCCATTGTTAAGCAACACATGACTGTATATAGTGCCTTTATACTCAAAGATAAATAGTTTGTAAGTAAAAGGATATAACAAGATATGCCATGCAAAAGTAACTATAAGAGATGTGTTTGCTGGGTGTGGTGGCTCATGCCTGTAATCCCAGCAATTTGGAAGGCATATTTCTTTTTTTCTTTTCTTTTCTTTTTTTTTTTTTTTTTTGAGATGGAGTCTCGCTCAGTCACCCAGGCTGGAGTGCAGTGATGCGATCTCGGCTCACTGCAAGCTCTGCCTCCTGGGTTCACGCCATTCTTCTGCCTCAGCCTCCTGAGTAGCTGGGACTACAGGTGCCTGCCACCATGCCCAGCTGATTTTTTTGTATTTTTAGTAGAGATGGGGTTTCACTGTGTTAGCCAGGATGGTCTTGATCTCCTGACCTTGTGATCTGCCCACCTTGGCCTCCCAAAGGTGTGAGCCACCACGCCCAGCCTGGAAGGCATATTTCTTCAGCCCAGAAGTTTGAGACCAGCCTGGGCAACATGGCAAAACCCATCTCTACAATAAAAAATACAAAAGTTAGCTAGGCATGGTGGAGGCTGCAGTGAGCTGCGATCGTACCATTCATTCCAGCCTGAGTGACAGAAAGACCCTGACTCCAAAAAAAAAAAAAAGAAAAAAGGAGGCCAGGCACAGGGGCTCATGCCTATAATCCCAACACTTTGGGAGGCCGAGGCAGGCAGATTGCCCAAGGTCAGGAGTTCAAGACCAGCCTGGCCAACATGGTGAAACCTCGTCTCTACTAAAAATATAAAAATTAGCCAGGCAGGTGGCAGGAGCCTGTAATCCCAGCTACTTGAGAGGCTGAGGCACAGGAAATGCTTGAACCCAGGATGCCGGGGTTGCAGTGAGTTGAGATCGTGCTACTGCAATCCAGCCTGGGCAATAGAGCTAAACTCAGTCTCAAAAAAACAAAAAACGGGGATGTGGAGTGGCTATGCTAATATATATATCAGACAAACCAGAATTTAAGACAAAAATTGTTACTAGATACAAAAGACATTTTATAATGATAAAGGGGTCAATCCATCAGGAAGCCATAATAATTGAAAACATACATGCATCTAACAACAGAGCCCCAAAATACATGAAGCAAAAACTGATAGAACTGAAGGGAGAAATAAGCAATTCAACAATATTAGGCAGAGATTTCAATACTCTACTTTTTCTTTTTCTTTTTTTTTTTTTGAGACGGAGTCTTGCTCTGTCCCCCAGGCTGGAGTGCAGTGGCTCAATCTCGGCTCACTGAAAACTCCGCCTCCTGGGTTCACACCATTCTTCTGTCTCAGCCTCCCGAGTAGCTGGGACTACAGGCGCCCACCACCACGCCTGGTTAATTTTTTGTATTTTTAGTAGAGACAGGGTTTCACCGTGTTAGCCAGGATGGTCTCAATCTCTTGACCTCGTGATCCACCCGCCTCGGCCTCTCAAAGTGCTGGGATTACAGGCATGAACCACCGCGCCCAGCCTTTTTTTTTTTTTTGTGATGGAGTCTCACTTTGTCACCCAGGCTGGAATGCAATGGCACAATCTTGGCTCACTGCAACCTCTGCCTTGGGTTCAAGTGATTCTCCTGCCTCAGCCTCCTGAGTAGCCGGGATTACAGGCATGTGCCACCACACTCAGCTAGAATTTTTTTGTATTTTTAGTAGAGATGGAGTTTCACCATGTTGGCCAGGCTGGTCTTGAACTCCTGACCTCAGGCGATCTGCTGGCCTCGGCCTCCCAAAGTGCTGGGATTACAGGTGTGAGTCACCGCACCTGGCCTCAATACCCTACTTTCAATAATGGATAGAACAGATGATCAACAAGGAAACAGACCAAGAAATATTGGAGTACACTGCCCATCTACTTTGTTCCTAGGGACACTATAATCCATTAGCTACTGCCAAGACCTCTGCAAGCCAAGAAATTAGATTGCCTGGTGGTCTCTGCTGCCCTTTACAGTTGATGTATCTAACTTGTCAGGGTCCCTTCATATCCCAAGATCAGAGGGCCCACCTCAATGGTGCATTTCCTGCAGCCTTACTTGGCCTACAAAGGACAGCAACCAGAGAACTTCTCAAAGATACACCTGCTCCCTTCAATGCCCTAGCAAAAGGAGTGCCTTCTGGGTCCTCTCATAAAATAGAGTTGATAGAGTACACATGATAAACGCAGTCTATCATGCTAAGCCTTTGGATTCTCTCTTCCTTGTGATTACCAGGAAAGATCTGGCATCTCATTTCACTAACCACTTAATAGTGGTAGGCCACCATGAAGTCCAAATTCCAGTCAACCAGCCAAGTAGTCTCTTACAGCCAAATTCAGGTACACAAGCTAACACATTACATCTGGAGTCTCTAGCACATGCACCCACATCAATGAATTTGGCCTTATCTAGTATCACATTCTCCCCTCACTGGTCTAACATCCTTAGCACCCATCTTCCCATACACCCTAGTTTTCTGCTAACGTATCAACAATGTCCTGCAATTATTTTAGTGTGTAAGCTGGGTCATTTTCTCCTGGGTCTCAGTGTGTATCTGTCCCCCTGAAACATGGTGAGATTTTTTTTGTTTTTGTTTTTGTTTTTTTTCAAGATAGAGTCTCATTCTGTTGCCCAGGCTGGAGTGCAATGGCACAATCTCGGCTCTTGGCAACCTCCGCCTCCCGGGTTCAAGCGACTTTCCTGCCTCAGCCTCCTGAGTAGCTGGGATTACAGGTGTGCACCATCATGCCCGGCTAATTTTTGTGTTTTTAGTAGCAACAGGGTTTCACCATGTTGGACAGGCTGGTCTTGAACTCCTGACCTTAGGTGATCCACCCGCCTTGGTCTCCCACAGTGCTGAGATTACAGGTGTGAGCCACTGTGCCTGGCCCATGATGAGATTTGACCCTATTAAAGACCTACTGGCAACAGATAGGTTGTGGTGGATTTTGAGGGTATGAGCATCCACTTTCAAGGCATTTGCCCAGGTGAGGTTATCACAGCCTTTTCAGACAGGAAAGTGAGTCTCTTCAGACTGTGGACATCAGGCTACTTCCACTCACAAGGGAGACTCTGAATGACATAGGAGTTCAATATTGTTGGCTTCATCTGGGTCCAACCAGATTCACCATTCCAAATTTCTGGATCCTATTATTTCCCAATTAGTGCCCTAGTTTTTGCATGACAAATTTGATGAGACTGCAAATTCAACTCATTACTTTTCAGCAAACCACACAATTAAATTATGTGTTTGACTTTCAGCAATATCAGCCCTGGGTCTACACAAGTCAGAGATTGTTTTAGGCTTGTCATGGAAGCATTCTGATTCTCAGACTGTGACTTGAGCTGAGAGTGAATAGACCTGAGCTTGCCATTTTCTCTTTGTAATAACTCGACTGTACTGAAAAGAATCCATCGCACACCACAGTCCTTGCTCCTTGGTCATTACTGCTGTCACTGTAGTCAAGAATAGCAGCCATTTGGGTTCCCAAGGCATGTGCTTCAGTAGGCACTTCACCACCATCACGTGACAGCGTCACTAGCTGGAATGCTACTGCAGGCCATGGGTTGCTGGCATCCCACTTCCCAAGGCAAGGAGCTCAGCAGGGAGCTCAAGCCCAGGGTGTGATTAAATAAATCCCCAAATCCATCTCCACAGGTCTGTCTCCTGGGATCACTCCCAGTGCCACTTATTATATCAGTTAAGGTTCAATCAAAAGGCAGAAGCCACAATGGGAGTTTAACATAAGGAATTATTGATAGGGGATTGGAATGATAGGGAATTGGTTAATGAGAGCTAAAGACAATTCTAAAGAATACAGAGAGCCTGGGCAATATAGTAAGACCTCATCTCTACAAAAAATAAAGATAAATTTTAAGCCGGGCGCAGTGGCTCATGCCTGTAATCCCAGAACTTTGGGAGGCCTAGGTGGGCGGATCACGAGGTCAGGAGATCGAGACCATCCTGGCTAACACAGTGAAACCCCGTCTCTACTAAAAATACAAAAAAATTTAGCCGGGCGTGTTGGTGGGCGCCTGTAGTCCCAGCTACTCGGGAGGCTGAAGCAGGAGAATCTCTTAAACCCAGAAGGCGGAGCTTGCAGTGAGCTGAGATCGCGCCACTGCACTCCAGCCTGGGCCACAGAGTGAGACTCCATCTCCAAAAAATAAATAAATAAATAAATAAATAAATAAATAAATAAATTTTAAAATTAGCCAGGCATGGTGGTGCAAACCTGTGGTCCCAGCTACTGAGGAGGCTGAGGCTGAAGGATCTTTCTTTTTTTTTTTTTTTGAGATGGAGTCTCGCTCTGTTGCCCAGGCTGGAGTGCAGTGGCGTGATCTCAGCTCAGCTCACTACAACCTCTGCCTCCCGGGTTCAAGCAATTCTCCTGCCTCAGCCTCCGGAGTAGCTGGGACTACAGGCACCTGCCACCATGCACAGCTAATTTTTGTATTGTTAGTAGAGACGGGGTTTCACCACGTTGGCCAGGCTGGTCTCGATCTCCTGATCTTGTGATCCGCCTGTCTCGGCCTCCCAAAGTGCTGGGATTATAGGCATGAGCCACTGCGCCCAGCTGAAGGATCTCTTGAGCCCAGGAGTTTGAGGCTGCAGTGAGCTGTGATTGCACCACTGTACTCCAGCCTGGGCAACAGAGTGCTGTCTCAATAAAAAGAAAAAAAAAAAAAGAATGCAGAAATACAGAGGTGGCAGATATAAAGATCAGCTACTATCCCCGGGGCTGAGATACAGTATCCAATGAAGAATCTTCTCCCACAAGGGCTGAGATCCAGATGTCATTTGAAAGGCATGGCAGAGAAGCCACTGACATGCCTCACCAAATGAGACCTCCTAGAAATCTGCCCTCTGGGGTATCAGGTGAAGCTGCTATTCCACCAAGCACTGTTGGAACCAAGAACTGTAGGAAACTCACTCTGCAGGAGCCCATTGCTGGAAAGAGCTTTGCCAGTGCAAGGATCAAGCACTGTAGAGAGTCAGGCTATTAGAGGAGTCAAGCACGAGAGCATGCAGACTCAGCGAGAGCCCAGTGCCTGAGGAAGCTCTACCCATACAGGAACCAAGTGGCAGAGAAAGCCATGCTTTCTACCTGTTAGATAAAGTGCGCTTGGTGAGAGCACAGTGCTGGAGAAAGCTAGACTGCTACAGAAGCCAAGTACTGGAGAAGCGTGCTCTGCCAGAGTTCAGTGCTAGAGAAAGCCAATAAAGGTCAGGACCAGTGGTGGGTGTGCAAAAACTATCCAAGTGCCAGGAGCCACTCACAGCAAAGGCGGCATGTGGTATGGGATTTGTGGTGTCCATATTGGGGGAGGGAACGTGGTAAAGTGTTGCAAACTGGGGTCTTTGAGCCTCCCAAGGACTTTTCACTCTGGACATGCATCTAGGGCAGAGAACCACTGGGATCTGCCCCTGAAAAACTGCAGCAAGAGCAAGAAAAATGAAACCTCAACAGGACCAGAACCAGGAAGAGCTTCCCCTTCTTCTTGCAATGTCCCACCAGCGCCCTCTACTGACAAAGCATAACATCATGTTCTTTGCAAGGAGAAATGTATTAGAAGTCCAGCCCGTTATCTTAGAGCAGGTACTGGAGGGTGACATTTAGAGCTGAGACAACTGATTGAAAACTGACATAGTGCCAGAATCCCCACATAGGCTCTCTGACTCATAGACTGAAGGTCAATATGACAGGAAGGCCTAAGTGAAAGCCCCTGGAACTTCCCCTCCCTACAGAGAAAAGAAGCCAGTAGAAATACCACATTCCTGAGGGAAGCACAGAGATTAATGCCACCATCAAAAAATTAAAAGAAGCAAGGGTGATGACACCTATCACATGCTCATTTAACCCACCAGTGTGGCCTGTGCAGAAGTCAGATGGATCTCGGAGAATGACTGTGGACTATCATAAACTTTATCAGATGGTGACTCCAATTGTAGCTGCTGTTCCCAGATACAGTATCTTTCTTGGAGCAAATTAGTATTTGTAAGGCTGCTAGTTTGTTTGTTTTTTCCCTTTTTTTTTTTTTTTTTTTTTTTTTTGAGACGGAGTCTCACTCTGTCACCAGGCTGGAGTGCATTGGTGCCATCTGGGCTCACTGCAACCCCTGCCCCCTGGGTTCAAGCAGTTCTCCTGCCTCAGCCTCCCGAGTAGCTGGGACTACAGGTGCGCACCACCACGCCCAGCTAATTTTGGTATTTTTAGTAGAGACGGAGTTTCACCATGTTGGCCAGGATGGTCTTGATCTCTTGACCTTGTGATCCGCCTGCCTCGGCCTCCCAAAGTGCTGGGATTATAGGCATGAGCCACCACGCCCGGACTTTTTTTTTTTTTTTTTTTTTTTTTTTTGAGGCAGAGTCTCGCTTTGTCGCCAAAGCTGGAGTGCAATGGTGCGATCTCAGCTCACTGCAACCTCTGCCTCCCGGGTTTAAGAGATTCTCCTGCCAAGCAGCATCCCAAGTAGCTGGGATTACAGGCATGTGCCACAATGCCTGGCTATTCTTTGTATTTTTAGTAGAGATGAGGTTTCACCATATTGGCCAGGCTGGTCTCCAACTCCTGACCTCAAGTGATCCACCCACCTCAGCCTCCCAAAATCCTGGAATTACAGGCATGACCCACAGTGCCCGGTCTATGCTGCTAGTTTTGAGCAGGGACTGGAGCGAGAGAAGGCTCTGCAGCAAGTCCAGGCTGCATTACATCACATGCTGGTCTACTGTGTGGTGCTTGAGATCCAGCAGATCCGGTAACGCTCAGTGTCCATGGCAAACATGGCAAACACCAATAGAAGAATCCACTCCTTCACACCAACTTTTTTTTTTTGTTTTTTGAGTCAGGGTCTCACTCTGTCACCGAGACTGGAGTGCAGTGGCATGATCACAGCTCACTGCAGCCTCAACCTCCCAGGCCCAAGTGACCCTCCTACCTCAGCCTCCCAAGTAGCTGGGACTACAGGCATGTGCCACTACGCCTAGCTAACTTTTTCATTTTTAGTAGAGACAAGGTCTCACTATGTTGCCCAGGCTGGTCTCAAACTCCTGGTCTCAAGTGATCCTCCTGCCTCAGCCTCCCAAAGTGCTGGGATTACTGGCATGAGTCACGGCACCCAGCCCAACACCAACTCTTGCTACATTGTCTTCCTCTCCCTCCATTAGTGTCTATGACCTCCTGGAGTATCTCTCATTCTACAGAAGAGTCTGCAAAATCTGCTGTCATGGCCTCGCAGTGGCCGGAATTTTGACTAGTATGTTTGATTGTTTGCTATGTCTGGAATGAGAAATAGCCAGAAGTACAGACCTATACTAACGCATGGGCAGTTGCTCATGATTTGGCTGGATGGCCAGGGATTTGGAAAGAACAGGATTGGTGACAAGGAAGTTTGAGCTCTTGTAACTTTTTTTAAAAAACAGACTTCAATCAATTTTACTTCAGTTAAAACCATTTTGGCCAGGTGCAGTGGCTCACGCCTGTAATCCCAGCACTTTGGGAAGCTGAGGAGGGTGGATCACAAGGTCAGGAGAATGGCTGGGCGCGGTGGCTCATGCCTGTAATCCCAGCACTTTGGGAGGCTGAGGCGAGCGGATCACGAGGTCAGGAGATCGAGACCATCCTGGCTGACACGGTGATACCCTGTCTGTACTAAAAATACAAAAAATTAGCTGGGAGCGGTGGCGGGCGCCAGTGGTCCCAGCTACTCGGGAGGCTGAGGCAGGAGAATGGCATGAACCCGGGAAGTGGAGGTTGCAGTGAGCTGAGATCGCACCACTGCACTCCAGCCTGGGTGACAGAGCGAGACTCTGTTTTAAAAAATAAATAAATAACATTTCATCCAGGGACTGGCTTGATCTTCCCTCCTCTGGTTTCTGAGTCCCTTAGATGGGCTGTAACTTTTCTTTAATTATTCCTTATTTTATTTACAATTAGCAGTCAGAATAGTATGTTAGGTTCTATCAAACAGAGGCAAGTGGCGTAAGGCAAGTTTCCTCTTGAGTGGCCAGTGTGCTCTTTAGCTAGGTATACCATAACAAGGTACCACAGATTGGGTGGCTTCAACAACAGAAATTTATTTTCTCATAGTTCTGGAGACTGGAAGTCCAAGACCAAGGTGTCGGCAGAGTTGGTTTCTTCTGAGGCCTCTCTCATTGTCTTGTAAATGGCCTTGTTCTCCTTGTGTCTCTACATGGTCTTCACTTTGTATATGTCTGTGTCTAAATTTCCTCTTAAGTGTACCAGTCGTATTGAATTAGAGCCCACCCTAACAACTTCACTGTAACTCAATTACTGTAACCTGCACGGACCTTGGGAGACTGAACAAAGGGGGGTGAACACGGGAATAAAAGACAAAGACAGAAGAGTATATTTGGAAGAAGGGGTCAGGGGGCACCTTGTCTCTGGTGGACAAGGGCCCTGAGCTTTTTTTTTTTTTTTTTTTTTTTTGAGATGGAGTCTCGCATTTGGCCCAGGCTGGAGTGCAGTGGCATGATCTCGGCTCACTGCAAGCTCCGCCTCCCAGGTTCATGCCATTCTCCTGCCTCAGCCTCCCGAGTGGCTGGGACTACAGGTGCCCACCACCACGCCTGGCTAATTTTTTGTATCTTTAGTAGAGATGGGGTTTCACCATGTTAGCCAGGATGGTCTTGATCTCCTGACCTCGTGATCTGCCCGCCTCAATCTCCCAAAGTGCTGGGATTACAGGTGTGAGCCACCATGCCCGGCCAAGGGCCCTGAGCTTTACACAGCCCTCTGTATTTATTGGTAAAAGAGATAACGAGAAAGGGGGACTGGTTGTCGGGTAATTGTCAGTCAGCTGTTTGGTTCACAGCAGGCTTGTGAGACTGTATCCTTCGAACAATAGGCGCTAGATTTCCCAGTAGATAACTTCAAGGAGCCCGGAGCCAGGGAGTGATGGCCCTCAGCAAACCTTTTGGCAGCAGGCGCAGTGTGAGTTTGCTTACATCCTGCATTCATAATAAACAGTTTGCTGTTTGATCATGTAGCCTCCAGTGGAATGCTGAGTTGGTCACAATCCCTGTGGCCTTTTCGGCTCCCAACAAATTACCTCTTTAAAACCCTCTCCAAATACAGTCACATTCTGAGGTATCAGGACCTCTTCATATGAATTGGGGTGAGGGGGCAGGATATACATTCAGTCTACAACACCCAGTATTGAACAAATTTGCAGACCACTATCTGACTATTAAGGCATGAATAGGAAGCCTTACCTACAGGGCTTTTCAAGTGCAGGCAGGCATCTTTCCTCAAGTCAGTCTACCTGTGCAGCTCCCTTCTAAGTGCTCAAGGGTGAGCAGATTAGGTCAGTTCTTCCAGGGCTGTATGTTTATATGTGGTTTCTGGCAGGGGTGGGAGAGATGAGGGAGACCATTAATTAAGGTCTTTGATATGGTTTGGCTGTGTCCCCCCACCCAAATCTCATCGTGAATTATAGTCCCCATTGTAATCTCCACGTGTCATGGGAGGAACCCAGTGAGAGGTAATTGAATCATAGGGGGCAGTTACCTCCATGCTGTTCTTGTGACAGTGAGTGAGTTCTCATGAGATCTGGTAGTTTTATAAGGGACTTTTCCAACTTTGCTCAGCACTTCTTATTATTCCCACCATGTGAACAAGGACATGTTTGCTTCCCCTTCCGCCATGACTGTAAGTTTCCTGGGACCTCTCCAGCCATGCTGAACCGTGAGTCAATTAAACCTCTTTCCTTTCTAAATTACCCAGTCTCGGGTATGTCTTTAGCAAGGTGAGACCAGACTAATACATCTTTCTTCTTCGTCAGTTCTGGACCATGTTTACCCATCCATAGTCACAGGTAGTACTAGACCTTGACAGCCTTCCCCTTGTAAAACTTGGAATTTGATGGCTGGGTGCAGTGGCTTACGCCTGTAATCCCAGCACTTTGGGAGGCTGTGGCAGGTGGATCACTTGAGGTCAGGAGTTTGAGACCAGTCGGGCCAACATGGTGAAATCCTGTCTCTATTAAAAATAAAAAAATTAGCCATGCATGGTGGCATGTGCCTGTAATCCCAGCTACTCGAGAGGCTGAGACAGGAGAATTGCTTGAACCTGGGAGGCAGAGGTTGCAATGAGTGGAGATGATGCCACTGCACTCCAGCCTGAGCGACAGAGCAAGACTCTGTCTCAAAAAAAAAAAAAAAAAAAAACAACTTGGAATTTGACGGTGTAGAACAGAACCTAAGTTCTTAGGCAACAGGTTCACTCTCAAGGGGAAAAACAGAGGAAGAAACAGATATATAGACATACCATTTCTCCTTCCTAATAACTCCATTCCTTCCTAAGTAAGTCAGGAGGTGGGGGAAGGTCAGTAATGTTACACCTGTAGATCTCTACCTGCATAAAAGTAAACATCAGGAGTGGGGAAAATGTGTTCTCTCCACCAGCATAATGCAAGACAGCTGACAGAGTCCTCTCCTGGAGGGATTCCCAAGTTATCTCCAGCTGAGCTCTTTCATGAAACAAATAATATTTGTTTCCTATTGCTGCATAACAAATTACTACGCATTTAGCAGCTTAAAGCCACAACCAATTATTATCTCACAGTTCCCTAAGTCCCACTGTATGGGTGTGACTGGGTTCTTAGCTCAGTCTCAAAAGGGCAAAGTCTAGGTGTTGGCTGAGCTGGGCTCTTATCCAGATGCTTTGAAGAAGAATCCACTTTCGAGCTCGTTTAGGTTGTTAGCCAAAGTCAGCTCCTTGCTGGATGTTGGGTAGTGGCAGCTCTCTGGAGGCCTCCGCATTCCTCAGCACATGGCTGCCTCCTTCTTCAAGTCAGCAATGGCTTAAATGCCCCTCATAACTTCCTGTTCTGCTACCAGCCAGAGAAGAGCTTGCTTTTAAATGGCTACCTGACTAGGTGATAATCTCGGTATCCTAATATCAACTGACTTGGAATTTTAATTACATCTGCCAAATCCTTTCACAGCAGCACCTAAATTAGTGCTTGACTGAATAACCAGGGGACAGGAATCTTGAGGGGAGCATCTATTAGAATCCTGTCTGTCACACCAGGGAATCCCACTCTTTGCCCCAGACCCTGCGAGAAGACAGTTCCTCTCTGCCACAGGTTTGTTAGGTCCTAATCTAGCCCAATAGACAAGTGTGGTACACATTCTGTCCTCTAGAGAGGCCACAGTCAGCTCTTCGGCTCATTCATAAATTCTTAGCAACTTTGTATGAACTAGGAAAGAGGTGCCCTTTCCTTAAAACAATGTACTGTTATCTGTTGGAAATCTGTTGCACTAACTATACAAACCTCTTGTTTACCTGGTAGTGAATGGCACCCACCTCCAGGAGTTGTGAGTGGCCTTGATCTCAGTAGATCCTGTGGACTCAAATACACCCTGTGCTTTGCAACCACTTGCCCACCCTGGCTATTGTCATAGAGACATTTTTTTCCCAGAATCTTTCTGACATTCTTCATTGATTTATCTGTTAACGATTTGGGGAAAGTTTGAAATAAAATGGCTATAACTTCCTGAAAATGCTATAATGCATTATTAATACCCAGAAAAAAAATTTTGCCACTGGTCTGATATAATCTATTTGGGGGTTTTTTTTGTTTGTTTGTTTGTTTGAGACGGAGTCTCGCTCTGTCACCCAGGCTGGAGTGCAGTGGCGTGATCTTGGCTCACTGCAACCTCCGCCTCCTGGGTTCAAGCAATTCTTGCCTCAGCCTCCTGAGTAGCTAGGACTACAGGTGACTGCCACCAATCCCTGCTAATTTTTTGTATTTTTTTTAGTAGAGACAGGGTATCGCCATGTTGGCCAGGGTGGTCTCAAACTCCTGACCTCAAGTGACCCACCCACCTTGGCCTCCCAAAGTGCTGGGATTACAGGCATGGGCCACTGCGCCTGGCCTAATCTGTTTGTTTATACTCATAAGCAAATATCCAAAATCCTCCAAGGAGCAAACCCTGAAGTAACTGGAATATTAAGGCAATAATGGCAGCCACTAACGTTACTCAGTGCCTCTATCTATCTATCTACCTACCTACCTAGCTACCTACCATCTATCTCTGATCTATATGTGTATACTATATACACATACACTCACGTAATCTCATTTAATCATCACATTCCTTTTGGGTAGGGATTATTATGCCTACTTACAAATAAGAAAACTGAGGCTTTGTAATGTTATATTATTTACCCAAGGTCACAGATAAGAAGAAGCTGAGTCAGGATTCAAACCTCTGTCATCCATTTCAAAGCCCATGCTCCTAACCACTTTGGTGGAGATTAGCTGAGTGCCTGTGCCCTGAATTGAGACCTCGGGCTGTTCAGTGGTGAAGCCAGTGGCCCAACCTGGGACAGGAAAGAAGCCAAGCCTGGAATGTCCTGGTTCTATTCATGAAAATAGCCTGAAGGGAAAAGTGTGGTAGGGAATTGTTTGTAGCTAAGATAGCCAGTAGGACTTGGAGAGAAGTCCATAGAGGAGGAAAAATTGTAGGGCCCTGCATTGTTCACCATTATGTCTCCAGTGGCTGGCACCTTGTTGGGACTCAGTTAGCATGTGCCAGTCAACTGACTGGCCACCTGATCAGCCAGACAGCATGCCTGGGAAAGCTCCTCTCTGCACTCTGCCTCTCTGATGTCTGTTCCTGCTACCACCCCCTGCCCTCTTCAATAAACTAACTCATTTGAATCATGTCCTATGCTGCAGGCCCAGTGCTAAGTGCTTTATCTGCATCTTCTTATTTAAAGTCCTCACGGCTGGGCTCAGTGGCTCACGCCTGTAATCCCAGCACTTGGGGAGGCTGAGGTGAGTGGATCACCTGAGGTCAGGAGTTTGAGACCAGCCTGGCCAACATGGTGAAACCCCATCTCTACTAAAGATACAAAAATTAGCTGGGCGTGGTGGTGGGCGCCTGTAATCCCAGCTACTCGGGAGGCTGAGGCAGGAGAATCACTTGAACCTAGAGATTGCAGTGAGGCAAGAGGCTCTATTGCACTACAGCCTGGGCAACAAGAGCAAAACTCCGCCTCAAAAAAAAATTATTATCACCTTTGTCTTTGTACCACTACCCCAATATCCTTGAAAATATCCTTACTTTCTGGAATGAACAGGATGCTATAGACCCATCCTGATTTTTCTTGTCTCAAGAAATGTAATCAGCTACCCTCCAAGAACTCCTGGTTATTTTAATGGTAAACACTATTAGGCACCAACAACTGGGCATTAAGGATATACATAAGTGTCAGTAGGGTGGCAAAGTTTCACTCAGTGACGAGAGTTGAAAAAAAATTTTTTAAAGAGATGGAGTCGGCCGGGCGCGGTGGCTCATGCCTGTAATCCCAGCATTTTGGGAGGCTGAGGCAGGTGGATCACGAGGTCAGGAGTTCAAGACCAGCCTGGCCAACATAGTGAAACCCTGTCTCTACCAAAAAAATACAAAAATTAGCCAGGTGTGGTGGCACGCACCTGTAGTCCCAGCTACCCAGGAAGCTGAGGCAGGAGAATCGCTTGAACCTGGTAGGCAGGGGATGCAGTGAGTCAAGACAGCACCATTGCACTCCAGCCTGGGTGACAGAGCAAGACTCTGTCTCAAAAAACAAAAAAAAAAATACAAAGAGATGGAGTCTTGGCCAGGCGAGTGGCTCACACCTGTAATCCCAGCACTTTGGGAGGCTGAAGTGGGTGAATTACTTGAGCCCAGAAATTCAAGACCAGCCTGAGCAACATGGCAAAACCCCATCTCTACAAAAAATACAAAAATTAGCCAGGCATGGTGATATGCACCTGTAAGTCCCAGCTACTTGGGAGGCTGAGGTGGGAGGATCGCTTGAGATGTGGAGTTTGAGGCTTCAGTGAGCCATGATTGTACTACTGCACTCCAGCCTGAACAACAAAGGGAGAACCTGTCTCAAAAAAAAAAAAAAAAAAAAAGACAGGGTCTCAACTCTGTTGCCCAGGCTGGAGTGCAGCAGCGTGATCATAAGTTCTCGGCAGCTCAGACCTCTCAGGCTAAAGTGATCCTCTCACCTTGCCACCCCACCCCAGTAGCTGGGACTACAGGCACATGCCATCATGCTGGGCTAATTTTTTAATATTTTGTAAAGATGGAATCTCGCTATGGCTGGGCTTTTTGGTTTTGTTTTGTTTTTGAGACGGATTCTTGCTCTGTCACCAAAGCTGGAGTGCAGTGATGCGATCTTGGTTCACTAAAACTTCTGCCTCCCAGGCTCAAGCGATTCTCGTGCCTCAGCATCCCAAGTAGCTGGGATTACAGGTGTCACACCACCATGCCCAGCTAATTTTTGTATTTTTAGTAGAGACGGGGTTTCACCATGTTTGCCAGGCTGGTCTCGAACCCCTGACCTCAAGTGATCCGCCCACCTCAGCCTCCCAAAGTGCTGGGATTACAGGCGTGAGCCACCACGCCTGGCCCCAGGCTGGTCTTGAACCCCTGGCTTCAAGAGATCATCCTGCTTTGTTTGGCCTCCCTCCCAAAGTGCTGGGATAACAGGCTAAACCATCGTGCTCTGCTAAAAAAATTTTTTCTTTTTTTTCTTCAGACGGAGTCTCACTCTGTCGCCCAGGCTGGAGTGCAGTGGTGCGATCTCGGCTCACTGCAACCTCTGTCTACCGGGTTCAAGAGATTCTCCTGTATCAGCCTCCCGAGTAGCTGGGATTACAGGCGCCCGCCACCATGCCCAGCTAATTTTTATATTTTTAGTAGAGACGGGGTTTCACCATATTGGTCAGGCTGGTCTCCAACTCCTGACCTCAGGTGATCCACCCACCTCGGCCTCCCAAAGTGCTGGGATTACAGGCGTGAGCCACCGAGCCCGGCCAAAAGTTTTCTTAAAGGTAAAGGTTTATATTGATCTTTCCAATTGAACATATCCCTGATGGCCTGTGGATGCACCAACCACACTGACAGAATCATTTGAGGCTGCCTTTAGGTTATCTCCGTCTTAGAGCTTAACAGGAAGTTATGTAGCTTGCCCAAGATTACACTACAAGTAATGGCTGGAATTGGGATTCAAACCCAGCACTGTCTAATTTCAGAAACTGAGGTCCTACAGGTTTCCTACAAGGCCCTGCCTCACCCTCTGCCTGCTCTCAAAAATACCCAGCTTAATCGCTTGCAAAAGACTTTCCACCAACTTGCGCCATTTGGAAGTCATAAATGGGACAAGTTGGTGGAAACTCAGTGAGGTGGGGAGAAGAGGAAACACTACCCAGATTCTTCTTTTCTCCGTACAGGATTCGGGAGTGAGAATGACGAGGAGAGCCCTTCACGAGAAGGGGCTGAAGACAGAGCCCCTCAGGAGGCTCCTGCCCAGGAGGGGCCTCCGGACAAATGTCCGGCCCAGTTCCATGGCGGTGCCGGACACCAGAGCTCCCGGGGGAGGCAGCAAGGCCCCGAGGGCACCCAGAACAATCCCCCAGGGTAAGGGGAGGTGAGTGGGCTCCCCAAGCAAGCCAAGACCCCTAAAGCCTCCCTTGGCTGCCCCAAGATCCAGCCACTACCTGTGCCCCGAGGGCGGAAAGAGCTTCCCAGCTCACCCACCGCGGTAACATCGGAGGGCGAGCGGCCCCACACCTGCCCGAACCTAAGGCCACAGCACCCATCTGGCTCGCCACTGGCGCCCGAATGCATGGGAAGGGCTTAGGGCAGAACTCGGACCACATCCAGTGCCTGAGGCCGCCTTGCTAGAGGCCTAGGGGAGGGGTGCACTGGGCTGCCTCGCCCACCTCCTCACGCACCCATGCGGCCACCCTCCCAGCGGTCTGAGTGTGCCATGCGAGGCGCCTGCCACCCCGGGAGAGGCGCCGAGTCCCGAGTCCTGCCGGCACTGAGCCTCCGGGTCCACAGCGGGCAAGGGCCGTGGCGGGGACAAGCGCAGGGGACCCGCCGGCCTCCCGCCTTCTGCAGCACCACGAGATGCCCACGTGGCACCTGGACGTCCATGCATATGTTGAGGCCCGTGCACGCGCAGAGACCCCAGCGCAGAAGCCGCCCCGCACGCCAGGGCTTATGTATGCCAGCGCTGGGAGACCTCCAGCGCCCGAGGACATACGGCAAGTGGTTCCACCAGGGTGTCAGCCTAGCAGGCCAACCTGGGAACCCATGTGGACAAGCGGCCTTTCAGCCCAGGCGCCCGCCTCGGGTGGAGGCGTGGAGACTTCTGGCGCAGCCCTGAGCTGGTGGCCTAACCTACCTGGAAAATCCTAGCCCGAGAAGCAGCGCGAGTGAGCCTTTTGGGTGGTTCCAAGGCCCTTCACCAAGCTCTCACTTCCTGACTTCACCGTTGGGTCTGTTGTACTAGGAAATAATAACGCCTCCCATTTATCAAGGGTTTACTCTGTACCAGGCATTGTGACTGATGTAATTTAGTTCTCACTGCATCCCTGTGGCATGGATATTCTCATTATCTGCATTTTGCAGATGGAGAAATTGAGTCTCTGAGAGGTTAAGGAACCTGCCCAAAGTCAGCAATGCAGTACCACTTCTTGTGCTGGGACACAGCGGGGTTAAGGCCGTGGGTTAACAGGGCCTCCATTTATGGAGAGCATTCATTTTTCTCTGGTGAATTACAGAAAACGCTTTCTACACTGAAGTGAGTAGATACTCCCTGGGATGAAAGTCAACATTCGTACCAATGATTGAGATGACAGAAATTTCACGCTTCAAGCCAATGCTTTAGGTTCAGCCCATGGAATTCTGGAATGACCTTTTCTCAGTCGTCACCAGGGTGATGTTGGTGAAGGAAGCTCCATTCCAGGACCAGCTCCTGTGTAGAGCCTTCCTGGAGGCCAACAAGGATGACCTCTCTCCATTTGCCATCCCACTGGGTTGTCTGGGAAGTTCATCCAGTTCCTCTGGGCTAAGATTTCCAAGTTCCCAAAAGGGAAACTAATCTTCAGGAGTTGGGAATGAAAAAATGGGATTTGGGGGAATTCCTGAAAGCATGTTATTCTGTATTTTTCATAACTTTCTGTGTTTTTTTTTTTTGTTTGTTTGTTTGTTTGTTTGTTTTTGAGACGGAGGTTTGCTCTTGTCACTCAGGCTGGAGTGCAGTGGTGTGATCTCGGCTCACTGCAACCTCTGCCTTCCGGGTCCAAGTGATTCTCCTGCCTCAGCCTCCCTAGCAGCTGGGATTACAGGCACGTGCCACTATGCCCAGCTAATTTTTTGTATTTTTAGTACAGAGAGGGTTTCATCATGTTGGCCAGGCTGGTCTCAAACTCCTGACCTTAGGTGATCCACCCACCTCAGCCTCCCAAAGTGCGGGGATTACAGGCGTGAGCCACCATGCCCGGCCACTTTCTGTATTTTTTAATAAATAAGAAATACACATTTAGTAGTAGTTACAAAGATCTGTAGGCCGTAGCAAATATTCAGTAACTGGAAGATGCCAATGAACATTGTTGGGTAGTATTTAAATAACAAAATGTTCAAATATTTGACAAGATTAACAACACTACACAGAATCACGAGTTGAAATTGCCAGTTTAGGCTGAGTGTGGTGGCACATGCCTGTAATTCCAGCACTTTCGGAGGGCAAGGCAGGAGGATCACTTGAGCCCAGAGTTTGAGGCTATAGTGAGCTATGATTGCACCACTGCACTCCAGCCTGGGCAACAGAGCAAGACCGTGTCTCTTAAAAAAAGAGAGAGGGAGAGAATTGCCAATTTAAGGACTTATGTGTTTCCAAAACTTGTTATTTATTAGAACATCATTTGTAGGATTTGTATAAAACACAGTGCACGTCAACATTAATATTTGTGGGAATGACTCGCTCTTAACAACAGGTACAGCCACAAATATACTTTTAGTGTGTCAACAGCTACAAAAAGTATTTTGACTACTTATCTCCTAGGTACTCTTATCCCATATTCTGGAAATGTCTACCTTAACTTTATTTATTTATTTTTTGAGACAGTCTTGCTGCAGCTCCCAGGCTCAGGTGCAGTGGTGCGATCTCGACTCCACCTCCCGGGTTCAAGCAATTCTTGTGCCTCAGCCGCCCGAGTAGCTGGGATTAGAGGCATATGCCACCATGCCCGGCTAAGTTTTGTATTTTTTGTAGAGACACGGTTTTGCCATGTTGGCCAGGCTGGTCTCGAACTCCTGACCTCAAATGATCCAACCGCCTCAGCCTCCCAGAGCACCGGGATTACAGTACCTTAACTTTAGACTCTGTGTGTCAACGTTGCCTTCTCTTGCTTTCAATTTGGCATCAGTGGATTTCTTTAAGCCAGGAATGCCTCTATGTTGATTGTTAAGCATTAATTCTCACAGGAGAATTATAATGCTTTTCCCCATTTTCCCAATTTCTTGACTGATCGATTTTGGGATTCAGAAGAACATACAGATTTCCTGATAAATTCCAGAAGGGATTTCCTGCATAGAAACACTACTTTGGGGCTGGGCACAGTGGCTCATGCCTATAATCCCAGCACTTTGGGAGGCCAAGGCGGTTGGATCATTTGAGGTCAGGAGTTCAAGACCAGTCTCGCCAACATGGTGAAACCTCATCTCTACTAAAAATACAAAAAAAAAAAAAAAATTAGCCGGGCATGGTGCTGTACACCTGTAGTCCAAGCTACTCGGGAGGCTGAGGCAGGAGAATCGCTTAAACCCAGGAGGTGGAAGTTGCAGTGAGCAGAGATTGTGCACTCCAGCCTGGGTGACAGAGTGAGATTCTATCTCAAAAAAGAAAAAGAAAGGCCGGGCGCGGTGGCTCATGCCTGTAATCCCAGCACTTTGGGAGGCCGAGGCGGGCGGATCACGAGGTCAGGAGTTCGAGACCATCCTGAACAACATGGTGAAACCCGTCTTTCCTAAAAATACAAAAATTAGCCAGGCATGGTGGTGCGTGCCTGAAATCCTACCTACTCAGGAGGCTGAGGCAGGAGAATTGCTTGAACCCAGGAGGCAGAGGTTGCAGCAAACTGACATCCCACCACTGCACTTCAGCCTGTGTGACAGAGGGAGATTTGTCTCAAAAGAAAAGGAAAAAGAAAGAAAAAGAAACACTACTCTGGACTGAGCAGCATCGGCAAGTCAAGTCTGCTGCTGGAATTTTACCTAGAACATTGAATCTTGCCTTTTTGGTTTCAGGGGCCTCAGAGCCAGAGAATCCAAGTATGGATCCTAGCTCTGCCAGTTCCTGGTGGCGAGGTCTTGGGCAAGTCACTTTACCTCTCTGAGCTTCAATTTAATGGATAGAATAATGTGTGGGGAGTCAATGCTTGCTTTTTGAGGCAATATTGTAGGAGGGTTAAGAGTGTGGCTCTGTAGTCAGTCTGAGGTTTGAATCCTGGCTCCATTACTTACCACCTCTTTGATTTGAGGCAAGTTACGAACCACTCCATTTTTCTCTTCTGTAAAGTGGTGGCACTGATTGATGATTGTGGCAGACATCATCTTCATAGAGTTTTCATGAGTTTAAATGGGATCACATATGAAAATGCTTAACATAGAACATGGTACATTGTAAGTGCTTGATAAATGCAAACCACTGTAGCTGTTACCTGCTGTATCTACCTCACCGGGCAGTCGTGAGGATGAAAGGGAGGCTGTGTTGGGGAAGTGCTTTCTAAACTGTGAAATGGTAGCCACACACTTCTCTTGCCTTCAGAGATGGGATGGTTGGAAGCTATGGGCAGACGTTAATGGTATCCCCAAATAAGGGGCCTGAGAATACTTACCTATGTCCACAGAAGGTAGCTGTGTTGAGGCGAGTGTCACCATGGGTAGCTGGAAAACAGTGCAAAATGCTCTCAGCTAAGGGTTAATTGTAGTCATGAGGGCAAACTCTGGCATGGTATGACTTGGGGCACCCTTGGGGACAGGGAGAAAACTGATTTTTCAGAAAGAGGCTTTAGAGGAAGGATCATGTTAAATGGAACCTGCCCACTATATGTTTTTGTTTTTGTTTTTAATTAGGGGCCGCATCAGAGGAAGGGGACATGTAATAGAAGGTGGTTGGAGGGCTCTGACTTTTGTCTGAAACTGCTATTGGTGAAAGGCTGAACTTAGGACACATTCCTGTGAGCGGCAACCAGTGCACCCTCTCGCACTGTGCATGCACCACGATGTCATTCATTGCCTAGACCGTAGACCAAACATGGCTCAAAGGGCCTTCCAGAGAGGATCGCATGTCATTCTGACAGTAGCCCCTCAACAATGTACAGATGAGGGCTTGAAGTCTCAGAAAGTCAAGTCCATTGTCCAAGGTCACACAACTGATATTAATATATCATGAAGTCAGGATTCAGACACAGTCCAAGCTCTTTTTTTTTTTTTTTTTTTTTTTGAGCCGGAGTCTCACTCTATCACCCAGGCTGGAGTGCAGTGGCACAATCTTGGCTCACTGCAACCTCCTCCTCCCAGGTTCAAGTGATTCTCGTGCCTCAGCCTCTCGAGTAGCTCGGACTATGGACTTGTGCCACCGCGCCTGGCTAGTTTACAGTCCAAGCTCTTAACCTCACCAGCCTGCCTCAACCACCAGGGGCCAGACTGCTGATCTTGAACAAGGAAGAAGAAAATCCAAATGGTTTCAGTGCCTAAATGTCCTCCTTTCTTGCCTTTGGTAACAACTTTTTCTGTCTCTGAATATCATTGCTACTTCTCTGGACACTGCTTCTCTGCTTCCAGGGCTGTTTTTCTTGCTTAGCCCTAAGTCAGCCTCGTTTGGGCCCTGTCCTTAGACTCTTTCTTCTGCACGGGTCTGTGAAAGATCTCCTTTATGTGCGCAGCTCCAGCTGTTGGTCCTTTCTCAGTAGTCTAACCCAGACTGCCCCTCTGAGCGCCAGCCTGAGCAGCCAGCTGCCTCCTTGACATCCCCTCTCTGGGTCTCATTCGTGATGTCTCCCCTAACACGGCTTGCTTCCAAAGTGCCACCTCCTCCCTGCCATGGCCTCTTAGTTCCAAATTGTGGCATAGTGGTGGGGAATTTAGAAAGGCTTCAAAGACGAAGCCTCTTGAATGAGTTCTCAGGGCTAGAGATAGACCACAGAGTGTGTTCTCTGAGCGCTACCAACAGTCTGGGGGTGAATTTGGAGAGTGGAATTCACCATTTAATCAGTCAGCTGGCTATGGAATGCCCAGCTGCATGCCAGGTCCAGCCGCTGGGGTGGAAAGATGCATTCATGAGTAGAACAAACAGGATTCCTGGCTTCAGGGAGCATCCAGGCTGTTGGAGAAGACAGACGTCATGCAATCCCCCAAAATACACTCTTATAAACTGTGATAAGTGTCATGAAGGAAAAGTTCTTGGTGCCATGAAAGCATATTGTAGATCTAAATTAGATTAAGATGGTCAAAGAAGGTCATTGTGAGAAAGTGACAATTACTGTCTCCCTGAGATCTGAATTGGGGAGGAGAATTCCATAGACAAGCAAGAGTAGGCACAAAAGACCCAAGGGTGGGAAAGAGCTTGGTATGGTGGGGAAACTGAAAGGCAATCCTTATAGTGGGAGCTGAGCATGCAGGGGCTTGGGCTGAGATAAAGCCAGGTGGCCTGGGCGGGGGTGATGGCAGAGCCTGGTGGGCCACAGTAAGGAGCCTGGAGGCTTTAGGTTAACTTTTTTTTTTTTTTTTCTTAAATTTGAGACACAGACTCACTCTGTCCCCAGGCTGGAGTGCAGTGGTGTGATCTTGGCTCATTGCAACCTCTACCTCCGAGGTTCAAGCGATTCTCCCACCTTAGGCTCTCAAGTAGCTGGATTACAGGTGCCTGCCACTACACCTGGCTAATTTTTGTATTTTTAGTAGAGAGAGAGTGTCACCATATTGGCCAGACTGGTCTCGAACTCTTGACCTCAAGTGATCCACCCTCCTCTGCTTCCCAAAGTGCTTACAAATCCCCAAAGGGATTACAGGCATGAGCCACCATGCCCTTCCTGGTTTAACTTTTTATTTGGAAATAATTTCAAAGTTACAGAAAAGTCTCAAGAATAGTACAATGGACATCTGCATAGCCTTTGTCCCAAATTCACCTGGTGTTCACATTTTACCCCATTTCTCTGTCACTGGCCATCTCTCTATTTAAGGTATATACAGATGACTTTGATTCCAATCTAGTTGAGAATAAGTTGCAGACCTCATGTTCCTCTACCCCTAAATAGTGTGTTTCCTCCCACAGTACAGTTATCCACTGCATTAAATTTCACACTGATCCAATGTGGTATCAAAGTTACTTTGTCACTTGTCTCAGTAACACCCTTTAGATGCCATTTCTCCTCTAGCACAGGATCAAGTCTAAGAATGCTGTATTGCATTCGGTTGTTGTTTCTCTCTAGTATCCCTTAATCGGGAATGGTTAGCCTTTCTTTGTCTGCATGGTGTTGATATTATTGAAGAATTCAATCTTCCCCTTTATCTTAATAGAACATTCTTCATTTGGGGTTTGTCTACTTGTTTCTTCATTATAATATATGGATTATGCATTCCTGGCTGGAAGACTGTGTAAGTGATACTGTGTCCTTCTCAGTGTAACAGCTAAAGCCACACATGTCTGTCTGTTCCTCCGTGGTGATTTTTTTTAAAACAGAGTCTTGCTCTGTTGCCCAGGCTGGAGTGCAGTGCAGTGGTGTGATCTCAGCTCACTGCAACCTCCGCCTCCTGGGTTCAAGCAATTCTCCCTGCTTCAGCCTCCCTAGTAGCTGGGATTACAGGTACCCACCACCATGCCCAGCTAATTTTTGTATTTTTTAGTAGAGACTGGGTTTCGCCATGTTGGCCAGGCTAGTCTTGAACTCCTGCCCTCAGGTGATCCGCCTGCCTCGGCCTCCCAAAGTGCTGGGATTACAGGCGTGAGCCACCACACCCAGCCCCTCCTTGGTGATTTTAATTTTGATCACCAAGTCAAGGTTATTTGATTTCTCCAATCTAGAGTTACTATTTTTCCCTTGTAACAAGTAATCTATGAGGAGGTATTTTATAACCATGACTATATCCTATTCCACATCAAAAGTTAAATAGATGAGATTTAACACCTATTGATGATTCTTGCCTAAGAATCACGATGGTTACAGAATAGTAACTCAACCCCAGGACTCCCTCCACATTTATTAGTCAACACTTGGCATTCTTCTGTCCACTTATTTTAGATTCACTATTCATAGGGACTCTTGGATTTCTATTATTTTCCAATAAATTTTATAATTAGTTATTAATCTTAATTATTTTGGTGCTCAGATTGTCCCAGATTTGGCCGCTGGAAGCTCCTTAAAACTACAAGCCTGGATTTCATCCCAGCTTCAGTGTAGTGGCATGATTCAGTTTACGGATAAGATCACCGTGACTACTGTATGAGAATGCACTTATAGGGGCACACATGAGGAAGCAGGGAGACCCTCGTGTAGTCCAGGTGGGAGATGTGGCTTAGATTAGGGTTGTGACATACATGGGGAGGGAATGGATGGAGGTAAGAGAAACATTGGAAGCCAAGTGCTGTGGCTCACGTCTGTAATCCCAACACTTTGGGAGGCCAAGGCAGGAGGATCGCTTGAGGCCAGGAGTTTGAGACCTGCCTGGGCAACATAGCAACACCCTGTCTCTTAAAAAAAAAAAGTAAGAATTGGCTGGGCGCGGTGGCTCACACTTGTAATCCCAGCACTTTGGGAGGCCAAGGCAGGCGGATCACGAGGTCAGGAGTTCGAGACCACGGTGAAACCCCGTCTCTACTAAAAATACAAAAAATTAGCCGGGCATGGTGGCGGGCGCCTGTAGTCCCAGCTACTCGGAGAGGCTGAGGCAGGAGATGGCGTGAACCCGGGAGGTGGAGCTTGCAGTGAGCCGAGATCGAGCCACTACACTCCAGCCTGGGTGACAGAGCGAGACTCCGTCTCAAAAAAAAAAAAAAAAAGTAAGAATTAGCCAGGCATGGTGCTGTGCACCTATAGTCCTAGCTATTCGGAAGGCTGAGGTGGGAGGATCACTTGAGCCCAGGAGTTTGAGGCTCCAGTGAGCCATGATTGTGCCACTGCACTCCAGCCTCAGTAACAGAGTAAGACCCTGTCTCTAAAATAAAATAAAAACATTGGAGGTAGAATCAGCAGGATTTAGTGGTGGATTGAACGCACAGTCAGAAAGGGCAGAGTTGAGAGCCACCGGAGCATCCGGGGGAATGGTGATGTTGACTTAATACAGGGAAGACAAGCAGAGTAAGGGGTTGGGTGGTGGTGGGGGGAGGTGTTAGATTCGTTGAGTTTGAGGGGTCTGGAATATCCAGTGTTCTCTGGCACCCAAGTGAAGGGGTCAGTGAGACAACTATACTCTGGAGCTGACACAGAAGTCCAGACCAGAAGTAAACTTAAGGCCACGAATCCATGGTCTTGGATGAATCATGTTGTAAGGGGAGAATGTGGACTGAGATGGGAGTGCACTGTTTGGGGGTGCAGGGGTGTATGGCCAGAATTTGCAGTGGAGAGGTAGGTGGGGACCAGGGCACATGGCGCCTGGAGTGTCAGGCCAAATGCTTAGCGCTGGGGAGCCCACTGAAGAGTCTTGGGCAGAGCAGTGAATGACAGGTGTGATTGGCGTTTCAGCAGGACTGTTCTGACAGCCAGTACAGATGATCTGGGGGGGGCTGTGGCAGTGGCTGATGCTGTTGTCCTTTCTGAAGTAAATCTGCTCATCTCTTGCCCCTGGAGGTGGCTCAGGCGGGTCGCCATGCCTGAATGCCCTCTCCTTGTTCATCTGGGTGCAAAAACGATGATTAAAACACCTGTCTCAACTGCACTCACCAGCCCCCGGTGATGTGATAGCAAACCCATGTCTCCCTGCCTCATTGTGGCCAGAGCTATACAACCTGCTCCTTTACCAGCCCCTGGTGATGTGACAGCAAACCCATGTCTCCCTGCCTCATTGTAGCTAGAGCTATACAACCTGCTCCCGGGACCTTTTCCCAGCCAGGTATAACACAGCAGGTGTGAGTGTGCACAGGTTGGTCCCCAAGGCTTGCTGGAGTCTGTTTGGGCACCATAATCCTCTGCCCTGGCATGCTTTGAGTTCACTGTGGTCTCTGTCATTCCGGCCAGTGCTCATTCAAACCTGTATATTGTCCCCTCCCACCCCGCACAGCCCATAGAGGGTGGGTTCAAGTCGGAATGAACATCCTGGGGTGCAGGCATCCAGGAAGTATGCAGTCCTGCCTATGGGGTGCTGACAGCCCCTTGGCAGGACACAGATAACCAAAGGCAGAAATTGTAAGAGACCAGAGGGAGGGGCAGGTGCTCTGGGAGCCCAGGAAAGGCCAGAGTGTTTCTGGTTGGAGAAATCAGGGTCGGTCCTCAGAGAAGATGGCGTTTGAACTGGGACTTGAGGAGAAGACTATTTTCCATTTCACACAAGAAATCTTTGATTATTCAGTAAAAAGAGGAAATATAAGAAAAAAAATCAGACTAGTCTGGCCAACATGGTCTAAAAATACAAAATTAGCCAGGCATGGTGGCGGGCGCCTGTAATCCCAGCTACTTGGGAGGCCCAAGCAGGAGAATCGCTTAAACTCGGGAGGCGGAGGTTGCAGTGAGCCGAGATCATGCCACTGCACTCCAGCCTGGCAGACAGAGCAAGACTCCATCTCAAAAAAAAGTAAAAAAAAAAAAAAGAAAAAAAAGGCCGGGTGCAGTGGCTCATGCCTGTAATCCCAGCACTTTGGGAGGCCGAGGTGGGTGGATCATGAGGTCAGAAACTCGAGACCAGCCTGGCCAATATGGTGAAACCCTGTTTTTACTAAAACTACAAAAATTAGCCGGGTGTGGTGGCAGGTGTCTGTAATCCCAGCTACTCCGGAGGCTGAGGCAGGAGAATCACTTGAACTCGGGAGGCGGAGTTTGCAGTGAGCTGAGGTAGCGCCAGTGCACTCCAGCCTGGACGACAGAGCGAGACTTCATCTCAAAAAAAAAAAAAAAAAAAAAAGGAAAAAGAAAAACAATCAAAGCCCCACTTCCTCATATTTTATTGACATTGTCAACACAGCCATTATAGGTTGCATAACAATCTATTAGGTGGATCCTGCATAGTTAGTCCTCTTATTGTTGGACTAATTCATTCCAGGCCTCAGGACATGGGCTTCCAGCCTGTGGCTGGGCAATGGGGCCAGATGCAACTCAGGAATCAGTGCTTGAGTCCATCTGCTCATTTTCTTCCACTCATAATGTCTATTAAGAACTCAATGCCTACCGGGCCCTGTGGATCCAATGAGTATCAGGACATGGTTCCTGTCCTGTCAAGTCTACTAGTAAGTGAGTCATAAGTGAAAAGAATTAGTTGTAGAGAAACCTGTAGAGTGCCACAATCAAGGCACAGGATGTTCAAGATGCGGTGATGACACAGACACAGGAGCTTCAGCCCTGGGAACAGGAGAGGACACCAGGCGGGGCTCGAGGAGTGAGAGGGGACAGGCCTGATGACACACGCCAGGGGACCAAGCCCGCGGGGATGCCTCCAAGCGTGTCTCTGTCCACAGGCAGAAAACTCATCCCACCACCTCTCAGGCCTCTGAGTGTTTGCTTTTTCTGTTTTCTATTTCAAATATTCCATTTCTCCCATTTTTGGAGGAACTGTTTTTATACTACTTTCCAAAATCCCAACTTGCAAGCATGCTTAATTCGTTTCATTTTTCTTCTATTTTTGACACTAAAAGCATTTAATGCTGTTTTTACCTCTGCATATAGCTTTGGCTGTTAATCCTACTTTTTAAATTATTTTCTAAATCGTCTGTTTTTTAATTTTTTTAACTCTTGATTTACATCTTGTCCTAAGGATAATTTGAGGTGCTACTTACGTTTCAAAATTTCTAAGTGGTATGTTTTACATTATTGTTAGTTGTATTGCATTTTGATCTGAGAATGGTTTCTAGAATTTCTACTTTTCAAAATTTACCAAAATATTCTTTGTAGCTTAATAATTATTTAATTTTGTCCACTGTCCATGAAACTTGAAAAGAAGGTGTACTGTTTGTTTTCAGGGTAAGAAATTTATATGTTCATATTTTCTATGTCCTTATTTATTTTTTGATTATTTGTTCAGAAAATGTGTTAGAATATTTCCAATAAAACTGTTTCTCATGTTTTTCCTTGTATTGTTATATATTTTATTTCACAGTTCTTTGTTGTTTATTTAACATAAGAAAAAAAAAAAGGCTGGGCGTGGTGGCTCATGCCTGTAATCCCAGCACTTTGGGAGGCGGAGGTGGGCGGATCACAAGGTCAAGAGCTCGAGACTATCCTGGCCAACATGATGAAACCCCATCTCTACTAAAAATACAAAAATTAGCCGGGTGTGGTGGTGCATGTCTGTAATCCCAGCTACTCAGGAGGCTGAGGCAGGAGAATCGCTTGAACCCAGGAGGCAGAGGTTGCAGTGAGCTGAGATCTCGCCATTGCACTCCTGCCTGGGCAACAGAGCAAGACTCCATCTCAAAAAAAAAAAAAAATTAAACCCATTCGAGGCTGGGCCCAGTGGCTCACACCTGTGATCCCAGCACTTGGGAGGCCGAAGTGGGCAGATCTCTCGAGCTCAGAAGTTTGAGACCAGCCTGGGCAACATGACGAAACCCCTTCTCTAACAAAAAATACAAAAATTAGCCAGACAGGGTGGCATGTGCCTATAGTCCCAGCTACTTGGGAAGCTGAGTGGGAGGATCACTGGAGCCCGGGAGGGAGAGGTTGCAGTGAGCTGAGATCACACCACAGCGCTCCAGCCTGAGCGACAAGAGCGAGACTCCATCTAAAAAAAAAAAAAAAAAAAATTAGGGCTGGGCGCAGTGGCTCACGCCCATAATCCCAACACTTTAGGAGGCCGAGGTGGGCAGATCACGAGGTCAGGAGATTTAGACCATCCTGGCTAACACAGTGAAACCCCGTCTCTACTAAAAATACAAAAAATGGCCGGGCACGGTGGCTCACACCTGTAATCCCAGCACTTTGGGAGGCTGAGGTGGGCGGATCACGAGGTCAGGAGATCGAGACCATCCTGGCTAACACGGTGAAAACCCATCTCTACTAAAAATACAAAAAAATTAGCCGGGCTTGGTGGCGGGTGCCTGTAGTCCCAGCTACTAGGGAGGCTGAGGCAGGAGAATGGTGTGAACCCGGGAGGCGGAGCTTGTAGTGAGCCAAGCTCGTGCCACTGCACTCCAGCCTGGGCAACAGTGCAAGACTCCATCTCAAAAAAAATAAAAATTAAAAATATAGGCCGATTCTTCCTCGTGCTTGGCATTGAGCTCCCGCAGCCGAGCCTGGGTCATGCCTGCCCTGCCCGGCCCCGGGTGCACACTGCAGCCCCTGCAACACGGGAGGCTGCTAAGCGTGAGTGGCGGTGTCCAGCAGGCGCTGTGTGGCAGGGAGGGCATCCATGGCTGCAGCCAACAACGGCAACAAGCCCAGAGTCCGGAGGAGTATCTGCTTTGCGGCAGGCCACGATACAGAGGGCTCCCATGTTGCTGTCGGTTGCTACAGGTGTGAACGAAGGGGGATGAATGCAGAAATGAAGACCAAGACAAAAAGATCTGTTTTGAAAGAAGGGGTCAGGGGGCTCCTTGCTTCTAGTGAACAAGGGCAGCCCTGAGCTTCCACAGCCCTTCGTATTTATTAGGTAGAAAGAGCAGGGAGGGAGAGGTAACGGTTGGTCAGTTGCTTGATTTATCACAGGTACACATAATTGCTTTCTTTGTACAACAGGCTTCAGATGTTCCTATAGGTAATCACAAGGAACACTGCGCTTGGGGCGTGACTGCTCTCAGCACTCCCTCTGTGGGCAGATGCAGCCCTCAGTTTTCCAACATCCTGCTTTCATGAGAACAGTTTTCTGTTTACTCATATAGCCTCCAGTGGTATACTGAGTTGGTCACGACCCACATTTTCTCGACCTGTAATACTCCCAGAGCCACGTCTGCTTTGATGAGAGGCTTCATGACTCGGTGGTCATGGCCACCCAGGACAGCGACAGCAGCTTTCTGGTCAAGGTTGGCTTCCTGAAGATCCTGCGCAGGTATGAGATTACCTTCACTCTTCCCCCGCCCAGTGAGCAAGCACGTCCGTGAGGCACCTGTTCCCAGCCTCTGCATGTCAAGCTCCTCAGCGTTGTTCCTGTCCCTGAAGGTTACAGTGTCAAGTGCGAGTACTCAGCGCACAAAGAGGGTGTCCTCAAAGCCGCGATGCTGCCAGCCTGCGAAGGTGGCGCCGGCGCCTGTGTGAGCGTGGCAGTGCAGGCTGGCGCCAGGGGCCGACACCACGGCATGCCCACCTGCTGGACGGTGTCAAGGGCTCGGGCGCCGCGCTGGAATAAGACTCGCAGCACAGCCACTGGCACGGCTTTGACTGAGGCCGGAGGCCCTGCCCGCCCCGAGCCCTCAGCCTTAAACCCCGCCTGGTCCCCGTGACACGCTGCGTGATGGTGGCTTCCTCGGCCCTCTCCGGGGTGGGCGTGGGGTGGAGTGGCCCTGGCCAGCCTCCCACCTCTGCCTTCATTCCTGCCACCACCGTGCCTCTCCCGTCCTCCTCTTCCACTTCCTCCTCTCCGTGTGCCTCAGGCTCCTGCCAGAAGACATTGGTTGAGCCCACAAGGAGACTGTCTGGGGAAGGGATGGGGAGGGCCTGGGGTGGGTTCTCCCCACTGCCCACCCCAACCCACAGGAGCTCCAGCTAGGGTCTGGGGGAGGATGGAGCTTGCTCTGTGACGTCGTGGCCCCATCACTGCTGCTGCTGCCTGGCGTCAGCCACCTCTCCTGCTCCTCTCTCTTCTCCTCTGCTGTCCACAATGAGTAGGAGGGAGGTGCAGTCCCCACCTCTCACCCCTCAGGTCTGTGTTACTTGGTTTTTAAGTGACTGATTGGGATAGAACCCTAAAGAAATAAAACTTCCAGTGGATACGAAATTATATATATATATGCCCATATGTGTATATATATATATGCCCATGTGTGTGTGTGTGTGTGTATATATATATATATATATATATGCCCATATGTGTGTGTGTGTGTGTATGTATATATATATATATATATATATATATATATATATATATATGCCCATATGTATATATATGGGCATGGTGGCTCATGCCTGTAATTCCAGCACTTTGGAAGGCCAAGACAGGAGGATCACTTGAGACCAGGAGATCAAGACCAGCCTGGTCAACAGAGCAAGACCCCATAAGACCCCATCTCTATCTACAAAAATAAAAATAAAAAATAAAAAGAAATTAAAAATATATTAACAAATTAAAAACAATAAATAGAATTTCTTTATCTGATGGAAAGGATATATATTTTTTAAAAACTAGGCCGGGTACAATGGCTCACACCTGTAATCCCTGCACTTTGGGAGGCCAAGGCGGGCAGATCACAAGGTCAAGAGCTTGAAAGCATCCTGGCGAACATGGTGAAATGCTGTCTTTACTAAAAATACAAAAATTAGCTGGGGGTGGTGGCACGCACCTGTAGTCCCAGCTACTCGGGAGGCTGAGGCAGGAGAATCACTTGAACCACAGAGGCGGAGGTTGCAGTGAGCTGAGATCACGCCACTGCATTCCAGCCTAGGTGATAGAGTGAGACTCCATCTCAAAAAAAATAATAAAAACCCAAAAAACTAACTACTACAACTAATAAATGAATTTAGCTCTGTCTAGGATACAAGTTCAATATACAAAAATCAGTTGCAGTTTTTCAGCTGTAAATTTTGTGTACCATTAGTGACAACTGGAAAATAAAATGTAAGGGATTTCCATTCTTATTATTCTTATTCAACAAAGTGCTGGAAGATCTAGCCAGTGCAAGAGGGCAAGAGAAGAAAATAAAAGGCATGCAGATTGGAAAGGAAGAAATAAAACTCACTATTTGGAGATGACATGATTGTCTACAGAGAAAATATGAAGGAATCTACCAAAAAACTCCTGGAACTAATGAGTTCAGCAAGGTCTCAGTGTACAAGACATAGATTGGAAATATCAATTACATTTCTATACGCTAACAATGAACAGGTGGACACTGAAATGAAAAATATAATATGTGCCAGGCATGGTGTCGCACACATGTAATCCCAGCACTTTGGGAGGCCGAGGCGGGCAGATCGCTTGAGGTCAGGAGTTTGAGACCAGCCTGACCAATATAGTGAAACCTCATCTCTACTAAAAATACAAACATTGGCCGGGCGTGGTGGCTGGGCGTGGTGGCTCACTCCTGTAATCCCAACATTTTGGGAGGCCAAGGTGGGCAGACCACCTGAGGTCAGGAGTTCAAGACTAGCCTGGCCAACATGGCAAAACTCCATCTCTACTAAAAATGCAAAAATTAGCCAGGTGTGGTGGCACATGCCTGTAGTCCCAGCTACTTGGGAGGCACAAGAATTTCTAGAACCCAGGAGGTGGAGGTTGCAGTGAGCTGAGATCGCCCCACTGCACTGTAGCCTGGCTAAACTGTCTCCAAAAAAAAAGAAAAGAAAAGAAAAGAAAAGAAATAAAAATATAATATGACTTACAGTCTCTCAAAACAAGAAAAAGGAAATATGTAAGTGTAAATCTAATAAAATATGTATAGGACTTCTATGCTGAAAAGTACACAACACTAATAAAAGAAATCAAAGATCTGTATAAATGGAGAGACATACTACGTTCATGGATCAGAAGACTCACTATAGTAAAGATATTAATTCTCCCCCAAATTGTTATACAAGTTTAATAAAATGTCTATTAAAATCCCAGCAAGGTTTCCTTGTGGGTTTTGTGTTGGTTTGTTTGTTTTTATTTTTTAAATTTATGTATTTATTTATTTATTTTTAGATGGAGTCTCCCTCTGTCACCCAGGCTGGAGTACAGTGGCGCAATCTCAGCTCACTACAACCTCCGCCTCCCGGGTTCAGGCAGTTCTCCTGCCTCAGCCTCCTGAGTAGCTGGGGTTACAGGCACCCGCCACTACATGTGGCTAATTTTTGTATTTTTAGTAGAGACGGGGTTTCACCATGTTGGTCAGGCTGGTCTCGAACTCCTGACCTTGTGATCCGCCTACCTCAGCCTCCCAAAGTGCTGGGATTACAGGCATGAGCCATCGCGACAAGCCTTGTTTTTGTTTTTTAGACAGAGTATTGCTCTGTTGCCCAGGCTGGAGTGCAGTGGTGAGATCTCGGCTCACTGCAACCTCCGCCTCCCGGGTTCAAGCAATTCTCCTGCCTCAGCCTTCCAAGTAACTGGGATTACAGGCGTATACCACCACGCCCAGCTAATTTTTGTATTTTTAGTAGAGACAGGGTTTTGCCATGTTGCCCAGGCTGCTATCGAACTCCTGGCATCAAGGGATCAGCCCACTTCAGCCTCTCCAAGTGTTGGGATTACAGGCGTGAACCACTGCACCCAGCCCCAGCGAGATTTCTTTGTAAATATAGACAAGATTATTCTAAAATTTATATGAAAAGGAGAGGAAACTAGAATAGCTAAAACAATTTTGAAAAAGAAGAATAAAATAAAAAGAATCATCACTAGATTAAAAACTTATTATATAGCTAGAGTAATCAAGACTCTATTGGCAGAAGAATAAATCACTGGAACAGAATAGAGAGCCTAGAAGCAGACCCATATATATATTTCCAACTGATTTCTTACAAAGTTGCAAAAGCAGCCAGGTGCAGTGGCTCATGCCTGGAATCCCAGCACTTTGGGAGGCTGAGCCGGGTGGATCGCCTGAAGTCAGGAGTTCGAGACCAGCCTGGCCAACATAGTGAAACCCTGTCTCTACTAAAAATACAAAAAATTAGCTAGGTGTAGTGGTGGGTGCCTACTTGGGAGCTACTTGGGAGGCTGAGGCAGAAGCTTGAACTTGGGAGGCGGAGGTTGCAGTGAGCCGAGATCGTGCCACTGCACTCCAGCCTGGGTGACAGAGCGAGACTCCGTCTACAAAAAATAAAAATAAAATACAAAAAAATGGCCGGGTGCAGTGGCTCACACCTGTAATCCCAGCACTTTGGGAGGCCAAGGCAGGCAGATCACATGAGGTCAGGAGTCGGAGACCAGCCTGACCAACATGGAGAAACCCTGTCTCTACTAAATATACAAAATTAGCCGGGCATGGTGGCACATGCCTGTAATCCCAGCTACTTAGCAGGCTGAGGCGGGAGAATCACTTGAACCCAGGAGGCGCAGGCTGCAGTGAGCCGAGATTGCACCATTGCACTCCAGCCTGGGCAACAAGAGCGAAACTCTGTCTCAAAAAAAAAAAAAAAAAAAAATTAGCCGGGCATGGTGGTGCCTGTCTGTGGTCCCAGCTGCTTGGGAGGCTGAGACAGGAGAATTGCTTGAACCTGGGAGGCAGAGGTTGTAGTGAGCCGAGATCTCACCACTGCACTCCATCCAGGGTGACAGATGAGACTCCATCTCAAAAACAAACAAACAAACCAACAAACCAACAAAACAAAATTAAAAAACCAAAGGCAATTCAGTGGTGCTTTTCAACAGGTGGTGTTAGAGTAATTAGACATCCATAGACAAAAACACAAAACCCTAAAAACCCGTACACAAAAATTAACTCCAAATGAGTTACAAACTTAAATGTAAAATGTAAAAACTATAAAACTTTCAGAAAAAAACAGAAGAGTATCTTAAGGTTCTAATGTTATACAGAGTTCTTGATACCTAAAGCATAATTCATAAAAGGAAAAAGTGACACATTGAACTTAATCCAAATTTAAAACTTTCTGAAACATAGGCTGAGGCACCAGAATCACTTGAGCCCGGGAGGTGGAGGTTGCAGTGAGCTAAGATCACTCCACTGCACTCTAGCCTGGGCAACACAGCGAGACCCTGTCTCAAAAGAAAAAAAACCCCACAACTTTCTGAAACAGCTTTATTGAGATATAATTCACATACCATATAATTCACCCATCTAAAGTGCACAATTCAATGGGTTTTTGTTTACTATATTAACTTTTTTTTTTTTTAGATGGAGTCTTGCTCTGTCGCCCAGGCTGGAGTGCAGTGGCACAATCTCGGCTCACTGCAAGCTCCACCTCCCAGGTTCACGCCATTCTCCTGCCTCAGCCTCCCAAGTAGCTGAGACTACAGGAGTCCACCACCATGCCGGCTAATTTTTTTGTATTTTTAGTAGAGACAGGGTTTCACCGTGTTAGCCAGGATGGTCTCAATCTCCTGACCTTGTGATTCGCCCGCCTCGGCCTCCCAAAGTGCTGGGATTACAGGCGTGAGCCACCGTGCCCGGCTAATTTTTTTTTTTAATGGAGTTTCACTCTTGTTGCCCAGGCTGGAGTGCAATGGCACGATCTCAGCTCACCACAACCAATGACTCCTGGGTTCAAGCCATTCTCCTGCCTCAGCTTCCCGAGTAGCTGGGATTACAGGTGTGCACCACCACACCCAGCTAATTTTTGTATTTTAGTAAAGACGGGTTTTCTCCATGTTGGTCAGGCTCGTCTTGAACTCCCAACCTCAGGTGATCTGCCTGCCTCAGCCTCCCAAAGTGCTGGGATTACAGGCATGAGCCACCATGCCTGGCCTACTATATTATTACTTTTTAAAAACTGTGATAAAACCGGTCAAGCATGGTGTCTCATGCCGGTAATCCCAGCACTTTGGGAGGCTGAGGCAGGCAGATCACTTGAGCTCAGGAGTTTGAAACCAGCCTGGGCAATGTGGCAAAACCCCATCTCTAAAACACAAGCAAACAAACAAAAATTAGCCAAGCGTGGGCCAGGCGTGGTGGCTCATGCTTGTAATCCCAGCACTTTGAGAGGCCGAGGCAGGCGGATCACCTGAGGTGAGTTTGAGACCAGCCTGGCCAACATGGCGAAAACCTATCTCTACTAAAAACACAAAAATTAGGCCAGGTGTGGTGGCTCACACCTGTAATCCCAGCACTTTGGGAGGCCAAGGCGGGCGGATCACCTGAGGTCAAGAGTTCGAGACCAGACTGACCAACATGGAGAAACCCCGTCTCTACTAAAAATACAAAAATTAGCTGGTGTGATGGCACATGCCTGTAATCCCAGCTACTCGGGAGGCTGAGGCAGAAGAATCGCTTGAACCCAGGAGGCGGAGGTTGTGGTGAGTTGAAATCGCGCCACTGCACTCCAGCCTGGGCAACAAGAGCAAAATTCCATCTCAAAACAAAAAAAGAAGTGTAACTAACAACATCAGGTGGTGGGACTCGGACATTTTTGGACCCCCCATACCTTCACCCACACCTCGGAGAGCAGATGTTTTGAATTGGAAACATCGAATTTTCAGTCCACCTAGAGTAAGCCCTTTGTCGGCTCAGCTTCTTGAACGTATGCATTTCATGCTCACCACATCCAAACTGTAAGGCTCCATCCAACCAACCAACCAAAATCCCTGTCCTGGACGGGAGCGGTGGCTCCCGCCGGTAATCCCAGCACTTTGGGAGGCCGAGGCGGGCGGATCACTTTAGACCATCTTGGCCAGCATGATGAAACCCCATATCTACTACAAATGCAAAATTTAGCTGGGTGTGGCGGTGCACACCTGTACAGCTACTTGGGAGGCTGAGTTGGGAGAATCGCTTGAACCCGGGAGGCAGAGGCTTCAGTGAGCAGATCATACTACACTGCAGCGTGGGTGATTAAGTCAGACTCTGTGAAAAGAAAGAAAAAGAAAGGAAAGAAAGAAAGGGAAGGAGGGAAGGAGGGAGGGAAGGAAGGAAGGAAAAAACCTCCCTGTCCTTTTGGCCCTGAAGGGACCTTCGCTTTCCAAAGGGCTATGGCAAGAAGGGTGGGTCGCAGCCACGTCACCGGCGGGAGGGTCGGCAAGGACGGTTGCTAGGTCGCCGCACAGCTTCCGCCGCGGAGAGAACCAAAGGACTGGGAGGAGAAGTGAACGCCCGCCCCATCCACGGTGCGGCCTGGGATTGGCTCACCGTTGTAAAGCCATGCCCCCAACCCGGGCAGCGCCGCGGCCACCCGCCCGGTTCCGAAACGGACCAGCAGGGGGCGGCCTGCACGTCCTGGCCGTGGCTCCTGCCCGTGGAGGCGACCCCAGCGGCCCAGACAACTAAGACCCGTGTTGCGTAATCTCCCCGGCCCCGCCCAGGGAGAGGTGCCTCTGCCCCCGGGGACCCTGGCGAACGCACGTTCCCCTGTTGATCATTCAGGCTGCACTGTGGACCCGGAAGTCTGGGTCCAGATCCAGCGAATTCGGAGAATCCTCAGCGGCCCCTCGTCTAAGCCGCAGCAAAAAAAGGGATTGGACTCACTGGACCACCTCCAAGGAGCCTGTCCAGTCTGACAGGCCCTATTTCTCATGGAAGACCCTGGGCTTCTCTGGCCTGAAGTTGAGAGCTGGCCCTGGCTCTGGCATTCCCTCTCTGAGTGGCCTTGGGCAAGTTATAGCCTATTTCTGAGCTTGTTTCCTCATCCTATTGTTAAGTCCTATGAGGGTTAGATGTCCTCAAAGGTCCCTTCCAGTTCTTAGCCATGAAACAGACTTGATAACATGTGGAAATCTCTGACATGTTAAATCTCTGACACGTAAATCTCTGACATGTTATGCTATTTAGCCACCTTCACCTTCTTTTCTTTTTTTTTGAGACTGAGTCTCGCTCTGTCGCCCAGGGTGGATTGCAGTGGTGCGATCTCAGCTCACTGCAACCTCCACCTCATGGGTTCAAGCGATTCTCCTGCCTCAGCCTCCTGAGTAGCTGGAATTATAGGCATGCACCACCACATCCAGCTAATTTTTGTATTTTTAGTAGAGACGGTGTTTCACCGCGTTGGTCAGGCTGGTCTTGAACTCCTGACTTCAGGTATCCACCCACCTCGGCCTCCCAAAGTGCTGGGATTACAGGCATGAGCCACTGTGCCTGGCCCTCTTTTCTTTTTTTTTTAATACAGGGTCTCACTCTGTCGCCCAGGCTGGAGTGCAGTGGCACAATCCTAGTTGGCTGCAGCCTCCAACTCCTGGGCTCAAGCAATCCTCCCGCCTCAGCCTCCCAAGTAGCTGGAACCACAGGCACACACCACAATGCCCGGCTTTTTTTTTTGGAGAGACGGGGTCTCACTATGGTGCCCAGCCCCACCTTCACTTTCTGTACACAAAAATTCTAGAAAAGGAGGGGAAAGGCTGGGTTGGCACCTAAAAATAAAATAGGGACTGTCAACAGATCCCTGAAAGAGTGCCTGCCTGCACTAAGGGGATGATGCTGGAGAGGATAATGGAATGTCCATTGTACTCTAACCCCCTCATTTTGCAGATGAGGAAACTTTGACAGCAGCTAAGTCACATTAGGAGGAAAAACCCAGGTTTTCTGATTTCATAATCAGTTCCTTTACAAAGTGTTAGGAAATAGAAGGCATAAATATGTTAAAACAGAGAAAGAAAATTATCCACAGGAATAAAAGCAAACAATTTAATTTGTAGCACTTCCCACTTTGGTGTACTTAGGATTTCTATCCTGCCTACATTCGTGGTGACTTACAAAGCAAAAATAGAGCAATAAAAAATAAAACAGAAGTGAGTTATCTCTCTCTTCTGCTTTTTCATCTATCACCACTGCCCCATTGTCCCCTCCAGAAGAGCTTCTAACCCCTACCCTAATGTTCCAAACTGACCTTTGTAATCTTTTTTTTTTTTTTTTTTTTTGAGGCAGTCCCAGCTACTCAGGATGCTGAGGGGGTGAAAATTGCTTGAGCCCAGGAGTTTGAGACCAGCTTGGGCAACACAGCAAAACTCCATCCAGCACTTTGGGAGGCCGAGGCAGGTGGATCACTTGAGGCCAGGAGTTGGAAACCAGCCTGGTCAACATGGTGAAACCCCATCTTTACTAAAAATACAAAAAATTTGTCAGGCGCAGTGGCTCATGCCTATAATCCCAGCACTTTGGGAGGCTGAGGCGGGCAGATCACCTGAGGTCAAGAGTTTTGTACTAAAATACAAAAATTAGCTGAGTGTGGTGGCAGGTGCCTGTAATCCCAGCTACTAGGAAGACTGAGGCAGGAGAACTGCTTGAACCCAGGAGGTGGAGGTTGCAGTGGGCCGAGATTGCACCACTGCACTCTAGCCTGGGCAACAGACTGAGACTCTGTCTCAAAAAAAAAAAAAAAAAAAAATTAGCTGGGCGTGGTGGCATGCACCTGTAATTCCAGCTACTTGGGAGGCTGAGGCAGGAGAATCACTTGAACCCAGTAGGTGGAGGTTGCAGTGAGCCGAGATCGCACCATTGCACTGAAGCCCAGGTGACAGAGCGAGCCTCTGTCTTAAAAAAACAAAAACAAAACAAAAAAAAAACTAGATGAAGTGTATGATATGTGAATTACATCTCAATAAAGCTGTTACATCAAAAGAGGCACACCAAAAAGTAAAACAAAACCAACCAATATGTGCCTGTGTTTCTTCCCTAGGTTCTGTGTGGCTACATCCTTTCACTCTGGGGAGATCTGGGGTGCGGTTCTCGGCCATCTGCTCCTGCAGATGTCTTCCAAATCTCCAAGTGTGTCCCCCCACAGCGTCCCCATCTCCCACTCAGCCACCACTTTACACTCTACCCAGCTCCACTCGGTGGAAGGAAGCATGCCAGCTCCCCTGATCTCCTGCACGCCCGCCTTGGCTGCCACCTAATTTCTTGGCTACCCAGGATGGAGTTGGGATAGAGAAGGGGAGAACAGAAAAGGCAGAAGACAGGTGAGTCTTGCTGGAGATTGGAAAAGGGAGAAACTTCCTAGAGCAAACTAGATAAGAACAAAAGACAACTTTGAAAAGGAAAAGATTCCTTAATATTTTGTTATATTTTTCCCTTCTGGACTTCAAGTGTTTGAGTAGCTTTTTTCATGGCTGTCTTACTTCTGGAAGTGATTTTGGAGGGAGCATAATTTTATTTTATTTTTTTTGAGATGGAGTCTCACTCTGTTGCTCAGGCTGGAGTGCAGTGGCATGATCTCGGCTCACTGCAACCTCTGCCTCCCGGGTTCAAGCTATTCTCCTGCCTCGGCCTCCCAAGTAGCTGGGACTACAGGTGCGTGCCACCATGCCCGGCTAAGTTTTTGTATTTTCAGTAGAGACAGGGTTTCACCCTGTTAGCCAGGATGGTCTCCATCTCCTGAACTCATGATCCGCCCGCTTTGGCCTCCCAAAGTGCTGGGATTACAGGTGTGAGCCACTTCACCTGGCTGGGAGCATCATTTTAATAGTTTATTTACACAGCTGTGAATTAAACATCTACTTCCTTTTTTTTTTTTTTTTTTTTGCTTTGTTTTTGAGACAGGGTCTCACTATGTCACCCAGGCTGGAGTGCAATGGCACAATCTCAGCTCACTGCAACCTCTGCCTCCTGGGGATAAGTAATCCTCGCACCTCAGCCTCCCAATTAGCTGGGACCACAAGAGCACATCATCATGCCTGGCTATTTTTTTTTGTACTTTTAGTAGAGACGGGGGTCTCACTATGTTGCCCGGGCTGATCTCAAACTCCTGAGCTCAAGCAATCCACCTGTCTTGGCCTCCCAAAGTGCTGGGATTACAGGCATGAGCCACCGTGCCTGGCCTAAACATCTACTTTCTTTATGACTTTATTAAAAGTCCACCTTCGGCTGGGCTCAGTGGCTCACCCCTGTAATCCCAGCACTTTGGGAGGCCGAGGCAGGTGGATCACCTGAGGTCAGAAGTTCGAGACCAGCCTGACCAACATGTTGAAACCCCATCTCTACTAAAAATACAAAAATTAGCCGGGTGTGGTGGCACATGCCTGTAATCCTAGCTACTTGGAAGGCTGAGGCAGGAGAATCACTTGAACCCGGGACACAGAGGTTGCAGTGAGCTGAGATCATGCCACTGCATCCCAGACTGGGCGACACAGCGAGACTCTGCCTTAAAAAAATAAAATAGCCGGGCGCGGTGGCTCACGCCTGTAATCCCAGCACTTTGGGGGGCCGAGGTGGGCGGATCACGAGGTCAGGAGATCGAGACCATCCTGGCTAACACGGTGAAACCCCGTCTCTACTAAAAATACAAAAAATTAGCTGGGCGTGGTGGCGGATGCCTGTAATGCCAGCTACTTGGGAGGCTGGGGCAGAGAACTGCTTGAACCCAGGAGGCGGAGGTTGCAGTGAGCCGAGACCGTGCCACTGCACTCCAGCCTGGCGACAAAGTGAGACTCTGTCTCAAATAAATAAATAAATAAATAAAATAAAATAAAATAAAATAAAATAAGGCTTGGCATGGTGGCTCACATCTGTAATCCCCAGAACTTTTTTTTTTTTTGAGACAGAGTCTTGCCCTGTTACCCAGGCGGGAGTGCAATGGCACGATCTCGGCTCACTGCAACCTCTGCCTCCTGGGTTCAAGCTATTCTCCTGCCTCAGCCTCCTGAGTAGCTGGGATTACAGGTGTATGCCTCCACGCCCAGCTAATTTTTGTATTTTCAGTAGAGATGGGGTTTCACCATGTTGGCTAGACTGGTCTCAAACTCCTGACCTCGTGATCCACCCTCCTCAGCCTCCCAAAGTGCTGGAATTACAAGCATGAGCCACTGCACCTGGCCCTTGTAATCCCAGAACTTTAGGAGGCAGAGGTGGGTGGATCACCTGAGGTCAGGAGTGCAAGGCCAGCCTGGCCAACATTGTGAAACCCCATCTCTACTAAAAATACGAAAATTAGCTGGGCATGGTGGTGTGTACCTTCAATCCCAGCTAGTCAGGATGCTGAGAGGCAGGAGGATCGCTTGAACCCAGGAGGCAGAGGTTGCAGTGAGCCGAGATCATGCCACTACACTCCAGCCTGAGTGACAGAACGAGACTCTGTCTCAAAAAAATAAAATAAAATAAAAATTTAAAAAGTCCACCTTCTCAGAGAAGTCTCTACTGGCCCACCTATCCAAAATTTCAACATCTTCCCTGACCCCACTTTATTTTTCTCATTATTTTCTTTGTTATCTGTCTTTCTTAACAGAATTTAATCTCTAGTAAGGGTAGCAATTTTTGTTTTTAATTTTTACCTGTTTTGTTCACAACTACAGTGGTCACGAGAGCCCAGAGTAAATGCTCTGTAAGTATTTACTTATTGAATGAATGAATGAATGAACCTACTGTATACTGGGCAATTTTGTGATAAAGGAAAGTCTTGTTTTGTTTAGACAGGCTCTTGCTCTTTCTCCCAGGCTGGAGTACAGTGGTACAATCACAGCTCACTGCAGCCTTGAACTCTTGGGCTCAAGTGATCCTCCCACCTCAGCTTCCAGAGTAGCTGGGACTACAGGCGTGTGTCACCATGCCCAGCTAATTTTTTTTTTTTTTTTTTTTTTTTTGTAGAGACAGGGTCTCACTATGTTGCCTAGGCTGGTCTTGAACTCGTGGGCTCAAGTGATCTGCCTGCCTTGGCCTCCCAAAGTGCTGGGATTACGGGCATGAGCCACCACGCCCAGCCTGGAAAGTCTTAAAATAATTTTGTAAACCTGACAGATTTATGGCTGGGAGGCAAGGGAGATAAAGAGGCCAATTTTTCACTTGTGTGGACACATCTAAAATAACTCTGGGTACAAGGAGAGAACATCTAGAATGACGCTTGGACAGTGAGAGACTAGGGCCATGGACCCACAACTCATACATTAACAGTTTCTTTGACTGGCTTATTTCATGGAGACACAGAAGACAGGGTGAATGCTAGACAACTCTCTGACTACCAGGACTGCCTTCTGATCCAAGCTCAGTGTCATTTTAAATTTTGCAAAACTGGCTGGGCGCAGTGGCTCACGCCTGTAATCCCAGCCCTTTGGGAGGCCGAGGCAGGCGGATCACCTGAGGTCAGGAGTTCGAGACCAGCCTGCCCAACATGGCGAAACCCCGTCTCTACTAAAAATACAAAAAATTAGCCAGGCGAGGTGGTGGGCATCTGTAATCCCAGCTACTCAGGAGGCTGAGGCAGGAGAATTGCCTGAACCCGGGAGGCAGAGGTTGCATTGAGCCAACATCGCGCCGCTGCACTCCAGCCTGGGCAACAACAGAGAAACTCTGTCTAAAAAAAAAAAAAAAAAAAAAGTGCAAAATTACATAGCATTTTAAGCTTCACTTCCCTCTTCTGTAAAATATGATGACAACACTTTCCTATGTGTAAGGATTCAGTAAGATAAAATGTGAAAGTGGCTGGGAACTGCAGCTCATGCCTGTAATCCCAGGACTTTGGGAGGCTGAGGTGGGAAGATCACTTGAAGTCAGGAGTTTGAGACCAGCCTGGGTAACAGAGCGAGACCCTGTCTCTACAAAAAATTAATTAATTAATTTTTTTTGAGACAGGGTCTCACTCTGTTGCCCAGGCTGGAGTGCAGTGGTGCGATCTTAGCTCACTGCAACCTCTACGTCCTGGATTCAAGCGATTCTCCTGCCTTAGCCTCCTGAGTAGCTGGGACTACAGGCATGTGCCACCCAACCTGGCTAATTTTTTTGTATTTTTAGTAGAGACGGGGTTTCACCATGTTGGCCAGGCTGGTCTCGAACTCCTGACCTCAAGCTATCCACCCACCTCAGCCTCTCAAAGTGCTGGGATTACAGGCTTCAGCAACCCGGCCCAGCCAAAAAATTAATTAAAAAAAACAAAACAAAACAAACAAAAAAAAACAAAAACCAGGCCGGGCGTGGGGCTCATGCCTGTAATCCCAGCACTTTGGGAGGCCGAGGTGGGTGGATCACGAGCTCAGGAGATAGAGACCATCCTGGCTAACACGGTGAAACCCCGTCTCTACTAAAAAAATACAAAAAAATTAGCCGGGCGCGGTGGCGGGCGCCTGTAGTCCCAGCTACTCGGGAGGCTGAGGCAGGAGAATGGTGTGAACCCGGGAGGCGGAGCGTGCAGTGAGTGGAGATGGCGCCACTGTACTCCAGCCTGGGTGACAGAGCGAGACTCTGTCTCAAAAACAAAACAAAAACCCAGATGTGGTGGCATGTGTCCATGGTCCTAGCTACTTGGGAGGCTGAGGCAGAAGATTGCTTGAGCCCAGGAGTTTGAGGCTACAGTAAGCTATGATCACACCACTGCATTCCAGCCTGGGGGAAAGAATGAGGCCCTATCTCTAAAAAAAAAAAAAGAAAGAAAGAAAGAAAAGAAAAGAAAAAAGAAAAAGAAAAAAATGTGAAAGCATCTGTCGTTCTCTGGCACACACTAGGTGCTTGATGCCTTTGATGCCTATCAATTTCCCTCTCTGTCCTTTCTTTGGGAAACTACTTCTCCCAATATAACTTCAAGAGTTTGAAGTTGTATTTTTTTTTTTTTTTAATTGAGACGGAGTCTTGCTCTGTCGCCGAGGCTGGAGCGATCTCGGCTCACTGCAAGCTCCGCCTCCCGGGTTCACGCCATTCTCCTGCCTCAGCCTCCGGAGTAGCTGGGACTACAGGCGCCCGCCACTACGCCCGACTAATTTTTTTGTATTTTCAGTAGAGACGAGGTTTCACCGTGTTAGCCAGGATGGTCTCGATCTCCTGACCTCGTGATCCCCCCGCCTCGGCCTCCCAAAGTGCTAGAATTACAGGCATAAGCCACCATGCCCAGCTAATTTTTGTATTTTTAGTAGAGATGAAGTTTCGTCATTTGGCCAGGCTGGTCTCGAGCTCCTGACCTCAAGTGATCCGCCTGCCTCAGCCTCCCAAAGTGCTGGGATAACAGGCTTTAGCCATCGCGCCTGGCCATTGGCTCCAATAAAAAAAAGAAAAAGAAAAAGAAAAGAAACACTCTTTGCCAGTTGAAACACATTTCCCAGTTGCATCTGCCAATCTGTGACCTCTACTTAGGGAACCAAGATAGATCAGGTTAGAGAGGTAGGCTTGAGCCAGGTTTCAAATCCTCTTGAGAGGTGGGCTTGAGCCAGGTTTCAAATCGTCTTGAATGCCAAGCTGAGTTTTGACTTGAACTCACAGGCAGTGAGTAAATCACTAAAAGGTATTTTTGGAACGAGGGGTGGCCTGAGGCAAGGATTTGGGGACTCCTTGTAGTGGAGTTTCACGTGAAATAAAAGGGAGAGGCAGGCAAGGTTGCAGGTTGTTGCAACGACACAGGTTTGCGGCAGTACGGCTGAGGGAGGGCTGGAAAGACGGGTTGGATGGAAAAGATGAAGCATAAAAGTATGGTCAAGGGAGGACGAGGGAAGCGGACGGAAAGCAGGAGAGAAAAACTGAGGTTCCGATTTGATTGAGAATGAACCCTCTCTCGGGAGGAGGGGCCAGGTAGTTTAGTTTGGTGCTGGTAGTGCTGAGTTTGAGAAGCTGACCCCAAAATCTGGTCTTGACCGCAACACGGAGTGGGGCCTGAGCTCCTCGGTGCAGCCCCAGCTCCGCTACTCGCTGCTGAACGACCTTGGACGAGCCCATGTCTAAATCAGACTTGATAAAGGAGTCGCCTCTAAGGAGGAACTGGGATCCCCTCCTTCCCAGGCTGGTGCTCGGGAGGGTGGAGGATGGAAGGAGCGGGTCCTTCCCCCAGGGAGCTCGGGGTCTACAGCAGGGCGGGGAAGCGGCCCTTCCAGAAGAGGCAGGAGAGGGTCGCTCCCTCGGCCAGCCTCGGGCCGCCTGGGCTTTACTGGGAAAAGCAGCCGAGGTCCTGGAAGAGTCGCGCCCCGCGGCCCCCGAGGAGAGCCGCGGCCCTCTCCTTGCCTCCCCAGCGCCTGATTCTCCCTTGCTGGAATTCGGGAGTCAGGGATGCCTTTGGGGAATCCCTTCCCCTCCTTCGGTCCTCGGCACTGCCTCTGAGCTCGGAGGCCCCGGTCGCCTGGGCCCGGACGCCGGCCCGGACGCCAGCCCGGGAAGCAGCAGGTCAGGAGCGGGAGCCGGAGCCAAAGCTGGACCCAGGCCGGAAGTGCGGCGCCCTCCGTGGGCCTCTCTAGGAGCGGAGGCGACCGCGTCTCAGTGGGAATAACCCCTTCAGCTCCGGGAGGCCGTCGCCGCGTGAGGTGTTCGCTCGCTTTCCTCCTGAGAAGGGCCGAATGATGGCCGCTAGTCACTCTGGGGACATTTGGAGGATTGAATGCCTGTAACCGCGCAGGGCCCACGGCCTGGGTTTCCATCCCCGATCCGCCTCATGGCTGAGCTCCTCGGACAAGTTATTCAACCTCTCTGAGTCACAGCTTTCTTCCTTGCAAGGGGTTGCTGTAAGGATTCCATGAATTAATGCATGTGCAGCACTCAGAAGAGAGGCTGGACCCCGCGTGGTGGCGCGCGCCTGTGATCCCAGCACTGGGAGGCCAAGGCGGGAGGATAGCGTGAGCCCAGAGGCTTGAGGCTGCAGTGAGCTATGATCACGCCACTGCATTGCAGCCTGGGTGACAGTGAGACACTGTCTGGAGGGGAAACAAAAAAGCTATATATCATTTTTTTCCATTATTTATACTCTGCTATAAAAGAACTTTTGGTGGAGGGTCACGTTTGAGACATGAGAATAAGAAACATGATAAAAATGATAGTAATAACTGCTATTTACTGAGAGCCTTCTGTGTGCTAGGTTCCTTACACACCTTATCTCTATAACCTCAGGGCAATTCTGTGAAGGGAATGTTAATATTATTCCCATTTTATGGATTAAGAAACGGGTTAGGCCAGGCGTGGTGGCTCACGCCTGTAATCCCAGCACTTTGGGAGGCCGAGGCAGGTGGATTACAAGGTCGGGAGTTCAAGACCAGCCTGGCCAACGTGATGAAACCCCCTCTCTACTGAAAGTATAAAAATTAGCCGGGTGTGGTGGCGGGCGCCTGTAATCCCAGCTACTTGGGAGGCTGAGGCAGGAGAATCGCTTGAACCCAGGGGGCAGAGGTTGCAGTGAGCCGAGATCACACCACTGCACTCCAGCCTGGGCGACAGAGTGAGGCTCCGTCTTAAAAAACAACAACAACAATAAACGGGTTAATGGCCAGGTGCGGTGGCTCATGCCTATAATCCCAGCACTTTGGGAAGCCGAGGTGGGCGGATCACGAGGTCAGGAGTTTGAGACAAGCCTAGCTAACATAGTGAAACCCCATCTCTACTAAAACTACAAAAATTAGCCAGGCATGGTGGCACGCAGCTGTAGTCCCAGCTACTCGGGAGGCTGAGGCAGGAGAATCGCTTGAACCCGGGAGGCAGAGGTTGTGGTGAGCCGAGATCTCGCCACTGCATTCCAGCCTGGGCAACAAAGCAAGACTCCGTATCAAAAAAAAAAAAAAAAAAAATCAGTCACAGTGGCTCATGCCTGTAATCCTAGCACTTTGGGAGGCCGAGGAAGGTGGATCACTTGAGTTCAGGAGTCTGAGACCAGCCTGGCCAACGTGGTGAAACCCTGTCTCTACTAAAAATAAAAAAATTAGCGGGGTGTGGTGGCAGGCGCCTGTAATCCCAGCTGCTCGGGAGGCTGAGGCACGAGAATCACTTGAAACCAGAAGGCGGAGGTTTCAGTGAGCCGACATTGTGCCACTGGACTCCAGCCTGGGTGACAAGAGCGAAACTGTCTCAAAAAAAAAAAAAAAAAAAAAAAACAGGGCCGGGTGTGGTGGCTCACGCCTGTAATCCCAGCACTTTGAGAAGCGAAGGTGGGTGGATCACAAGGTCACGAGTTCAAGACCAGCCTGGCCGAGATGGTGAAACCTCGTCTTTACTAAAAAAAAAAAAAATAGAAAAATTAGCTGGGCATGGTGGCAGACACTTGTAATCCCAGCTACTCGGGAGGCTGAGGCAGGAGAATTGCTTGAACCCAGTGGGCAGAGGCTGCAGTGAGCCGAGGTCATGCCACTGCACTCCAGCCTGGGTGACAGAGTGAGACTCCATCTCCAAAAAACAAAAAGAAAGAAAGAAACAGGTTAATAACTGAGTATATGTCAGAGTCTGATTTGAACTCAAAACTGCCTGATTCCAGAGTGCACAATGCACGATTTTCCCTCTCCTCTGCACTGAATCTCCATTTGGGAAACTTTTTCTGGGAATTCCAAACTAAAGCATCAAACTTGGACATCTAGTTAGTTCAGAGCTGTGCTAAATCACCTAATTCCTACAACAGGATGAAAATCAATCATGAACGGTGCTGCCCCAGAACAGACACCAACTTCATTTAAAAAAGAGCTCACGCCTGTAATCCCAGCACTTTGGGAGGCAAAGGAGGGAGGATTGCTTCAGCCCAGGAGTTCCAGACCAGCCTAGGCAACATAAGGAGACTCAGTCACTACAAAGAGGGGGGAAAAGAAAAAAAAGCCAGCTGTTTTGGCCTGCACCTGTGGTCCCAACTACTCAGGAAGCTGAGGTGGGAGGATCACCTGAGCCCAGGAGGTTGAGGCTACAGTGAGCTATAGTCATGCCACCACACTCCACCCTTGGTGACAGAGTGAAACCCTGTCTAAAAAAAAAAAAAGAAGAAGAAGAAGAAGAGGATCTTGTGACCTTGAAAAGAAGCAAGTTTTAGACAAAGACAGAAAGCTGAAAGGCACTGAGTGTGTGTTTTCAGGATAAAATAAAACCATGCTCTTACGTGCAAGAACAATTACCATCCGGCCTCCCCTTTCATACAGCCCGTGGAGACTTGGAAGAACAGACCTTCCCGCGCAGCCTTTCTTCCTGCTTCCACTGCTCAATGGCTCTCTGGGCAGATTCCACTCCAGTGTTTAGTACTAAAGTCTCCAGCATTTAGTACTACCAGCTCCAGCGTTTAGTACTAAAGGCTCATAGAGTTTGTGGAGGCCTGGAGGAAATAGCCTGTCTTGTCTTCCTTTCATTCCCTCTGGAGCTTGAACCCTAGAGACTTAGCAACTAGACAGTCATGGAGGAGGGCAGGCCAGAAAGTAGGGAGAGCCTGGGGTGAGGACTTTCTCACGGCCGTGCCCTTGGCCATGCTGCTGGCTCTGCCTGGTGTAAGCTTGGAGGGGCAGGGCACTGTCCATCTCATCAGCTCTGCATCCTAACCCTGAGAACAGTGTGGGGCTTTTTCAAGAGGACTCTACAGGTTGTAGTTTAGTCAGGACTGGAACCCAGATTCCTTACCTGCTGGCTGAGGTCTTCACGTTGCATCAGATTCTCTCTGGTGGCCGGGTGTGGTGGTTCACGCCTGTAATCCCAGCACTTTGGGAGGCTGAGGTGGGCAGATCATCTGAGGTCAGGAGTTCGTGACCAGCCTGGCCAACATGGTGAAACCCCGTCTCTACTAAAAATACAAAATCGCAGAGCGTGGTAGCGAGCGCCTGTAATCCCAGATACTCCAGAGGCTGAGGCGGGAGAATCACTTGAACCTGGGAGGCAGAGGTTACAGTGAGCTGAGGACACACCATTGCACTCCAGCCTGGGCAAAAAGAGCGAAACTCCATCTCAAAAAAAAAAAAAATTATCTCGTGTACATGGGCCAGGGTAGCAAATGTCTCATAGAAGGTACACAAGGGTACCAAGAGGAGTACGGCACATCCCTGGATTCAAAGACCATGCACATTTTTTTCTTTTTTTAGAAAAAGACAGGGTCTCACTCTGTCCCCCAGGCTGGAGTGCAGTGGTGGGTCACTGCAGTCTTGACTTTCCAGGCTGAAGCAATCCTCCAACCTCAGCCTCCCAAGTAACTGGGACCACAGGTACCTGCCACCATGTCTGGCTAATTTTTGTATTTTTTAATAGAGACAGGGTCTCACTATGTTGCCCAGGCTGGTCTTGAACACCTGGGCCCAAGCAATCCTCCTACCTCAGCCTCTCAAACTGCTGGAATTACAGGTGTGGGCTACTGTGCCCGGCTGACCATGCACACTTTTCTCTAGCCAGGAAAATCATGCCTGTACAATACAGGGGATATGTTTTCTAACAAGATTTATATTTTTCTGGCTGGGCGCGGTGGTTCATGCCTGTAATCCCAGCACTTTGGGAGGCCGAGGCGGGCAGATCACTTGAGGTCAGGAATTTGAGACCAGCCTGACCAACATGATGAAACCCCATGTCTACTAAAAATACAAAAAAACTAGCTGAGTGTGGTGGCGCACACCTGTAGTCCCAACTACTCAGGAGGCTGAGGCAGGAGAATTGCTTAAACCAGGATACAGAGGTTGCAGTGAGCCGGGAGCAAGCCACTGCACTCCAGCCTGGGTGACAGAGGGATACCCTTTCTCTCTCTAAAAAAAAGAAATGAAAAGAAAAAAAAAGTGTGCATGGTCTTTGAATCTAGGACATGCCATACTCCTCTTGGTGCCCTCGTGTACCTTCTGAGATACTTGCTGCCCTGGCCATGTTACACCTGAGAGAATTTGATGCAATGTGAAGGATCCCCCCCACTTTTTTTTTTTTTTTTTGAGACAGTCCCACTCTGTCAACCAGGCTGCAGTGCAGTGGCTTGTTCTCGGCTCACTGCAACCTTTGCCTCCCGGCTCCAGCAATTCTCCTGCCTCAGCCTCCCAAGCAGCTGGGACTACAGGCATGTGCCACCGTGCCTGGCTAATTTTTGCATTTTCTTAGCAGAGACGGGGTCTCACCATGATGGCTAGGCTGGTCTCAAACCCCTGGCCTCAGGTGATCTGCCCGCCTTGGTCTCCCAAAGTGCTGGGTGGCGTGAGCCACCCCGTCTGGCCACTCTTTTTCACTTTTTAAATTTTTTTGTAGAGATGGGGGTCTCACTATGTTGCCCAGGCTGGTTTTGAACTCCTGGCCTCAGGAGATCCTCCCACCTCAGCTCTTTTTCACCTTTTATATTTTGAAAAAGAATTCATGGCCGGGCGTGGTGGCTCATGCCTGTAATCCCAGCACTTTGGGAGGCTGAGGCGGGTGCATCATGAGGTCAGGAGATCGAGACCAGCCTGGCCAACGTGGTGAAACCCCATCTCTACTAAAAAAAATACAAAAATTAGCTGAGCATGGTGGTGGGTGCCTGTAGTCCTAGCTACTCAGGAGGCTGAGGCAGGAGAATTGCTTGAACCCGGGAGGCAGAGGTTGCAGTGAGCCAAGATTGCCCCACTGCACTCCAGCCTGGGCAGCAGAGCGAGATTCCATCAAAAAAAAAAAAAAAAAAAAAGAGAGAGAGAGAAAGAAAGAGAAAGAAAAAGAATTCACATGGTTAAAAGAAATTCAAACTGCATAAAAAGGTAGATGTATAAAAAAAGCAAGATTCCCTCCTGCTTCTGCCCAGCCCCTTCCCGTTCCCTCTCCTGAGCTGAGCTATTACCAATTTGTCGTGTCTTTCCGAGCTAGTCCATGCATATGCAAGCATCTCCTTTTAGAAAGCAGAAAATGGATGGCACACAGTAATGCTTGCTTTTCCCCTTGCATTTTTTCACATCAGCACCTATTTTGGAGAATGTTTCATGTCAGTTTCTACATAGCTGCTTTTATTTTCAAAGCCAAGTATTCCATTATATGGATATGCTATGATTTATTTAATCAACTCTCCTATGGTGGACATAGGTTATTTTCAGTCTTTTGCTATAAAAACATTTCAGTGGAAATTGTAGTATGTAAATACATCTTCATGTGCATGTGTGACCATGCCTGTGGGATCTAGAAGTGGAATTGCTGCATCAAAGGGTATGGGCATTTTGAATTTTGATCAGTCTAGCCAAATCTTTCTTCAAAGAGGAAGTGCACATCTTACTAATGTTTGAGAGTGCATCTTTCTCCACATAGTAGATAATTAAACTATTTACATTTGATAACCTCTTAGGTTAAAAATAGTATTTCAGGCCGGGCACAGTGGCTCACACCTGTAATCCCAGCACTTTGGGAGGCCAAGGCAAGTGGATCACCGGCGGTCAGGAGTTCGAGACCAGCCTGAGTAACATGGTGAAACCCCTGTCTCTACTAAAAATACAAAAATTAGCCGGGTGCATGTGCCTGTAGTCCCAGCTACTCAGGAGGCTGAGGCAGAAGGATCACTTGAGCCCAGGAGGCGGAGGTTGCAGTGAGCCGAGATCCCGCCACTACATTCCAACCTGGGCAACAGAGCAAGACTCTGTCTCAAAAAAAAAAAAAAAAAAAAAGTGAGGCCGGGCGCGGTGGCTCACGCCTGTAATCCCAGCACTTTGGGAGGCCGAGGCGGGTGGATCATGAGGTCAGGAGATCGAGACCATCCTGGCTAACAAGGTGAAACCCCGTCTCTACTAAAAATACAAAAAATTAGCCGGGCGCGGTGGCGGGCGCCTGTAGTCCCAGCTACTCGGGAGGCTGAGGCAGGAGAATGGCGTGAACCCGGGAAGCGGAGCTTGCAGTGAGCCGAGATTGCGCCACTGCAGTCCGCAGTCCGGCCTGGGCGACAGAGCGAGACTCCGTCTCAAAAAAAAAAAAAAAAAAAAGTGAGTAGTGAGTCTGTGAGTGCAAAAATTAGCCGGTTGTGGTGGTGTGCGCCTGTAGTCCCAGCTACTCGGGAGGATGAAGTGGGAGGGTTGCTTGACCCTTGGGAGGTCGAGGCTGCAGTGAGCTAGGATTGCACCACTGCACTCCATCCTGGGCAACAGAGTTAAGACCTGTCTCAAAAAATGAATAAATAAATAAAGCCACTATTACAAATCATATGTCCCAGCCTTAATCTAGAGAATGTCAAATTTTAAGCACTGGTTAGGCCGGGTGCGGTGACTCATGCCTATAATGCCAGCACTTTGGGAGGCCGAGGCAAGTGGATCACCAGAGGTCGAGAAGTTCAAGACCAGCCTGGCCAACATGGTGAAACCCTGTCTCTACTAAAAATACAAAAATTAGGCCAGAGACAGTTGCTCATGCCTGTAATTCCAGCACTTTGAGAGGCTGAGGTGGGCGGATCACGAGGTCAGGTTCGAGACCAACCTGGCTAACATGGTGAAACCCCATCTCTACTAAAAACGCAGAAATTAGCTGGGCATGGTGGCACGCACCTGTATTCCCAGCTACTTGGGAGGCTGAGGCAGGAGAATCACTTGAACCCGGGAGGCAGAGGTTGCAGCGAGCCGAGATCACACCACTGCACACCAGCCTGGGCGACATAGCGAGACTCTCTCAAAAAAAAAAAAAAAAATTAAGCACTGGTGAAGTCTGAGAAAAACCAGGACAACATGTAACTTTTAACCCTATGGGGTTACTCCATAGATACACAGTATCTCCTCCCTGCTCAGCTCCAGGGGCCATTCAGAGAGAATGAAACACAGTGGCCCTAGAAACATCCAACCAGTAAGAAGATGGTTTCTGTTTCATACTCTAAGAGAGTAGTATTTGGACGTTTTGTTGTTTGTTTGCTGTTTTACTTTTTTTCTCTTTTGTAGAGACAGGGTCTCACTGTGTCACCCCGGCTGGAGTGCAGTGGTGCAGTCATAGCTCACTGCAGCCTCCAATTCCTGGGCTCGATCCTCCCACCTCAGCCTCCCCAGGTGCTGGGATTATAGGCATGAGCCACCGCACCCAGTCTGCTTTTGTACTCTTAGTGCTATCCACTAGGTTTGGAGCAAGCCTGCCTATAGGGGCAGTCAAGCTGCACTGGTATTAAGCTGGTCTAGCTTCAAGTCATCTGTCAGACCCCCTCCTTTTTTTCTCAGAAGTCTAGGGTCTCGTTATGTTGCCCAGGCTGGTCTTGAACTCCTGGCCTCAAGCAATCCTCTTGCCTTGGCCCCCACAAGTGCTGGCATTACAGGTGTGAGCCACCTTGCCTGGCCAGTAATGGCAGCTTTAAAAGCATGACTGTCAAATTCATGGCAGCCATACTCAGTATCATACATCATTGGGGCTTTGTTTGTCCATCCGTGTCTGTGTTAGACTGGGTCCAGAACTAAGGGATGGGGTTGAAGACGTGGCCCTGTGCATCTCAAAATATCGGTTTGCTGAAAACCCACAGGAGAACTTTCCTGGATGTGCCACATGAAGTGTGGACCCAGTATTTTTTTTTTTTTTTTTTGAGACAGAGTCTCACTCTGTCACCCAGGCTGGAGTCAGTGGCATGATCTCGGCTCACTGCAACCTCCACCTCCCGGGCTCAAGCGATTCTCCTGCCTCAGCCTCCTGAGTAGCTGGAACTACAGGCATGCGCCACCACGCCCCGCTAATTTTTTTGTATTTTTAGTAGAGACAGGGTTTCACCATATTGGCCAGGCTGGTCTCGAACTCCTGACCTTGTGATCTGCCCGCCTTGGCCTCCTAAAGTGCTGGGATTACAGGCTTGAGCCACCGTGTCCGGCCTGGACCCAGTATTTATTTGTACAGGTCTCTAGAAAGATCAGCCAATCTACAAGCCACTTTTAGCTATTGTATGGAACTTTATACCATATGTTTTGTGTACCAACACTAGTTTCATGTTATAATTCCCCCTTTAATTTCCCTTTGCATTTCAGTTTTTTGTCTTGTTAATGATACTACTTACTCCATTACTACTGCTACTGTCAGTAACAATGGCCAAGATTTAGGGACTATGAGTCAGTAAGGATCAGATGCCAGGCACCTGTTGTGTAATATGTGGCTCTCTAAATGCTTCATGTCCTTTTTGAAACCAAGCAAGTATAAACAAACAAACACAACTGTAAAATTCCCTCCTCTCCTTTATGGGACCCACTTAAAGGTGTTCTTTAAATATCTGAAGCCTTATATAACTAGAGAAAGGCTGCACAACTTCAACTTCATAGGTCACCTTATAAATACGTGTTTGAAAATAAACCAGCTGGGCACGGTGGCTCACGCCTGTAATCCCAGCACTTTGGGAGGCCAAGGCGGGCAAATCACTTGAGGTCAGGAGTTCAAGACCAGCCTGGCCAACATGGTGAAACCCCGTCCCTACTAAAAATACAAAAATTAGCCAGGCATGGTGGCGCACGCCTGTAATCCCCGCTACTCAGGAGGCTGAAGCAGGAGAATCACTTGAACCCGGGAGGCGGAGGTTGCAGTGAGCCAAGATGATGCCATTGCACTCCAGCCTGGGGGACAAGAGCGAAACTCAGTCTCAAAAATAATAATAATAATAAAAAAATAAATAAACCTACAAAGAAAACAAACAAACAAACAAACAAACTCTTAGCAGTCAGAAGCCATTAGTCTAGTGAGAATACCTTTACAAAACTCAACCCCTGGCCAGGTGCAGTGGCTCATGCCTGTAATCCCAGCAGTCTGGGAGGTTGAGGTGGGAGGATCACCTGAGGTCGGGAGTTTGAGACCAGCCTGGCCAACATGGTGAAACCCTGTCTCTACTAAAAATACCAAAATTAGCCCAGCATGGTGGCGCATGCCTGTAATCCTAGCTACTCGGGAGGCTGAGGCAGGAGAATTGCTTGAACCCGGGAGGTGGAGGTTGCAGTGAGCCGAGATCGCGCCACTGCAATCCAGCTTGGGCGACTCTCTAGTGTGCTGCAGTGAGTGTGATCTTGGCTAACTGCAACCTGTGTCTCCCAGGTTCAAGAGATTCTCCAGCCTCAGCCTCCTGAGTAGCTGGGATTACAGGCCTGAGCTACCACACCTGGCTAATTTTTGAATTTTAGTAGAGACCGGGTTTCACCATGTTGGCTAGTCTGGTCTCGAATTCCTGACCTCCAGTGATCCGCCTGCCTCGGCCTCCCAAACTGCTGGGATTACAGGCGTGAGCCACTGTGCCCGGCCTATACATTTATTTTATTTACCCATTTATGTATGATTTTCTATAGCTTAAAGTTATGCTGATTTTTTAAAAAATATAAAAATACCATGATTTAAAAAACAAAACAACAACTGTGTTTAAGCCCTCTACTGATGATAAGGACCTGGCTGGGCGTGGTGGCTCACACCTGTAATCCCAGCACTTTGGGAGGTCAAGGCGGGCGGATCACGAGGTCAGGAGTTTGAGACCAGCCTGGCCAATATGGTCAAACCCTGTCTCTACTAAATGCAAAAATTAGCCAGGCTTGGTGGCGTGTACCTGTAGTCCCAGCTACTTGGGAGGCTGAGGCAGGAGAATTGCTGGAACCTGGGAGGTGGAAATTTAAGTGAGCCAAGATTGCACCACTGCACTCTAGCCTGGGTGACAGAGTGAGATTCCGTCTCAAAAAAAAAGAAAAAAAGAAAAAAAGATAATAAGGACCACAGAGGGTTCTGAAGGGGGAACATACTGGTACCTTTTTTTTTTTTTTTTTTTTGAGACAGAGTCTCGCTCTATCGCCCAGGCTGGAGTGCAGTGGCGCGATCTCGGCTCACTGCAAGCCCCGCCTCCCGGGTTCACGCCATTCTCCTGCCTCAGCCTCCTGAGTAGCTGGGACTACAGGCACCCGCCACCGCGCCTGGCTAATTTTTTTGTATTTTTAGTAGAGACGGGGTTTCACATGTTAGCCAGGATGGTCTCGATCTCCTGACCTTGTGATCCACCCATCTCGGCCTCCCAAAGTGCTGGGATTACAGGCCTAAGCCACCGTGCCCGGCCCCATACTGGTACTTTTAGGAAGATCCATGGGGCACCAGATGGGCAGGGAGAAGTGAAGGGGGCTGGAGTGGGGACAACCCATTTGAAAGTCACTGTGGTGATTCAGGAATGAGGACCTGAGGGCTCCAGTGGCCTGGGGTGGGGGGTGAGGGCAGCAGGAGCACCACAGGAATCAGGATCTACTGATTAAGGGGGTGGATCCCTCAGGCCTTGGGGAACAGAATGATCAGGTGTGGTGTAGGGGAATGGAGCTGGTGAATCTGTGGTGATGGCCTAGTGGAAAGATCTGTTAGGCAAATGGAGATAAAGAACAAAGTGAGGAGGCGGTGGCTCATGCCTGTAATCCTAGCACTTTGGGAGGCTGAGGTGGGAGGATCACTTGAGGTCAGGACTTACAGACCGGGAGTTCAAGACTAGGTGTTTGAGATTAGCCTGAGCAACAGAGCAAGACCCTGTCTCTACAAAAAATAAAAAAATTAAGGGGGTGCGGTGGCCCATGCCTATAGTCCCAACTAGTTAGGAAACTGAGACAGGAGGACCACTTGAGCCCAAGAGGTCAAGGCTGAAGTGAGCTGTGATCACGCCACTGCCCTCCAGCCTGGGTGACAGAGCCAGACCCTGTGTCTTAAAAACAGGGGGGCGGGGCCGGGCACAGTGGCTCATGCCTGTAATCCCAGCACTTTGGGAGGCTGAGTTGAGGGGATCACTTGAGGTCAGGAGTTCAAGACCAGCCTGGCGAACATGGTGAAACCCTGTCTCTACTAAAAATACAAAAATTAGCTGGGCATGAGATGGCGCACGCCTGTAGTCCCAGCTACTCAGGAGGCTGAGGCAGGAGAATCGTTTCAACCTGGGAGGTGGAGGTTGCAGTAAGCCGAGATTGCGCCACTGCACTCCAGCCTGGCGACAGAGTGAGACTCTTGTCTCAAAAAACAAACAACTACAAAAAAACAAGGGGATGGCAGTGAGGAGAGGGCTATGGGCTGAGCAGTGGACATCTAGGGATTTTGGAATTGGCCACATTGAGATTTTTCAGGAAGAGAACACAAGGGAAGGGCTCAGGTCTGAGCCTTGGGAAATGCAGCTGTTAGCAGGCACCAGTAGGGCAGGAGGTCTGATGTGTGAAGCATTAGGGAGACATGGTAGGTTTTTGGGCAGTAAGTGACTGATCATGAAATCCCAAGGTGGGAGGGGCCTGCTAGCTCCTCAGCCTCAGCTCTTGCCCCACATTTAAGGACTGCAGTCCTGAAAAGCAGCCGCCAGCACACCTGTGGCTCACATGTCTCCAGGAAGGAGGCCCACCTGGCCTGACGGTGGCCTCTGCAGCCTCCCCTGCCTGCGGTGAGACCCTCTTCATGTGAGAGGGTGCCTCAGGCGTGGAACAGCATGGGTCCCTCCAGCATCACCATCCTGCCCTCTAGAGTATCCCTGGCCAGACACCAGAGGTTGGAGCTTATGATGGTGAGTCCTCACAGGTTAAACACTCCCGGTGTCATCTCAGGACATGGCTTTGAGAATCCTCTATCTCCTATCTACCAGGCCAAGGGCTGTGAGCTCAGACAAGGAAGAGTGAGGCCAACCCGGCTCCGCTGGTCACCTCCTTTGGGAGAGGGAACACATTCTTCCCAAGTGCTTGGACACACATTATCTCATTTACCCCTCTGTCCCTTGGGTACCAAGGCTCATCTTCTTCCCAAGGAAGAGGAAGCTGAATCTCCAAGAGTTGCCCAAGACCACACCAGCCAGTGAGGATGGTGCAGGGTTTGTATTGGGATTCAGTCAGGCTGGTAGGAAAAATATTAGATAGTTTTAGAGATAGATACAAATCTTCTTGGAAGGCCGAGAAGTTTGCATTAGCTTCAGTAGTAGATATGGTTGAAGGCAACCTGTTCTTTACTTTTTAACAAATTAAAGTAGTAATAAAGGCAGAGTAGTTTACCTAGCTAGCTTCTTTACTCATTCGATCTTAAAACTAACTTTTGATGTACCAGATGCTTAAGTGCTTTTTAATCGGGAAGTCCGCAATGTCAATTACCTTCTAATGGTGTTGACTCAAGCTTTTGTTAATTAATCTTACTGAATAAATATGAGTCTGACTAGCTGATCAGGGTCGCAGTCGCAACTGTTTACAGGACTCAGCACGGAGCCTGTAAGCGGCTTGGACCCTCAGCTGGAGTGGCAGAGCAGAGTATCTGTGTGCCGTTATACTTTATTCATCCATCGCCAGGTCAGGGGTCTGCAAGGGACAGACTCCCCGCAGCTGGTGCCCCCTCGAAAGGAGTGCTGCTGCAGGTTTGGACCCGGGTCTACCTCCAGGACCTCACTTTTTTGTTTGTTTTTTGTTTTGAAATGCAGTTTTGCTCTGTCACTCAGGCTGGAATGCAGTGGCACGATCTTGGCTCACTGCAACATCTGCCTCCTGGGTTCAAGTGATTCTCCTGCCTCAGCCTCCCAAGTAGCTGGGATTACAGGCGCCCACCATCATGCCCAGCTAATTTTTGTATTTTTAGTAGAGATGGGATTACAGGTGTGAGCCACCGCACCTGGCCAGGAACTCACTGTTATTGCAGCCCCTCGGGGCATAAGGCCCATAACTAAGAAGAGCATTGGGCCGGGCATGGTGGTTCACGCCTGTAATCCAAGCACTTTGGGAGGCCGAGGCAGGCAGATCATGAGGTCAGGAGTTCGAGACCAGCCTGGCCAATATGGTGAAACCCCGTCTCTACTAAAAATACAAAAATTAGCTGGGCGTGGTGGTATGTGTCTGTAGTCCCAGCTACTCGGGAGGCAGAAGAATCCCTTGAACTCAGGAGGTGGAGGTTGCAGTGAGCCGAGACCGTGCCACTGCACTCCAGCCTGGGCAACACAGCAACACTCGTCTCAAACAAACAAACAAAGAGAAGAGCATTGGGTGAGTTGTTCATGACAGGTGTGGGGGTGGGATCCTCTACATCCCTGCAAGAGCTCCCCTGCCAGGCAGGTTGCTGCCATGGCTGCGATGCCAGCTGATTGAGGGCAAGAGGACATGGCAGCCTTTATATCCCTAGGAGCAGGACACCCAGACTCTTCCTGGAGGATGTATTGGCCCAAATGGGGGTGCCCTGCCCTTCCCAGCTCCTCTCTCCAACTCTGAGGGAGAAGACGGAGGGACTGAGAGGCTCACCCTTGGGTCCCAGACACGCTTGGGCCCATCTGAGCAGGAGAGACGTGTTTAGGATCCACGGTGGCTCTGAAGTCACCGTGCGTGGATTTAAATCCACTCCTGCCACTGGTGACCTGTGTGCAAGTGACTTACCCTTTCTGTCCCAGGATGATAATAATAATGGTGCCATGAGTTGTGGAGGTTTAAGGAGTCATTACATGCAAACACAGTGCCTAGTGCATAAGTGCTCAATAAATGTAACTATGTCAGCAGGCACCATCCTCATGTGTTACTCTGGAGCTGGGCGTGGTGGCTTATGCCCATCATCTCAGCACTTTGCGGGGTGAAGATGGGAGGACTGCTTGAATCCAGGAGTTTGAGACCAGCCTGGGCAATATAGTGAGATCCTATTTCTATAAAAATATTTAAAAAATTATTCAGGAAGAAGTTTTGTGAGGAACAAAAAAATTTTAAATTAAGTTAGCCAGGCATGGTGGCACGCACCTGTAGCTTCAGCTACTTGAGAGGCTAAGGTGGGAGGATTGCTTGAGCGTAGAAATTCAAGGCTGCTGTGAGCTATGATCGTGCCACTGCACTCCAGCCTGGGTGACAGCAAGACACTGTCTCTAAAAATAAAAAATTACTCTGAACCTTGGAGACACAGACTAAGGGGTCCAGAATCTATACCTACAGTTAAACGGGAGTTGGAACATCAGCAGTGAAGGACCATTCATATAATGAAGCCACCTTGGCCTCAGGGTTGGGGACACAGAGGAATGACAGGGATGGTGACCAGCTGGCAGGTCAGTGCCCTGTAAAGACGCAAGCTGCCCAGCAACAGCCAGTTACTGACATGTGAAAATGTGGATCACGTTGCCACATCTTTGGATTTTCCAAAGAAGCAGGAAATTCAGGCCAGGCGCGGTGGCTCAGGCCTGTAATCCCAGCACTTTGGGAGGCTGAGGTGGGCAGATCACAGCGTCAGGAGATTGAGACCATCCTGGCTAACACAGTGAAACCCTGTCTCTACTAAAAATACAAAAAAATTAGCTGGTTGTGGTGGTAGGCGCCTGCAGTCCCAGGTACTCAGAAGACTGAGGCAGGAGAATGGTGTGAACCCGGGAGGCAGAGCTTGCAGTGAGCCAAGATTGCACCACTGCACTCTAGCCTGGGTGACAGTGCGAGACTCTGTCTCAATCAATCAATCAATCAATAAAGAAGCAAGAAATTCAATTTTTAATTTTTTTTTCTTTTTGAGATAGAGTCTTACTATGTCACCCAGGGTGGAGTGCAGTGGCATGATCTCAGCTGACTGCAACCTCTACCAACTGGGTTCAAGCAATTCTCATGCCTCAGCCTCCAGAGTAGCTAGGACTACAGGTGCATGCCACTATGTCCAGTCTCACTCTGTCACCCAGGCTGGAGTGCAGTAGTGCGATCTCTGCTCACTGCAACCTCCACCTCCCGGGTTCAAGCAATTCTCCTGCCTCAGCCTCCTGAGTAGCTGGGATTACAGGTGTGCGCCACTATGCCCAACTAATTTTTGTATTTTTAGTAGAGACGGGGTTTCACCATGTTGGTCAGACTGGTCTCGAACTCCTGACCTCGTGATCCGCCTGCCTCAGCAACCCAAAGTGCTGGGATTACAGGCGTGAGCCACTGCGCCCAGCCAGCCCCAGCTAATTTTTGTATTTTTAGTAGAGATGGGGTTTCACCATGTTGGCCAGGCTGGTCTTGAACTCCTGACTTCAGGTAATCCTCCCGCCTCAGCCTCCCAAAGTGCTGGGATTACAGGCATGAGCCACCATGCCAGGCAATTTTTAATGTGTGTTTTTTGTTGTTGTTGTTGTTGTTTGTTTTTTGAGACAGAGTCTTGCTCTGTCGCCCAGGCTGGAGTGCAGTGGCACGATCTCGGCTCACTGCAAGCTCCGTCTCCCAGGTTCACGCCATTCTCCTGCCTCAGCCTCCCAAGTAGCTGGGACTACAGGCGCCTGCCACCATGCCCGGCTAATTTTTTGTATTTTTAGTAGAGACTGGATTTCACCGTGTTAGCCAGGATGGTCTTGATCTCCTGACCTCATGATCCGCCTGCCTCGGCCTCCCAAAGTTCTGGGATTACAGGCGTGAGTCACTGCGCCCGGCCTAATTTTTTTTAAAATTATTATTATTATTATTTTGAGACTGAGTCTTGCTCTTGTTGCCCAGGCTGGAGTGCAGTGGCGCCATCTCGACTCACTGCAACCTCCACCTCCTGGGTTTTAAGTGATTCTCCTGCCTCAGCCTCCTGAGTAACAGGGATTACAGGTGCACGCCACCATGCCCAGCTAATTTTTTGTATTTTTAGTAGAGACAGAGTTTCACCATGTTGGCCAGGCTGGTCTTGAACTCCTGCCCACAAGTGATCTGCCCACCTCAGCCTCCCAAAGTGCTGGGATTACAGGTGTGAGCCACCTCGCCAAACCATCTTTTTTTTTTTTTTTTTTGAGATGAGAGTCTCGCTCTGTCACCCAGGCTGGAGTGCAGTGGCATGATCTCGGCTCACTGCAACCTCCACCTCCCAGGTTCAAGAGATTCACCTGCCTTAGCCTCCCAAGTGGCTGGGACTACAGGTATGTGCCACCACTCCCGGCTAATTTTTTGTATTTTTAGTAGAGACAGGGTTTCACCATGTTAGCCAGGATGATCTCAATCTCCTGACCTCATGATCTGCCCGCCCTGGCCTCCCAAAGTGCTGGGATTACAGGCATAAGCCACCGTGCCCTGCCCGGACTTTTTTTTTTTTTTTTGAGACAGGGTCTCACTCTGCCACCCAGGCTGGAGTGCAGTGGTGCAATCATGGCTCACTACAGCCTCCACCTCCCAGAATTAAGTGATTCTCCTGCCTCAGCCCAAGTAGCTGTGACCATAGCGATGCACCACCACGCCAGGGTAATTGTTTGTTTTTGTTGTTGTTGTTGTCTTTCTTTTTTTTTGAGACCGAGTTTTGGTCTTGTTGCCCAGGCTGGAGTGCAATGGCACGATCTCAGCTCACTGCAATCTCCGCCTCCTAGGTTCAAGCGCTTCTCCTGCCTCAGCGTCCCAAGCAGCTGGGATTACAGGTATGCACCACCACGCTGGGCTAATTTTTGTATTTTAGTAGAGATGGGGCTTCTCCATGTTGGTCAGGCTGGTCTTGAACTCCTGACCTCAGGTGATCCACCCACCTTGGCCTCCCAAAGTGCTGGGATTACAGGCATGAGCCACCGCGCCCTGCCCAGCTAATTGTTTTTAAGTTTTTTGTAGAGACAGGGTTTCACTATGTTGCCCAGCCTTCAAACTCCTGGGCTCAAGTTACCCTTCTGCCTCAGCCTCCCAAAGTGCTGGGATTACAGGCATGAGCCACCAGGCCTGGCCTTTAGCAATTTTTTCTCTTTCCTGTTTTCTCTTTTCCTTCCTTCCTTCCTTCCTTTTCTCTCTTTCTCTCCCTCCCTCCCTCCTTCTTTTTTTTTTTTTTTTTGCGACAGGATCTCACTCTGTCGTCCAGGCTGCAGTGCAGTGGCTCAATCTTGGCTTATTGCAACCTCTGCCTCCCGGGCTCAAGCGATCTGCCTGCCTCGGCCTCACAAAGTGCTGGGATTATAGGCATGAGCCACTGCGCCTGGCTAATTTTTGTATTTTTAGTAGAGACATGGTTTCACCATGTTGTCCAGGCTGGTCTCAAACTCCTGACCTCAAGTGATCCGCCTGCCTTGGTCTCCCAAAGGGTTGGGATTACAGGCGTGAGCCACCGCACCCAGCTGCCTTTAGTAATTTCTGACCTTTGGTTTATTCTTCCCCCCAGCCTCTCAGTCTCTGGACAGAGCCCTCTGCACGCTCCCAGGATTCCTCTGTGTTTGTAACACATACACAATACCAAACTTCCCAAGGGTAGAAAGCCCAATTTCCATGCATCTCAGAGGTATGCCCACCCCAGTGTTAACCACAGTGCCCAGGAATAATAATGCAGTGTGTTGAACTGAAAGAATCAGGTGGCCTTAAGTACACCAGTCGCTTCTCACACCTTGGTTTCCTCCCCGGTGAAATGGGGATGATGGGCAACCTTATCCCATGGGACTGTGATAAGGAAGACAAGAAAGAAAGGCTGTAAAAATTGCGAGCATAGATAACTTGGACGTTGAGAGGCCACCAGTGTTCCTGGGTTTTTAAAGGTTTCTTCTGCTGTGAGCCGGGTGCCCTCTGAGCTATGAGAAAAGAGGTTCTCCCTCCTTGGCCAGGGAACCCCCACTGGCTTCTTTCCTGCCACCGTGAGCCTCAGTTTCCTCCTCTGAGGGGAGGTGTTTGGAGAAGAGGGGCTGGAACACAGGCTATTGCAAATCCTTCCCGGCTGTGCTTGTTCCTGCAGTCCCAACTCCTGCAGCCATGACTTCCATCAAGCATTAAGGCCATGTTTAGTGCGTAGGGTGTTCCCTCTCAGGTCTGCTCTGCCAGCCCCTGCTCCCACCCCAGCCCCATCCCAGGGTTAGTCCAAACAAAGACTGGCCTCAGGGGATCAGCAGCCGCCAAATCTGAGATAGGGCTTTCCGGGCGCGGCCGGCGGAGCCCCTGCGAAATGAAGAGCGGCCAGAAGCCCAGGGACCCTCGCGGGCATCGGGGCTCTCCCAGATGCCCACGCTGCCTGCTCCCACTGGAGACGGGGACAGGGGCGTCGTCCCAGCCTCCTCCCTGCTCCCACCGCTGTCCCCTTTTTTCCCCAGGCTGCGGGAGGCAAAGGGTTAAATCCCATAGAGCTGATGCTCTGACTCCAGGCTAGAGGGGCCCGGGAAGCTGGGGTCACTTCCTGCTCCGTCCCAGTCACCCTGAACTGGTCCCCGGGTCCTCAGCCTGGAATCACCCCTTGAGAAGGACCCCAGAGTCCTCGGCGCCCAGTCCGTCCCCCGAGGCAGGGCACTGAAGGGGTTAAGTCCCCTGGGGCTGGATTCCGCCTTCCGGCTTTTCCCAGACCCCAGAGCCGTGAGTTGGGGACGCCTGGGTTCCCGGGGGGTGGCCTGGAGTGCCCGGGACGGCCGCCGGGGAACAATGGGGCCCGGGAGGCGGGGGCCGGGAGCCCGGGCCTGAGCCCCCCACCCGCGCCCGGGGCTGTGGCCGGGGTGGGGGCGGGCGGGGGGCGCGGAGGGCCGAGGATTCTGGGAAGCGCGGGGGTCGGTGGCGGGGGAGGGGAGCCTGGGGATTCTGGGAAGAGGGATCGGCCGGGGCCGGGGACCAGCGCTGCCAGCGCAGCCCTGGAGGAGCCTGGCAGTGCTGGAAGGAGCCGGGACCCCGGGGGCCGGGGCAGGGGCGGATGCCCAGGCTCTGTATCAGCAGCGGGACGGGGGTCGCGGCTCCGGGGGAGCAGAAGTCCGGAGCCAAGCGGTGGGGGGGCCGGGCCGGGCGGCCGCATTCCCGCCGCCTCCATGTCAGGGTCACCCTGGGCCGTTCCCCACATCTCTCGGGAGGCGGCTCCTCATTCCCTCCCTCTGCAGTGGGGCCATCGCGAGGTCTCAGGCTGGCGTGCCTGGCGCCTGGGCTCCCAGCGCCTCGGCCTCCCTCGGTCTTCCCACGTCCATGCTCTGTGTCGGCCCTGTCATTAACCCTTTCCCTCCTACTCTGGACCACTAGGGGAGAATTTTTTGGAGACCATCGAGGTCCACAAACTCTTACCTGTCCCGAGCAAACACAGCAGGGCATCCTTCCCGGACCGGACATCAGGCAGCCCCCAGTGTGGCAGAGGTCTCCGCTTCCACCACCCCAAAGACACTTACAGGCGGGGAGGGGGGATTCTCGGAGCTTAAGTAGCTGCAGAGATGAAGAAATTAATTTACTTCCTAAACGCTAACTTCTGTCTCTCCTACCGCTCTTTGGCAGGGTGCAGCCAGTCTTGCTTCACCTTGGTCACCTCTCAGCGCCTCCTGCCATGTCTCCCTTGCCCCACTGCCCCTGTGCACACAGCGCCCACCTCACACAGCCATCCAAAGTTTCCAGGCCCCACCCAGGGATTCTCTGCAGGGTGTAAATGGTGTGGGACCTCCTTCAAGCGCTTTGTTCCTGTGGCCCCATTCCCTCATCCTGAACTCATCTCACCATTTTTGGAGTGACAGCTGGCTGTTTTTATTTATTTATTTATTTATTTATTTATTTATTTTACCAGGGGGCCACTTGGAACTCCTGCTCCTTTGCTGCCATCCCCTTGCAAACTGATCTTTAAAGGCATTAGACCAAACAGGTGTTCCAGGGGCTAGGGACATCTCACTCATTCATTCATTCAACAAAGTTTCTGGAGCACCTATTCAGTGCCAGGCTAGGCTTGGGAAACAGCCTCAAGAAAGCAGGACAAAAGGAGTAGAAGGAGGGTCCGGGCAGGAGTGGGGATAGGAGGGCTTTGGTGGGGAGTATGGTTCCAGCTCATGGGTGCAGACCAGCAGGCCTAGTCCCTGGGTCCAACTCCTCCTTTTCTAGCCTGGGAAACCTCTGGGTCCCAGGAATTTCTCCAGCCTATTCTCACTGCCAGCAGGCTCCCCATGAGCTGTCCTCATCACCTGTCTCCTGCCAGCCTCCCATGAGCATGAGTCTCACATGACTCCCAAGGTCACCTCGTGCTCTCAGAGACAGGGGTGAGCCAGATATGGAGCCCTGCTTTTATCATCTTAGCTCTGCCACTTCCCAGCCTTGACCTTGGAGAGGTTTCCCCAGGCATTGATGTACTAATCTGTAAAATGGACAGCCTGATTCCTGGGTCTCCTCACCAGGCTGTGGGAGGACTGGGTGAGAGAAATGACACCATGGCAGGCACTGGGTCTGCCGCAGGTGTTCACACAAGCATCCATCCTCCCCTTCTCCTTACTTTTTCTCTTCCTCTGGGCGGTTCCTGCAGATGCAGCTTTAAACTGCCCCTCTCCCCACCTCCAGCCTGACCCTCTTTCTGTGCTTGGATAACAGGGAAGTGCCCCAGTCCTTTTAGAGGGCCTCTGTCTCCTCTGGGAAACTGGGGTGTTTTTTTTTCTTAACCCTTTAAGTGTCTCAGGCAGCCTCGGTTCACTCTGGGGCACAGAAAAGTTTATTGGTCTCAATTAGCAGCCCCATTAAGAGGAAAATTAGAGTCTTAATGAGCTTCCTCTGATTAGCAAATAACAGGTTTCCCAGCCTCTGGGCATCAGAGGTATGGGGTGAAAAACTCCTTCCCCTGTGGATGTCAGAGACCGCTCCAGCCCCCATCCTGGGTTCAAAGGCTTATGAGTGATGAGTTTTTAATTACGCTCTTAAATTCACCTGCTTGCTTAGCTGTGCGCTTAAGATCTGGAGTGAGAATCAGGCCTGCAGGGGAAGGGGGCCACAGCAAGAACCCGTGCCCAGAAAAATGGGGTGGGAGGACACTGAAGTTCACACAAGGAGGAATGGGGCGGGGCAGGGTGGGAGTGAGGTTCAGGGGGAATAAAGCAAAGTGCAAAATCAGCTCCCAGTGTGCGCTCATCGCTGTCTTCCCCCGCAGGGTCCCTGGAACACTGCAGTCCTGAGCTCTGGGATGGAGCCCGAGACTGCGCTGTGGGGCCCGGATCTGCAGGGTCCGGAACAGAGCCCCAACGATGCTCACAGAGGTGAGGGGCACAAGAAGGGGCTGCGGTCCCGGCAAGACGGTGGTCCCGGCTCAGGGAGGGGCCTGGACTCTGGGGGACACCCGGGGGAGGGAAGAGAGACCAAACCCCGTGTTCTGAAAGGGGCTGGGGGCTGTAGACTCCCTTTCTTTCTGTAGGTGCCGAGAGTGAAAACGAAGAGGAGAGCCCTCGGCAGGAAAGTTCTGGGGAGGAGATCATCATGGGAGACCCGGCTCAGAGTCCAGAATCCAAGGACTCAACAGAGATGTCCCTGGAGAGATCCTCCCAGGACCCCTCTGTCCCCCAGAACCCCCCAACCCCACTGGGTCACTCCAATCCCTTGGACCACCAGATCCCCCTGGACCCCCCAGCCCCGGAGGTAGTCCCTACCCCATCTGACTGGACCAAGGCCTGCGAGGCCAGCTGGCAGTGGGGCGCTCTCACCACATGGAACAGCCCCCCAGTCGTCCCCGCCAACGAGCCCAGCCTGCGGGAGCTGGTGCAGGGCCGCCCGGCGGGGGCGGAGAAGCCCTACATCTGCAACGAGTGCGGCAAGAGCTTCAGCCAGTGGTCCAAGCTGCTGCGGCACCAGCGCATCCACACGGGAGAGCGGCCCAACACCTGCTCCGAGTGCGGCAAGAGCTTCACGCAGAGCTCGCACCTGGTGCAGCACCAGCGCACGCACACCGGCGAGAAGCCCTACAAGTGCCCCGACTGCGGCAAGTGCTTCAGCTGGAGCTCCAACCTGGTGCAGCACCAGCGCACGCACACGGGAGAGAAGCCCTACAAGTGCACGGAGTGCGAGAAAGCCTTCACCCAGAGCACCAACCTCATCAAGCACCAGCGATCCCACACCGGCGAGAAGCCCTACAAGTGCGGCGAGTGCCGCCGGGCTTTCTACCGCAGCTCGGACCTCATCCAGCACCAGGCCACCCACACAGGCGAGAAACCCTACAAGTGCCCCGAGTGCGGGAAGCGCTTCGGCCAGAACCACAACCTCCTCAAGCACCAGAAGATCCACGCGGGCGAGAAGCCATACCGCTGCACCGAGTGCGGGAAGAGCTTCATCCAGAGCTCGGAGCTGACCCAGCACCAGCGCACGCACACAGGCGAGAAGCCCTACGAGTGCCTAGAGTGCGGCAAGAGCTTCGGCCACAGCTCCACCCTCATCAAGCACCAGCGGACTCACCTGCGCGAGGACCCGTTCAAGTGCCCAGTGTGCGGCAAGACCTTCACCCTGAGCGCCACGTTGCTGCGGCACCAGCGCACGCACACGGGCGAGCGGCCCTACAAGTGCCCAGAGTGCGGCAAGAGCTTCAGCGTCAGCTCCAACCTCATCAACCACCAGCGCATCCACCGCGGCGAGCGGCCCTACATCTGCGCCGACTGCGGCAAGAGCTTCATCATGAGCTCCACCCTTATCCGCCACCAGCGCATCCACACCGGTGAGAAGCCCTACAAGTGTTCCGACTGCGGCAAGAGCTTCATCCGCAGCTCCCACCTTATCCAGCACCGCCGCACGCACACCGGCGAGAAGCCCTACAAGTGCCCCGAGTGCGGCAAGAGCTTCAGCCAGAGCTCCAACCTTATTACCCACGTCCGCACGCACATGGACGAGAACCTGTTCGTGTGCTCCGACTGCGGGAAGGCCTTCCTGGAAGCCCACGAGCTGGAGCAGCACCGGGTGATCCATGAGAGGGGGAAGACCCCAGCGCGTAGGGCCCAGGGCGACAGCCTGCTGGGGCTCGGGGACCCCTCCCTGCTGACCCCGCCGCCGGGAGCCAAGCCGCACAAGTGTCTCGTGTGCGGAAAGGGCTTCAACGACGAGGGCATCTTCATGCAACATCAGAGGATCCACATCGGAGAAAACCCCTACAAAAATGCAGACGGCCTCATCGCACACGCAGCCCCCAAACCTCCTCAGTTACGATCCCCAAGGCTCCCTTTCAGAGGGAATTCCTACCCCGGGGCTGCGGAGGGCAGAGCGGAGGCCCCCGGACAGCCCCTTAAGCCGCCGGAGGGTCAGGAGGGCTTCAGCCAGAGGCGGGGGCTGCTGTCCTCCAAGACCTACATCTGCTCCCACTGCGGAGAGAGCTTCCTGGATCGCTCTGTGCTCCTCCAGCATCAGCTCACCCACGGCAACGAAAAGCCCTTTCTCTTTCCTGATTATAGAATTGGCCTAGGGGAAGGCGCAGGGCCCAGCCCCTTCTTAAGTGGGAAGCCCTTTAAATGCCCTGAATGCAAACAAAGCTTTGGCCTCAGCTCTGAGCTGCTGCTGCACCAGAAAGTCCATGCAGGCGGGAAGAGCTCCCAGAAGAGTCCAGAGCTGGGGAAGAGCTCTTCCGTCCTCCTGGAGCATCTCAGGAGCCCCCTGGGGGCCAGACCCTACCGCTGCTCAGATTGCAGGGCCTCCTTCCTCGACCGCGTGGCCCTCACCCGGCACCAAGAAACCCACACCCAGGAAAAACCCCCCAATCCCGAGGACCCCCCTCCAGAGGCAGTCACCCTGTCCACAGATCAGGAAGGTGAGGGCGAGACCCCTACCCCCACAGAGAGCAGCAGCCATGGGGAAGGGCAAAACCCCAAAACCCTAGTGGAAGAAAAGCCCTATCTGTGCCCCGAGTGTGGAGCCGGCTTCACAGAAGTCGCAGCCCTCCTGCTCCATAGGAGCTGCCACCCAGGTGTCTCCCTGTGAAATGGGTCTGGAGACCAGGGGCCTCGCTCTCTCCAGAGAGGAACACTGGATTTTTTCCCCCAAAAAAATTACATGGGGAAGGGAGGATAACCCTATCAGATGGTAGTGGAGTGGAGGAGAAAGAACCCTGGGAAAAAATAGTGCTTTTACATCAGTGATGAGAAACCCTATAAAATTGTTGGTGGGAAGCACTTATAAGGCAGTAGAGAAAAACTGTTGGGTTAGAAACCCTATAAATATGTAGGAAAAAAAAAAGCCCTTTAAGTCTGTAGCAGAAAAACCCTATAAACCATAGTGGATAAAAGCCCTATTAATTGTAGGAAGAGGTCCCAATATGTCTCTGAACAACCCTATAAAATTGTATCAAAATCCTTAGGAAAATCCTATAGGGTCGGGGAAGTACCGCAATGGCACTGACCCGGGAGTAACGACCCTCAGATGATGCAGAAAACACCTCTCCCTCACTGTTCCACAATGTTCTCTCCCAGCAGCCCTGGACAGTTCTCATGGAGGAAGATGCTCAGCTGGGGGAGTGGTGTGGGAACTGGGTGGAACTGAAAAGGAAGAAAATAGGAGAAAAATAAGTGACCAGGAGCTCTGGAGCCCCCAGAGGAGATAAGACAGAGACTAGGAAGAAAAGGTCCCACTCACTGCACTGGGGTCCTTGGGGTTTGAGGACAATGTTAGATGCATTGTGTGTTTTAGGGAAAGAGGCCTATGGAATCCCTTATCAAAACCCCAAAATGGGGAAGAAAAAACAAATTGGCAAGCCTTTTTAAAGGCTGAAGTTTGGGGTGCAGAAACATGGTCAGTATAAGAATACTGAGAAACCACCACAAAAATTAGGGGGAAGCAGGGGGCAGTTTCTGTTAGATTGCTTTGAGGGGAGCAAACCAAGGTGGGGAAACTGCTCACATGGAACCCAGCTAACTCCAGGCCCCTTCTTGCTTCCGGAAGCTTGCGAAACTGCAAGTAGCAGGCAGGTCCCAGCTCTCAGAGTGCAAGGGTTCTCCCCACACCAGGCAGGACCACCCTTTCTCCCTGCCCAGCCAGGGACTTCTACTCTGCAAGGCCTCCAGGGATGGCGGTTGCCTCCCACCACATTCTCAGGTCTCACCTTCAGGAGGTTTTTCCTGAAATCTAACTGCCGCCAGTGGCAGCTCATTTCCTCAAATTCTGTCCTCAGTGGAGAGGGAGAACCGCTGCTAGTCGACCTCCAAAGAATAAAGCCCTTCAGAGACTTAGGGCCTGCGTGTGGGCCTCCCCAGCCTTCTCCAAGTCATCAGGGCCACAGAATTTCTTAGAAAGCTTTGATTAGCCAGCAACTTGATTTTAAACTTCAGCTATTCATCTTTGTTGGTAGCAAGGCTGCCCCGCAGGATAAGGCAGCCCTCCTCCCTGGTGGGGATCCAGACACCCCACAGACTGAGCCACAGGTCCCTGAAGAGTCCGCAGAGGCCGTATCACCCTCTTCACCCTGGTACCTGGAGCCCTCCAGGGTTGTGAGATCCAGCCCAATCTCAGCCTTGAGATGGATGGGATGGATTCCACTCACTTGGCTCCCCTCTCCTCCTTAGCCAGAAACCTTCAGAAGGAAACAGAAGGATGAGAAAGCCTCCCTTGCCAGGCCCATCTCACCTCCCACACCACACAGTTACACATTCATAAACAGCCAAGCCTGCTCACAGGCCTGGGCATATGTGGCTGGGGAGAGACTGTTGCCCTATGAGATGGTGGAAGACAGAAAACTCTTGAATGAAACATCTGTAACAAGACTCCCACTCCCTAATCCTGGAGACCCCTTCAAAAGGAGAGGACTCTGCTCAGCGCTGGGTCAGAAAGGAAGTGCTTGCCAACCCCAGTAATGCGCTGTCCTGGAGTAAGAGGACTGAGATGCCAGCTGTGGGGCCCGTCAGGAGTCACGTCTCAAGAGAGGGGTGACCCAGATTTTTGCAAAGCTGTGGAAGAGACCTCTAATTCCATGACCTAAAGTTTCACACAACCTTTATGCAAATCCTTCGCCATTTGTCTATCCTGGCCCCAGCAGGATGACCCTCACATTTAAAAGGATCAAAATCTCAAACATTGTGGGAGGAAAACGCCAGGCCTGCTGGGGAGAGGGAGAAGGCAGGCCTCAGGATTGTGCGGAGAACCATGTTGCCATCTGCATAACGCCCCAGCCTATCCAAGTGCCAGGAAGGGAAGCACTACTGAGGGGGGTGCTGCCTGTGGGTCTCTTCCTAACAGAACGCCAACGAAGGGGGTGCCCTGTAAGAATGAGAAGTCTGCCAAGTCTAAGGAGATGTCCCCCTCCCCAAGATGGTAGCAGAAACTGAAGTTGTAAAGACAAACCTCTCGCAAAGCCAGAAGCAGATGCTCTCAAAAACAGGCCTAAGGAATCTGTTCCCAGAAGAGGCCTGGGGAGCAGCTTTTGGGGCTCAGAGGCCAGTCTGGGGGGAGGCAGGCAGTGTGACTGAAGGCCGGCGCAGGCCTGTTTCGGACTAGGGTGTAGCATATTTAGTAGGATGCTCACATGTTGTAGGGATGGGTGAGGGCTAAGGGGCTTGGCTCTTGTACGGGATGGATGATGTGAGCGCACAGTTCGTAGGGTCAGGCGTCTTGCGGTAGGAAAGGGGCAGGGTTCGATACCTCTGGGGTGTGGCGTGTTCTCTCTTGCCCACCTCCCCAAGCTCCTTTAACCAGGAGCTTCCCTCCCAGAGTGAGCTACGTCTTGGGAGGATTGAAGCAGGGAGGTGGCAGTGGCTAGAGTTGCTCAGATCGGCTCAGATGAAGGCCCAGGGGTCAAAGCATTTGCTCACCACAACTGAGTCTGGAAGGCACTGTGCAGCCAAACCCTCTTGTCCAATCACATGCAGGCCCCAGGCCCCTCAGAAACGCCCTGGTGGAGGGAGGAGCCCAACAGATAGGGTCAGGGAGTCAGTGGGGAAAGCAGAGGGGAGAGCTTAGAGTGAAACTTGAAACTGCTATGGACATGGAGGTCAGATGGGAACTTGGAACTGGGCATGAATCCTGAATGGTGGGGAAACTTGAAGCCATCACAGCCAAGAGGTGGGGTTCCATGACCTGCCCTGAGGTCAGCAGCTCCCAGACTCCTTTGCCCTCACTAGGGAAGCCCCAGTCACCGGACTTGTCCCCATGGAGTGAAGAGAGGCCCCATTTTTGAGTGTTGTGTGTCCAAAACAGTGTTGTGTCACTGGTGGTCATGTTGCTTAGTTGAAGAGAATAAAGGGAATAAGATTTCCTGGGTGTTTCTTGTTTTTTCTTTCAGCCTAAAGTGAGCTGAAAGAGTGTGGCCTCACCTTAAGCCGGAGCCCAGGAGTGACTGCAAAAGCTCAGCCCAGCCCCAGGCCCACCCTTCACCCAGGGGCCCTAAAATCCCCATCCATTGCTGGCTTGTGGGAAGCTGAAGAGTTTATGAAGTTTTAAGCTGCAGTCCCTTGGTGCGGAAAGGGATAAATCTGATGAGATGGCAGCCAAGCTAAGCTGTTCTCATCGGTGCCTGGCCTTCCCACCAGCAGGACTGCAGAGTGGCCGCCTGGTGGCTCTGGCGCTGGCCAGCTCAGGCCCAGCTGTGCAGCCCCAGGGAGGCCTCTCTGACCACCATACCCGCAACCTGCCACAGGGAAGTTCTGAGGATCTAGTTTCAGAAGCTGGCATCCACCACTCCTGGTTCACTTGGGGACCCTGGGAGAGGTGGGTGGAGACCTGGCTTGTCATCACTGCCAGGATGTCAGCCCTTGTGCCCTCACTGTGTGGAGAGGCGAGGCTCAGAGAAGGGCAGCCAATTGCCCAAGATCCACAGCAAGTCCGTGAAGGAAACCAGAATGGCCAGGAACTCAAGCATGTTTTGTGCCCACTCCATCCCAATCTCAGGCCTGCCTCAGTGCTCAGTCTCCTGGGCCCTGGGCCTGGCCATGGGGGATTGGGGGAATCCTGCCCCAGCCAGAAAGTGTCTCCCCACCTTTCCTGTACCCCTCTGACCACAACCCAGGGCAGGTTCAGTGTCTCCTTCCCTTCCCCACCTGGAAAGGGGGGTGGGAGGAGAGGAGAAGCAAGTAATGAAGGCTACTCTACATTCTCTGTGTGCCAAGCCCTGGGGACACTGAGGTCTATCAGGAGTCCCAGTGCTGGAGAAATCTGCAGGAAAGTGACTACAGCAGAAGAGCAGACACAGGGCAGTGACTGCCTCAGAGATTTCGCAGAAGGGCTGTGGACCCAGAGATGGTGCCTGCCACAGTGGAGGGTCAGGAAGCTTTCCGGGGAAAGTGACCTGAAGGATGAGGGCTGCAAGAAGACCCAAGAGTAGGTGTATCGGCTGGGGGTGGGATGGAGGACAGGGGTGCATAACAGTTGGGTATGGGCTTAGAGCAGAGAGGGGACTATGGGAAGACAGAGGCAGAGAGCAGAGCCCACAGTGTGGAGCCCCTGGAGGAGCTCGGGGAAGGTACCACTTGGGGATATTTGAGAGTGACATGATCTCTCTTCTCTCCACAAGAACAGTGGTGATTCTCCAGGTCTGGAGCTCAGGAAAGAGGAGTGGCTGGAGCAGTTAGGTCCTTATCAGCTTAGCTATAGCCATAACCATGAATAAACACACACAAAGTGGCAAAGTAGAAGGTCTAGTTTAGGGGTGGAGGAAGAGGACCAGCAGAAGACAGTATGAGAAAAACCAGGACAGGACAGCGTAGCACCGTCGGATGCAAGGGAAGTTTTGAGAAGACAGCGGTCTACATCAGGCAACCCACTGGCCAATCACAGGCAGTGCCCAAGGTCTGGCTGAAACGGGCATGTCCACCACTGATGCCAACATCTGTTCACTCCCAAGAAGACAGCCAAGGTCGGGGTGGGCCCAGGAGTAGTTTTGGTCTGCCAGTCCCTGGGCAGCAGCCCAGGGTACCGCTGCCACTGGGACCACTAGGGGTGGTAAGCAGTCAAAAAATTAAGGCAAATCCTCCCGGCACCGGAGCCTCATGGGAAATGTTTATTAAGAGTTTGGTTCCTGGCCGGACACAGTGGCTCACGCCTGTAATCCCAGCACTTTGGGAGGCCGAGGCAGGCAGATCATGATGTCAGGAGTTTGAGACCAGCCTGACCAACATGGTGAAACCCTGTCTCTAAAAATACAAAAATTAGCTGGGCGCAGTGGTGCACGCCTGCAGTCCCAGCTACTCGGGAGACTGAGGCAGGAGAATCGCTTGAACCCGGGAAGTAGAGGTTGCAGTGAGCCGAGATCGTGCCACTGCACTCCAGCCTGGGAGACAGAGTGAGACTCCGTCTCAAAAAAAAAAAAAAAAAAAAAAGGTTTGGTTCCTGCCACCACATCAGTGGTTGCTGCCTCACTGACATTGTGGGATCTTCACCCCGTTCCCTTGGACTTGACCTTGAAAAAGTGGTTTGATGCCGACTTTTATTAGGTATGAAGACCCACGAGGAGAGTTTTGCCCCTCTGATAAGGAGACCGGGTGGCCTTTAGCGCAGATATCTAGAGAGACGATGCGGAATTACTTGGCATCTACTCAAGAGCCCAGGCGAAGGCTACTCCTGGAAGGGGACCGCGCTTACGGAGGCCTGGCTGACCTCCACCCGTGACCGGTGCGGCGCTCCTGAGACTGGCGCTCTCCAGGGGCGAAGGTGGCCGCGTCTCTATGATGCAATATCCTGCGTTTTTCCCACCCTCGCACCGCTGCCCCAGGCCATCGGCACTTTCTCTGCGGCCCGATGTCCTCCCCTGCCGCGGCCCGCGCTTCCACCAGCGTGCCCGCCGCCGCCGGCCCTACGCCCGAGGTCACCGTGGCGGCCCGCGTCTCCTTCTCCAGTTCGTCCTGGTCCAGCAGCGGCGGCCCCGCTTAAGTCCCGGGCGCCAATAGGGTCCGAAGGCGCCACCGCTGAGACGCACGCGGCCCCTGCCGTGGCCATAGCACTGTCGCCAGCGCCTGAACCAACACCGCTCCGCACCGGCTCTGGCGCCAGCCCCAGTCCTGCCTCGGTGAAGGATCCGCCCGGGGCGCCTGCAGCGCGCTGAGCCCAGGGGCGCCGCTCGGTACACGCCGCACCGCTCCCGAGGCCGATTGCAACGAGGGAAGTCACCCAGCTGAGGTGTCCCGATCTGTGCATTCGAGTGGTGTGGGGGTGAAGCCGCTGAGAAGCGGTCCGCAGGATCCAGTTCAGGCCGGCCTTTGGCCAGCGCAACCGGGAAACTAGCTCTCTCTCCGAGAACCTCCTAACCATGTGCGGACCAGGAACTACACTTCCCAGGATGCAGCCCGAGGAGTCCCGGCATCCCCCGGCCATGACAGCCAAGGACGTGGTCAGACCGGGGTCGGTGGGAGCAGGACAGGCGGCTCCGCGACGACCACCACGCTCTCCCCTTCAGGCCCAGTCCGGGATCCCTGCCGGCCGTTAAGTCTGAGCCCTCCCAGGCTCACACCAAGCCAGCAAAGTGCTGCTCAGCTGCTGCAGCTAAAATCGGGGGACTACATTTGGGGTGCGCGGCCTGGCTACTCTGGCTGCAGGCCGAGGGTTGAACGTTTATTCATCACAATTAACAGCCTATACAAGCATCTCTAGAACAGAGGCTGTGGGTCCAAACGGGTCCCTGCAGCTCCAACCCTCTGGCCTCTCCGGGCACTGCCCTCACAGCCGATGGAGCATGGCTGGGCAGGCAGACAGGACACAGGCTCAGTCACAGGGTGTCAGGGGGAAGCTCTTCTAGCTGGAATGATTGGAAGTTGGCCCAGCGGCTGGGGCTGGTCTGTCCCTTCCCCTCCTGGGAAGTTCCACCTCCACTGTAGTTAAGGCCACCAGGATGAAAGCAGGGTTAGGTCCAGGGACCCAGTAGAGCCTTGGGATGCATGAGGTGGGGGTAAATGGGCTTGGCAGAGAAATGGAGATTGGGAAGGGGCCTGATTAGAATAGAAACTGATGATGTTGGTTCAGCACCTGCAAGATGAGGAAGGTGACTGCAGCAACCTTAGAGCTTCCCAAAGGAAGCAAGTGATGCCCCCATCTGCCAAGAGGGTACCTCCTTCAGCCCTTGGCACAAGAGCCAGACCAAGGTGTCCAGGGAACTCCACAGGACAGAAGCCCTGCCGAGGTTAGGGGGATGGTGGGTGAAGGAAAGTCTTCCTGGGGCCTGCAGCCCAGTCTCAAACAAGGAACAAGGACATGGCTCACTGGTCCTCATTTGTGAGCCAGTAGGCAGGGAGCGAGCCTTCTCTAGGGTAGATCACAGCCTGGGGAATTTTCCTTAGGGTTAGGATGCATCCACGGAGACAGACAGGTTAGGGCCAGTTTCCGGGAAGCTCAGTCAAGTGCTCTGGGCTCCTCAGGCCTCTCAGGCAGACCTTTTCTGTAGGGCAGTGCCCCCTAGGCTGCAGCTCTGACCTTTAGGAAAAGATGGAACGAAGCTTGGCTGATCCCATGCCCACTAGCATGCACCAGGGTCCCCAAACCAACTAGATGGGCAGGGGCTGGGCCCATGGGGTCCGGAATGGAGGGTGGGGCCACTAGACCTGGGGTGGGGAGGAGATGGGGGCACAGCCCCCAGGGTCCATGGTGTTCCAGAGTCCCCTGAGTTTCAGGTTCAGCTGATGTAGATACGATGGAAGTCGTGGGCACCAAAGGCCGCGTTGCACTTGGGGCACTTCCTCTGGCGGGCCTCATAGCGGCCCCGCACGCACTCGAAGCAGAAAACGTGGAAGCACTTGGTAAGGACTGCATCCTTCTTGCGGGTGTTACAGCAGGGGCAGGTCAACCGCGCCTGGGCCAGGCAAAGGCATCAGCTTGGGAACAACTCTGACAGTGCCCAGACCCCAAGCTGACAGCAGGAGGAGTCCAGGCCAAGCCCACCACACTGGAGACTGCACCTCATCCTCCCATAACCCTGGAGGTAAGGACGAGCACTCTATGAATGAGCAAACTGAGGTGCAGAGGCCAAGGTCTCAACACTAGAAATCAGCAGAGTCCGGATTCATCACTGGGCAGTGATGGCTATCATGTGTCCCCTCAAAAGGACAAGGACCCACAGGCCCAGCCTGGACTCTGCCTTGGGGCTTCATCTCCTGCCCCACTGGCCGCCTCTGGTGAAATCCCAATCTTGTCTACCTCTTCACCTGCACTTGCTAAGTCACAGCTGGAATGGCAATGCAACTAGAAATCTGTTCTCTCTACCCTCAACTGGGCCCAGCCTCGACACTGGCCAGAGACCCTGCCGTGGGTCCCTTCTTAGCCTGAGACCTCTCTTCCGCCACCAGGAGGGTCTCACCTCCAACTCCAGACATGGATTGACTCAACTCAGCATCCCCCAACAGTGCTCCTCCAGCCTGCTAAAATCCCAGCCCAGCCTGCCGCCTCAGCAGCCTCCCTGCCATCACTCCTGTCTCCCAGGACCCTACACACCAGCACTGAACAGGCTCCCAAGCCTGCCTCTACCCCATGGCTGCCTCCAGCTGCCTCTGCCCTTCAAGGCTCAACTGCTTCCAAGGGATGACCAAGTCATATGTGGCTTCCACCTCTGCCTCTACTGACATTCCCCAAGCCTGTTCTCCAGCCCGGCCCTTTTGCCTTGAGCACCTTCCCAGCCTCCCAAAGGGGTCCCACAGGCACCTTCTCAGCATCCTTTGACACCATCCCATAGAACCTGCTCCCCCGCAGGCCTCCTAACCCCCTAAATGGTACTAACTATCCACCTAGTTTCTCAAACCAGGAAACCAGGAGTCCTCCAAGTGTTCCCTTTCCCTCACTCCATGCATTCGATCCACCCCCGAGTCCAAGCAATTCTGCCTCTGAAATGTCTCCTGAACCCATCTACTCTGGTTTCTGCCTCAGTGACTGCAATACCTTAACAATTTCCCTGCCTCCAGTCTACCTCTTCCAGCCCAAAACCAACAACAAATCTAACCACATCACTCTCCTGTTTAAAACCCTTTGAGGTCTCAACCTGGCGTACCGCACTCTTCAGGAGGTGACACGGCCCAACCTCTCCACATTGGCTCCTCTGATTACAACCTCCGGTGCTGTCCCAGCAACCCCTCCGCTCAAGCGTCCACATCTGCTGTTCCCTTTGCCTAAAGCTACTCACTCCCGTTCCTCACAGCCACGTCTGGCCTATTCTTCAGGTCTGCTGTGGTGACATTCACTCCAGGAAGCCTGCTGACCCCAGGGCCAGGGGAAGGGCCTCCCCTGAGTCCCCTCAGCCCCTCTGGCCTCTGCCATCATATTACACATCTGGGATGAGAGAATTACTTGGCTGCCTCCTCCCCTGACTGTCAGTTTCAAGAAGTCAGAGACCAGGGCCAGTTCCTAGCCTCCCAACCCACACCCAGCCAAGCACTGTGCCTGGCTCACAGTACATGTACAGCAAACAGCATTTGACTCTGTGACCACTGTGCTGCCCACTTTCTGCTGCCCTACATTACTTCCAGGGTCCCCAGACTCTCCACTAGTCTCAGCAATCCTGCATCTACAATTCTCAGGTGGATAGGGCACAACTTGGCCCACAGCCCCACCTTGTACTCCTTGATCTCCTCCTGGAGGATTTCGTCGGCATCTGCGTAGACCTCCACCTTCCTCTGCTTTTCCAGCTTGCGCCGCAGCCGTGAGATGTCCTCCTGGGGCAGGAGAGGCCTGGCTAAGGGCAAGGGTCCTCAACCTTGAGCCGCTTGCCCCCAGGATAGGTCCGTGACCGTGGACCACCCTGGCCTGGCCCCTCACCCCTGCACACACCTGAGCCCTCTTGAGGTTGAAGCTCTCTTTCTCACGAGCAGCCCGGCTCTCTGCCAGGCAGGGCTGGATCTCCCGCAGCCGAGTCTGCACGTGCTCCAGCTGCACCTTCAGGTCCTCGGCCAGCTGGGCGGCTTCTACAGCCTGAGTAGGGTGGAACAGGAAGGAGGCACTGGTCTGAGCCTGGTGACTCAGGCATGTGGAGTCACGGCCCACCAATGCTTCTGTCCAGGGCCCCAGTGACACCTGCCCTGGAGCTGCTCCTGCCTCCTGAGCCCTAAGCCCTCCCCTCCTGTTCTCCCTCTCCAGTTCCTCCCGTGTGATGCTGTTTTTTGGGGTTTCTTTGTTTTTTGTTTTTTTGAGACGGAGTCTTACTCTGTCCCCCACGCTGGAGTCCAGTGACACGATCTCAGCTCACTGCAACCTCCGACTCCTGGGTTCACACCATTCTCCTGCCTCAGCCTCCCGAGTAGCTGGGACTATAGGCGCCCACCACCACACCCAGCTAATTTTTTGTATTTTTAGTAGAGATGGGGTTTCACCGTGTTAGCCAGGATGGTCTAGATCTCCTGACCTCATGATCTGCCCGCCTCGGCCTCCCAAAGTGCTGGGATTACAGTCGTGAGCCACCACGCCTGGCCTGCTGTCTGGTTTTTGAGCTTTCACAAGGCTCTCCTCTCTGCTCCCCTCAACTTCCCCACCACACATGCAGCTCCCCTGGGCCTCAGCTCAAGTGTCACCTCCTAAAAGGCTCCCCTATTTTTCTTTGACAGCACCTCAGATTCCTGCACAAGGCTTACTGTGACATGCACTATTTTATTTGGGGGATTACTGGCCTGCTCTGCCTGCCAAGACCTGAAGTTCCAGCTTTGACTGGAAGGCAGGGACCTTCTTGTTCCCAATGTCTCCACAGCAATCAGCGCAAGGCCTAGTACATAGCAGGGATGTAAAATATGCTGCTTAAATGGGCCAAGCACAGTGGCTCACACTTGTAATCCCAACACTTTGGGAGGCCAAGGCGGGCAAATCACGATGTCAGGAGTTTGAGACCAGCCTGGCAAACACAGTGAAACCCCGTCTCTACTAAAAATACAAAAATTAGCTGGGCGAGGTGGCAGGCTCCTGTAGTCCCAGCTACTCGGGACACTAAGGCAGAAGAATCGCTTGAACCTGGGAGGCGGAGGTTGCAGTGAACTGAGACCGAGCCACTGTACTCCAGCCTGGGCAACAGAGCTAGACTCCGTCTAAAAAAAACAACAACAAAAAAACCACAAACATACTGCTTAAATGAATGAACTAACTGGAGAAGAAAACAGCTTCAGAGGAAATGGAAATCAATGTTAATCTTAAGCCTTTAGCCAAAGCTAGACATTTCTTCTATTTAATACAACTATGTGACAAAGAACATCATCCCCACTTTACAGTTCACCAGCGAGTGGTTAGAAGGTAGAGCCTGGAGTCAAGGAGGCTTGGACCCAAATATTAGGGCCACTCCCTCTTGAGCAGAACAATCCACCTCCCTGAGCCTCAGTTTCCTTATTTATAAAACGAGGCTAAAAACAAAATCCAGCCAGGTGCAGTGGCTCACGCTGTAACCCCAGCACTTTGGGAGGCCAATGTGGGTGGATCACAAGGTCAGGAGTTCGATACCAGCCTGGTCAACATGGCGAAACCCTGTCTCTACTAAAAAAAAATACAAAAATTAGCCAGGCGTGGTGGTGCGCGCCTGTAATCCCAGCTACTTGAGAGGCTGAGGTTGGGAGAGTTGCTTGAACCTGGGAGGCGGAGGTTGCAGTGAGCCGAGATCGCACCACTGCACTCCAGCCCGGGCGACAGAACAAGACTCCAACTCAAAAATCTTTTGTTTTTTTTCCCTAGGGACAGAGTCTCGCTCTTGTCACCCAGACTGCAGTGCAGTGCGATCATAGCTCACTGCAGCCTCAACCTCCTGGGTTCAAGTGATCCTCTCACCTGTCAGCCTGCTCGAGAAGCTGGGACTACAGGCGTGCACCAGCACACCCAGCTAATTTTAAAATTTTTTTGTAGAGATGGGGTCTCACTATGTTGCCCAGGCTGGTCTCCAACTCCTGGCCTCAAGCAAACCTCCCGCCTCTGTTTCCCAAAGTGTTGGGATCACAGACGTGAGCCACCACGCCCGTAAACACCATCTTGATAGGATTAGTGAGACTGAAATGTGACCAAGCATGTCAAGTACTCAGCATGTGGTCTGGCACATGTAAATGTTCAATATGTGTGAGCTGTTCTGTGACAGCCTGGCTTCACCTCAGGCTATTGCATCGGGTGCTCTGAGCAGAACCGGAAGGTGAGGAGGTGAGCCAGCAGCCCAAGCTGTGTGTCCCCCTGGCCCAGCCTCACCTTCCGCTTGTTGAGCTCCAGGGCTTGGCTGCGCAGCGTCAGCTCCTTCTCCACACCCCCGAGGCTGCCCTGCAAGGCTCGCTCCTTCTCCTCTAGCTTCTGCACAGTCAGCAGCTGGGCATCCACCTAAGGACCAGAGGAGGACTCAGGGCCATGACCCCCACCTCTCCAGCTCCAGTCTGCAAGCTGGCGGCGGCCATACCTGGGACTTGAGGCCAAGGACCTGCTCGCCCAACTCATCCTTCTCCTCCCGCAGCAGCTTGTGAATCTGGTTGGCCTTGATCCGCTCTGACATTAGCTTAAAGTTGGCATCATCCTTTTCCCGCAACTGCTGTAGCAGCCGCCCGTTCTGTTCCTGCATGTCCTCAAAAGCCTGACCTGTCACATCCATCTCTGAGAGCAGAGCCTCCTCCTCCTGCAGCAAGTGGGCAGAGACAAGATGGAACGTGGGAAGTGGACAGGATGGCTGTGGGGGAACCATGGGAAAACGCAGCGAAGCAAAGAACTACAGAGGGGACCCAGATCATCAAGGTCCTGCAGGCACTAGAGGCACCAAACAGGGTATGAAGGGAACTCCCTGCGCTCCGACGCGAGGGCACCACATGGGCCGCACCTGCTTGGTGGCACCCAGCTTGCGCTGCAGGTGTTCTATCTGCTCCTCTGCCTGCCGAATGCGCCGCAGGGCATCCTCATCCGCGATCTTCTTGCTCTCCCTTCGATCCCTCTCCTCCAATTCCCGGATGCGGCTCCGCAGCTCATCAACCTATAGCACAGGGAAGAAGAAACTCTCTTGACACTGCTTCCTGCTGAGCTAGGACTCTGCTCTGCCTTTCTGAATGCCCCACAAGCCCCAGCTGCCCTCACCTCGGCCTTAGCCTTGCGTTCCGCTGCCATGAGCTGCACCTTATCCCGCTGCTCCTTGGGCGCTGACTTGTACATATCCAGCAGCAGTTTCATCTCCTTCTGGCTCTCCTGGGCCTTCCTGGCAAGAAGGTACAGGAGGAAGTCTTAGTGAGTGGGACTGGAGGCCACCTGGCAGGGTCAGGAAGGAGACAGGAACAGAGCCTCACTTGAGCTCTGCTCGGAGACCCTTGAGGAGTTCTGATTCCTTCCGCTTGGTTTCTTCCACCTTGGCCTTCTCCCGATCAGCCCTTGAGAGAGCGGAGGCTACAGGTGGAGGTCCTAGGCTGGGACCTTCCCGTTCCCGAAGCTCCCGCTTGGGCCTGGCCTCAGGTTCTCGGCCCCGGGAGGAAGGGCCCTGGGCCCCAGGGGTTATACCCTGGAAGTCCTCTTCAGAGGGGACCAGCTCCTCCTTCTTCACTGAAGTGGTAGTAGTGGTGGTGCCAGGCACTGGAGCCATCTCCTTTCTGTTGTCGGGGGTACTGACAGGGCCTGGCCCACCCTCCTCTTTCCCTGGGGCTGGGGCACTGACGCCAGAATCCTCTGGGTGGCCCAGGTTGGGGGTGGAGTGGGCAGAGCCACTGGCCTGGGCCCGGAGCTGCAAAGGCAGAGAGGAAGAGGGATGAAGTCAGATGGTGTTCACTGGAGTCTAGCCAAACCTTTTCCCAGGCAGGCCCCTTCTCACCTTGCCAATCTCAGCTTGTACTTCTCGAAGCTTCCGCTTGTATCGCTGGGCGTCCCCTTTTAGCTGGTGGTTGTGGTTTTGAAGACTACTAATCAGGTGGCGCATCTCACGGTTGATGGGCCCTGGAGGAGCATCAGCAAGTAAAGGTGTCAGAACCAGTTCCTGGGTTAGGACTCCAACCCCTCAGTGGGGTAAGAGGCTATGCCATCACTCCCACTGTGCAGGAGGGGAACATTGCGGCCTCAACGGAGCATGAACTCATCAAAGTAAATAATGCTGACTTCAAGGAAACTCACCCAAAATTAACTTGACACTGCCTATTCATACGATTTTTGCTAATATAGAATATGTGGGGTTTTTTGTTTTTTTTTTAAATAGAAACAGTGTCTCACTTTGTTGCCCTGGCTGGTCTCAAATTCCTGGCCTCAAGTGATCCTCCCACCTTGGCCTCCGAAAGTGCTGGGATTACAGACATGAATCACCACACCTGGCCTAGGTTTTTTCTTTTTTTTTTTTATACATCCAATTCCCTTTAATAGAGAAGGTAACTGTAACATTCACAAAAGTTAGTTAACTTCTTCTAGATTCTTAAATATCACCTTCCCAGTACATTTCCCTGGCCTCCTATTCAAAATTGCAACACCCTTTCTCCTGATACTTCCTATCTTCCTTTTCTGCTTTACTTTCCTATCTGTCAAGAGCTAACACATTTTCCATTTTTCTTCTACTAGTTCGTCTTCCTCTAGTCTGTCTTCTATCAGAATGTTGCTCCACATGGCAGGAATTCTGTTTTGTTCACTGGCATAACCCCAAACCCTAGAACAGAGCCTGGCTCAGAGGTGGCATTTGATAAATCTTTGTAACACAAGTATCTGAGAGACAGAGACGTCATCAGACCAGAAGAATGAGGACAGGGCTGACAGCTCAGACTCTGCATGTGCCTGCTCCATCAGCCACCCCAGCTGGCGGACCCTCACTGTGCCTGGGAGCCAAGCAGTGCAGGCCCTGTTTTGCATAGGAAGCCGAGGCTCTGTGAAAAAAAAGGCCTTAGCCTCTTGCATCTGGATAAGCAGCAGCCCCACACCAGGGCCCAGCACTCCCAGATAAGGCCCCACCTCCGCCCTATCCTCACCACATACCCGCCTGCTCGTTGGCCGCCAGATTCTGCTCAAACTCGATGCGCAGCATCTCATACTCCTTGCGTACCTGGGCCAGCGTGTCCTCCAGCTGAATGACCTCTGTGCGTAGCTTCTTCTGCAGCCCCAGCTCGTCGCTCTGTGGGTTGATGTGTTAAGGACCCACACAGCCCCTCGGTCCCACCTCAGGACTCAGTATCTTAGGAAGAATCTATTCCCCAGGGACCCCTGGCTGGCACACAGGGCCTCGGAAGGCACAAACACGTCAACACTAACGGTTTGGCCCTTAGCCCAGCCCTAACGCCTGTTCCAGGGCCATACCTCCATGTGCTCGATGTGTCGCAGGTGGGAGTTCTTTGTGGCCAGCAGCAGGCCCCGAGCCTCGTCTAGCTGGGTCTTCACTTGCAGAGACTCGTTGTAGAGCAGTGAGAATTGGGCCTGCAGCATGCGGTACTCCCCCGTCTCCCGCACTACCTCCTCAGGAAGGCTCCGCAGGGCCACCTGGGGCAGGGATGCCCAAATGGGATCAGCAACAGGATTCAGGGCTCAGTCCCTCCCTTACAGGCCCAGGACCTCTCAGCCCCTACAGCAGCCCACCTTGAGGCGCTCATTGGTCCGCACAGCCCCCTGAAGTTCGGCCTGCAGTTTCTCCAGCTCTGCCATACGGCTGTTGGCCAGTTCCTGGTTTTCCTCTAACTCTGCATTCAGCATCTCAAACTAAGGAGTGGGAGGCAGGGCCATGGGAGGCAGGGCCAGACGTGGCAGCAGGCCTCCCTTACATCCCCAGCATACACTCCACCCCAAGCACCCCGTGCAGGGCAATGATCGATTCTGACACCCCAAACCAAGTACTTTCCTAAGGGCTCCCAGAAAAATGGGAGAAAATTCAATACTGCATGGTCGGTGCTGGGAACTAAGGCTCTTAACTGATGGGGAGTCACGGAAGGCATTCCAGAAAGGCCTAAAGTGCTAATAAAGGGAAAAAGGGCACAGTGACCACCAGATGCCAACTGACTCCAACTCACTCTTAGCTCTCTCTTCTGTGCTTTATCTTTGTGGTACTCATAACACACTGATATGCTATTTTACTGATTTCTTGTCTGTTACCACAAGTAGAACCTAAAGATATATTCTTTTATTTATTTCTTGTCTGGTCCATGAAAGTTTTGACCTCTATTTTGTTCTCGCCAATATGCCTAGTGCCTAGCACTAAGTGTTCAAAAATCTACTCAACAAGTATATGAATGCATGAAAAAAAGAGCAGCAGGAGTGACCAGGAAGGGCCTCAGAGATGGATGTTTGTCCTTTGTCCTGAGGGGAATTTCAAGAGTGCAACAGAGAAGAGGTTGTGAGAAGGGGTGGGAGGAAAACGCCGCTCACCTTCTGCATGCTGAGTGTGATCTGGCCCCCCTGGAAGCCTGAGGAGCTCCCAGATACATAGTAGCCAGAGTTAAGCTGTGGAGAGAAAACAGACAGGCAATGGATGTAGAGGGGAGGAGCTAAGGCCCAAGGGCCCAGCCTTGCCTCACCTGCCCCAGCACCCCTGCCCCACCTGCTCTAAGGCCTCTGCCAGGTGCTTATTGAGCTTTTGCTCTCGCTTCCGCAGCTTCTCGATGTCCCACTGCAAGTCCTCCACTGTTGTCTCCATCTCCAGCACCTTGGTCTCTGCCGATGTCACTTTATCCTGGAGCTCGGAGTACTGGGAACAATGAGGGAGCAGATGCTTGGATGGGGGACTTGGTTCCTGAGGTCCCTGAGTGCCCATCTAACCCAAATCCTGCCTGATTCTAATCACACCCCCAAAGCCCCCGGCTCCTCACCTCCAATGAGATGCGGTGGTGTTTCTCCTGCAGCTGAGTGGCCAAGTCCTGCAGTCGCCGGTTCTCACGGCCCAGCTCTCGGGTGTGTGCCTGAGCCGCCTCACTGAGGGGCTCACTGTCCCCTGGGAAGGCAGGGCCCAGGTAAGAGCCCAGCTCAGGGCAATGGGGCAAACAACTAACTCATTCTGGAGTCTGCTATATACCCAGTGTGATCCACCAGCTGTCTTGCCCATTTCTCATGACAAAGCCAGGAGTCTTTATCCCCACTGCACAGAGAAGGAAACCAGCTCAGAGAGGGGAGCCACTTTCCCAGCATGTCCAGGTGAGGGTGGCAGAACTAAGGTGGGAGAAGCCTGTCAACCTACAAGGCCTGAGCCCTTGAAGCTATGCCTTGTGGATCCGCAACCCACACCAAGTGCTCCAGAGGGGCCTCTGGCCAGGAGCCTCTACCGGCATCAACAACTCCTCCAACCCATCTCTCTAGCATTCAATCCCGGAATCAAAGTTGGAACCCCCATCTACAGCCTAACCTACCTCTTCCAAGAACATGGCTGATTTATTCCTTGGGAAATTCTGGCCGCCCTTGGACTCGGGCATTAGGGGAATCAGGAAGGGGTGCCATCAAGATGCAGGTGGGGATGGACACCCCTTCAGTATGGGCACAAAGAACCCACCTCGGCTGTACACTCGCTGACAGAGTTCCTCCACCCGGCGCTGTAGGCGGTCTGAGGCCTCTACCACACGAGACACAGCTGCCTTGGAGAACTCCATTCGGCCTTGCAGCTCCAGCTCCACCTCCTCACTGCTGCTGGCACCCAGTGCCACCACAAAAGCCAAGGCCGGCTCACTGAGAGGGGGCCGCAGCTGCATCAGCAAGGGGTCTGGAAGGAATGGACAGACCCTCATGAGGATAAGAGCAGCAGTTACTACCACTCTGTACCAAGTTCCAGACTGAGCCCTTCAATACTCATGGTTCACTTAATCAACACAACCTATAGTGCACTATTATCTCCATCCTGAAAGTGAGACAAATGAAATTCAGGGAGGTAAAGTAATTTCCTCAAAGCTACAGAGTTGCGTATCACATCCTCAGGGAAGCTTCCTGTACTTTACCAATATAATTAGAATCACACGCACATGCATGCACACACAATCATTCCGTTTCAGGAGCCCCAGTACTTTCTGCTTACTATGTTTATAATTTCCTCCCTTATAGCAAGTGCAACACTCATTTCTAGGAAGCGTCAAATACATATTTAATACTCAACCATAATACTGTTTTGAAACAAATGGGTGTCAAAACATGAATTGCTCTATAAACCAAGTTAGTCAGAGTCTAAAGCCTGTGTTTTTGTGCACTGCACTTTACTGCCCAAACATGAAATCCATTTCGTGAGAAGTAGTAAGATAGGCAATTCAGGGGCCCAACACCAAAGTCCCCTCCTCCCCAGGACTTCTCCCAGAACTTAAGCTCCCCAGATCCCAGCACTCTGGTCCTACCTCTCAGCTCTGATGTCCCCGGCTCTGGGAGAGGAGTCCCATCACATGTTGGCCCCTCCTGGGTCCCAGGTGCCTCAGGCGCTGAAGACAGCTCCCCCTGGCTCTCATGGCATCGGAGAAGGGCTTCCACAGTTTCATCCAGCTGGAAGGAGAAAACATCAAAAATGTTATGAATCCCTTAGTGCTTTCCAACATGATACTCCTTTCCTAGCAGGGGAATCTGGGGATTGGCAGCTGAATCAAGGCCTGGTCTTTGAAAGCAGAAGGTATCCACCTGGGCCCAGTAGCGATTGACGATGAGGAGTGTGGCATCATCTGTGGCCTGCCGCTTCTCCAACTTCTCAATTCGTTCTCGGAGTTCATCTTCACAAGCCTGCCGTTGTTCCAGCCGCTCTGCCAGTTTCTTGTTCTTGAACTGTAGTACCTTCAGGTCCATCTCCTCCTACCAAAGGAAACAAAGGGGCCGACGAGAGCGTCAAGCAGGGCCCACAAACCAATCACAGAGAGAGAAAGAGGAGCAGAGCATCTGCAATGCATGGGAGATGGAGGTATTCCCACACTAACCGCTAACAGAATCTAAGGAGGCTCAGACAACACACAGCGAAAGTGTCTTTGTTGTGAGGAGGCTCACGTTGTTTCTGCCTGTCCCCTTGTAAATCCTTAGTCTTTGACAAGTCACACGCCCCCTGGAAACCTGTTTTCCTATCTGTAAAGGGAAGACAGGCGTCGTGTTCTGAGCTTCTTTCTAACCTTTCTTTCAAGGTCCTGTAACGCGGACCTTGCTAAACTTGGGGAAGTGGGTGTAAGATTCCGCACAGTTTGGCCAGAGAACAGAGGGAGGGCTCTGGGAAGTTCTGAGGGTTAAGGCAAGAGCCCACGAACCGTGGAAGAGATGCCTCCAAGACGAATGGGCTCGATAAGAGTCGTGGTGGTCTTCTCCTCACGACTCAGCTTCTTTTCCGGGGGCCCTGAGCCCCCGTCGCCGGCGGCGCGTTTGTTGCCTGGCCCAGACATGGCCGCGGCGGCTGGAGCGATGCAGGGTCCCCTGAGGGGCGTCAAACGGGAGGAGGCGGTACTTCCGTCACCTGCAGAAGACACAGAGCAGAGATGTGGGAACGGCTGGTGTTCCACAGCCCCAAACACCCTCCACCCTGCACACACCTGCTGGATCCCGTCCCCCCCGGCGCCAGAGCCCTCACCAGCAGGAGGGTCAGCCTAGCGCCGCCATCTTGGATTTCACCGGACGTCACTGGGCGTCACTGGACGCCACTGCCCCCCCCCCAACGGTGCGCAGGGCGCAGGCGCCAAAGGCAGCCCCGGATGTGAGGAAACTTCTTTATCTTCTGCTTCTATTGGTTACGCTTGGTCCCGCCACTCGGGTCCTCTGGCTTCTTCCCAAACACCTCCTCTTTCTCTCGGTGATTGGCCAAGAGGCAGTTCCCATAGTAACTGACACCGCGCTCCCACTTCCCAGCCTGGAGGACAGCACCGGCCCTCGTATTAGCAACCTGGAAGAGAGGGCGCCCAGGTGGGCACTCGCAACTTCTCACGTATCTGCGCGTTCTCTTCGCTCCCACTGGCGTGAGCCTGCGCTTTCCGCCTTCCTTCCCTCACAAGCCCCCTTGGCAACCGTCGCCGTTGAGACGGAGGGAGACGCCCCCACGGATTCGCCCCGCCGCGCCTCTCCGCGCGTAGATTGGCCGGAGCGAGGCGAACGGGCCCGGCCTTGGTAGCCGCCGACCGAGCGCTGGCTGTCCTGGAACCTAGGCGGCGGGAGCCCGGGGCGCCTCGCGGCACGGAAGAGCGGCGAGATGCTCAACCGCAAGACCAGCCACTTTTTGGGAATGAGGGTGCAGTCGGAGCTTGAACATCTCTCCGAGCTGCGGCGGGAAGCGGGGAAGGATCGCAGCTCAGTGCATGGGTCGGCCGCGCGGACGCGTGCGAGTGTGCGGACTCAGTGGACGACGGCGGCGGCGGCGAAAGCGGATGAAGACCCCGGAGCCAACTTGTTTCCGGTGAGGGCGGGACAGTCTGGTCTGCTCGTGAATATTTATAAACCGGCTCCCCCGCAGGCGCCACCTGTCATTATGCTTACTAACGTTCGGGACGTCTCCCGGGCTGCTTGGGCGAGGAGAGGCAGGGGTGTGTGACCCCGGTGGTTACTGTGCTCGCGTAGAGCACCTAGGGCCTGCTGAAGCCCTCCCTCGCCCGCGCCTCTCCTTAGTCCTTGAGATGAGATGGCAAGTTACAGCGGCTTCTCCGGCCTGCTGGAGATTCGCTACGGGCCAGGACACCGCAGCTGCCTTCCCCAATTCGCTTTCTTTCCGCAGCCGCCGCTGCCCCGACCCCGGATCTGCATGTGGTGAGTGTGAAGAGACAAAAATTACACTGAATATTTGCGTTCTTTATTGTCTCCCCAACAGTCCTGTCTGTGGCCAGGGCATCCCCATTTTACAGATGAGACTGAGGCCTGGAGATGCAATTACTCCAGGTGACTGGAAGTTGGCTTTCCAGCCTCTCCAGTCCAAAGAGGAGGCAGTGTGAGAAAAAAAGAGCCAAAGACAGAATGTAAATGGAGTCTCATGGCCGCTAAGGAGTATTGTACAGAGGGGGACACTGAGGGCCACAGGGAGTACTTGACCAAGGTCATACAAGGTAGTGGCAGAGCAGAAAAAAGAATTCAAGATTCCTAACCCTAGGCTTTAGAAATGGAGAGGCTCATAAGAGTTCATTTAGGCCCAGAGAGTTAACGATTTGCATAGTCACACAGCAAGCTGGCAAAAGAGCCCAGCTTCACGCCGGTGGCCAACTCCCAGTCTCACGCACTAGCTGTCACAGCCTTGTCATGATAGGTAACGGCCACCAATACTCTTTTTCTTTTACTATAACAGGAAGTACCTGGACGTCCATTCCATGCACCAGCTGGAGAAGACCACCAATGCTGAGATGAGGGAGTAGGGACTGAGGGGGGCGTGGGAAGAGCTCTTGGCAAAGGCTGAGGGGTCAGGTTGGGAAAACATGAGGAATGGCTGACTCCAAAGCATGTGGTGGGTGTAGGGTGATGAAAGGAGGCCCAGTTGTCACTCACTCCTCTCTCCCTCCCAAGGGTGCTGGCTGAGCTGCTGGAGCTAGGGTGTCCTGAGCAGAGCCTGAGGGACGCCATCACCCTGGACCTCTTCTGCCACGCGCTCATTTTCTGCCGCCAGCAGGGCTTCTCACTGGAGCAGACGTCAGCGGCTTGTGCCCTGCTCCAGGATCTTCACAAGGCTTGTATTGGTGAGAGGGGGCAGCTACCAGGTTTGAGCCCCAGGGAGAAGAGGAACCGGGCCTGGCACAAGTGACCATGGGAAGCAGAAGCAGGGGATTTCTGCCTGGAATATGTCATTATTAGTAGCATCATCATACACAAGCCATCAGCTTTCCAATCCACTGCTTCCTTATCTAGAAATTAAGGATACAGCACACATTTTACAGGACTGTTCTGAGAAATAATATATGCAAATATATGCATAGTGCACAATAACACCTGCTTTAGAATGTTTAATAGCTCTTGCTTCAGAATGTTTAATAGCTGAAATGATCTATTTCTTGGTTTATTCCCCTAGAATATAAGCTTCGTAAGGGCAGGACCTTGTCTGTCTTGTTCAGTGCCGAAAACCATACAGTGGGCATATAGTGGGTATTCAGTATTTGTTACATGAGTTAAGGAAACAAGCCAGTGCTGAAACCCAGATCTGTCTGCTTCTGAAGCTCATGGTCATAAACAGCTGTTGAGTGAAGTGAATGAATGGATACCAGAGAGGGCCTCACTGCTGCATCTTGCTTTCCCTACCAGCAACCCCCTTGGGCAACGTGGAGGAGTGCTACCGCTACTTCACCAGTGTCCTTTTTTGCCATGGAGTCAGGGTCAGTTCCCCTGGAACATTCTGGAAACTTTACCCATCCCCAGACAAGGTCTCACCCAGTCTCTCTCACATTCATCACCCTTATCTTCTTGTGAAGACCCCAGTGGGCTCTCCTTGCTCCTGTTGCTGGGCTTTTGGAGGCAAAGCCAGGGCTCCGGAAGGTAGTCAGGGTTCTAATTCCGAGTCACCACCACAGCGGCCTCCTTTCAGCATCGACCTCTTCAAAGAGGAACAGCTGCTGGCCTTGGAAGACTACGTGGTCAACACTTACTTCCGCCACTTCAAGCTCTATAAATACGTCTTCACACCCCAGGTAGGGGGTGGTGGACCATGAGGAGCCACCCTCAACCGCCCCTCCCCTCAGCACAGGTGCACTCCTTTCAGCCTCCCTCTGCCTTGCTTCCCAGGTGCGGCTGGATCTGTCTTTGACTTACATGGGGCTACAGCCACCCAAACTGTGGCCAGAGAGTGAGACGGGTAAGGGAGAGTGCCAGGGCAGGGCTGGGCTGGGCCAGGCCTGGGGCCACAGTCTCTTCCTGCTTCTGGTTTGCAGAGAAAGAAGAAAGCAAGGAGATGGAGGAGCAGGCAGTTACCCCGCAGAAAGAGGAACTAGAGACAGTGGCCCCACCAGAGCCAGAGCCAAGTGAGGATCTGGAGAGGGCAGGCTGCCCTGTCCCTCTGAGCAGGTGTAGAATGAAGGGTTTGGATGACATCAGGACTTCAGACTTTTTGTTTTTAGTCAGAGTCCTTTCTCTAAATGATCCCTTATGCAGAAGTCCAAGATGACAGATAAAAGCACAGCTGCAGGCCAGGCGTGGTGGCTCACACCTGTAATCCCAGCACAATCTGAGGCAGGCGGATTGCCTGAGCTCAGGAGTTCGCGACCAGCCTGGGCAACACCGTGAAACCCCCTATCTACTAAAATACAAAAAATAGCCAGGCATGGTGGTGCGCGCTTGTAGTCCCAGCTACTCAGGAGGCTGAGGCAGGAGAACTGCATGAACCCAGGAGGTGGAGACTGCAGTGAGCCAAGATCTGGCCACTGCACTCCAGCCTGGGCAACAGAGCAAGACTCTGTCTCAAAACAAACAAACAAACAAACAAAAAGCACAGCTGAAGTGGCTCCAGAGAAATGATCATTAGAAAGCCAATGACGGTGGCTTAAAACCTATATGATGGGTTGATGGGTAAAGCAAACCACCATGGCCCATGTATACCTACGTAGCAAACCTGCATGTTCTGCTCGTATCCCAGAACTTAAGAGTTAAAAAAAAACAAAGAACAGGCCAGGTGCAGTGGCTCACAACTGTAATCCCAGCACTTTGGGAGGCTGAGGCAGGCGGATCACGAGGTCAGGAGATCGAGTCCATCCTGGCTAACACTGTGAAACCCCGTCTCTACTAAAAATACAAAAAGTTAGCCGGGCGTGGTGGCGGGTGCCTGTAGTCCCAGCTACTGGGAGGCTGAGGCAGGAGAATGGCATGAACCTGGGAGGCAGAGCTTGCAGTGAGCTGAGATCGCTGCCACTGCACTCCAGCCTGGGGGATAAAGCAAGACTCCATCTCAAAAAAAAAAAAAAAAAGAGAAAGCCAATGACAATAACAGCCAGCACATACTTGGCAATAGGTGTGCAGTGCATGCCCTGCTCTAAGCATTTTACATAAATTAACTCATTTAATCCTCCCTCAATCCTATGTGCTAGGTATCACTATCCACATTTCATACAAGGAAACTGAGGCACAGATAGGTTAAATAACCTGCCTAAGGTCACACAGCTACTGAGTAGGGATCAGAATTTGAAGCTGCAAAGTCCAGCATAGCCACCCTACCCAACTACCTCTCACACAAGGGCTTGCTAACATTTCCTAAAGGGAAACAACATTGCTACCTCTATATCCCCACCAGGGGAAATTTGGGGACTGTTTGCCCAACTAGGGACCATCCCCCCATTGCCAGACAGCATCTCTCCTCACCCTGCCCCTTCTTCCCTGCCCCTGCAGGCCACATCCACGTCCTCCGAGCCTACATCAAGACCCAAGTGAACAAAGAGCTGGAGCAGCTCCAGGGGCTGGTGGAGGAGCGGCTCAAGGCCAGCGAGGAAAGGCTCAGCAGCAAGTTGACTGCACTAGAGCGGCCCTTCCAGCTACCTCCGGGTAAAGGCAAGAGCAAGACCAAGTGACCCCCAACATTTTCCCCAATAAAGGTCTGGGCCAGAATGGCACCATCCCTGCACCCTGCTGAGCACCTTCTGGGCTTTCCTGCCCAAGCCAGACAGACACAGGACACCTGTTCTCCCTGGCGTGTAGCAGATTTTATTTCATATGCAGTGCATGCAGCACTGACCGGGCCAGGCGTGGCGTTCAGAATGGCTCCCTTCCACCCCAGCTCTGATCTCAGAGTCCTGGCCAGTGGGGAGAGAGGTACCGGGCTGGTCTTCAAGAGGGTAGCAGGATCATTAGTGGGCCTGAGGCCAGAGGCCAGAGCCCAGAGGAGCTGGAATGATCAAAACCCTTCTTCTGGAGAGTTCTGCTTCCTGGGAATCCCTGGGGTTGAGGTCCTAGCCCAGCACAAGCACGGCCTCATCCTCAGTTATAGCAGCAGAGTCTCCCTCCTCTTCAGGGCCCATGATGGGAAAAGGCCCAGGGGGCCGGTGCTGAAAGAGAGCCGCCCGGTTCTGCTGCTCCCCTTTCTTTACCCAGTGCCCGTAGAGCCGGAAGGCACAGTTGTCGATGAGGTGCCGCACTGACCGCAGCGCATAAGGGTCCCTCAACAGTGCATTCTTGGTCAGTGGCCGTACACGATGGGTGCTTAGGGCCACTCGTCCAGCAGCCAGCACTGTCCACACTGCCACCTGGGAAGGGGGGCAGGGTGAGCTCTAGTGCAGGGGAAAGATCATGGGACAGAGAAACGGGCCCAGACCCTGATACACTCAGGCTTACCCGGAACCGCTGGCGGGGGGTGAGGTTCCAGGGTTGGCTGCCTTCACAACGCTCAAAGAAGGGGTGCTGTAGGGCCTGCTCAGCTGTCAGGCGTGCCTCAGGATCCACCTGCAGCAGCCTGGAGATCTAGGAGAGACCCAGAGCATGAGGGGCAGCTCTTGGGCCTCCCCTACTGTCCTCTCAGCCCCCGCTCACCAGGTCTTTGACAGTGCTGGAACGGTCATCCCACTCGGGGGAACTGAACTGGTACTGGCCCTCCATGATCATGCGTAACATCAGGATCTGCCGCCGGTGCCAGAAGGGTGGCGAGCCAGCCAGGAGTGTGAACAAGATCACCCCACAGGCCCAGCTGGGAAAGAGACTGGAGTCAGGCGGGACTAGGTGACGGGCAGACCCAGCAAAGGACAGCAAGCACGGGAGGGAGGGGGAGACCAGGAACTCACAGGTCGACCTCCTTGCCATAGCCTGGGTGGGTTTCATCCATGGAGCATTTAAGGATCTCTGGCGCTAGATACCCTGGGGTCCCACACAACTCTGGGGAGAGAGGACCAAGATTGAGGGGATGCCACCAGCCCCTCTAGGGCCCTTAGCACTGGATCTCTGCTGGAGCCTCCTCAACGCTGCCAGGACTACCAGTGTTCCCATCTTCCTTCTGTCTGCCTTCTGCCAAGTCTCCTGCTGAGGCACTATCCCTGCGCAACAGTTGGCTCACCATGGCTCCTGGTGGCCTTCCTAGGAAAACCTGGGTTTTGGATTGATTTCAAGGTCCTTGTTCCACCATATCATTTGCCTCCTCCAACCCTACCTACCCACTATCCAAGCCAACCTACCCACTCCTCACAACTTGTTACCTTAGTTTTATATATATCATAATGCATATGGAAAGATTATGTATTTTTACATACATCATAATACATACGCAAAAAAAAATTTTCTGCATTCCTATCTGCCCAAACCTCTTCCTCCTCCTATAATCTCCAACTATCACTCAACCCAAGGGGAAGAAGTGGAGATAAGGAATTTCTTTTCTTTTTTTTTTGGAGATGGAGTCTTGCCCTGTCGCCTAGTCTGGTGTACAATGGCATGATCTCGGCTCAATGTAACCTCCGCCTCCTGGGTTCAAGCGATTCTCCTGCCTCAGTCTCCCGAGTAGCTGGGATTACAGGCACGTGCCACCACGCCTGGCTAATTTTTTGAATCTTTAGTAGAGACAGGCTTTCACCGTGTTGGCCAGGCTGGTCTTGAACTCCTGACTCGTGATCCGCCCACCTCGGGCTCCCAAAGTGCTGGGATTACAGGCGTGAGCTACCGCGCCCGGCGAGCTATGGGATTTCTTAAAGCACATAATGGGTAAGTCCTTTGTTTAAAACCCTTCCCTGATTCCACATCATGACACATGATCAAATCTACAGTTCTAAAGTCCAGAGCCCTCCAAAACTTTATCCAAGTCTGTATTTTTATATTTATTTATTTTTAGAGACAGGGTCGCTATGTCACACAGGCTGGAGTGTGGTGGCACTATCACAGCTCATTGTAGCCTTGGGCTCCTAGGCTCAAGTGAGCCTCCTCCTTCAGCCTCCCGAGTAGCTGGGGTGACAGATGCGTGCCACCACGCTTGGCTCAAGTCTGTATTTTTAGTTTGTTCTACCACTCGGGCACCAATTCTTCCAGTACTTTCTGAACCTTGTTCCATGGCACACTTCCAGGAGATTTTAACAGCCCCGAATTGAAACTGACTTTGTTGGGAAATTCATTCCTACACCAAGTATTTCTTGAATGCCAAGTTGCACTGATTTGCCAAGTGGCAAATGAGATGAGCCCTTACCGAGCTCACTGTCTACCTGAAGGCAAGTGAGAAATAACAATACAGTAAGACGTGTTGTGAATGAAGAAGATGGGAGAACAGAAAGCAAGGGGACCTAAGCTGCCCTGGAGGTTTAAAGTGAAGCCTGAATTACCCAAGCCAAGGAGAGGATGCAGTGGGCAGAGGCAAAGATGATTCCACAAACGGGAAAAGTACATGTGGAAGCCAAAGGGTTTTAAAGTACAACATCCACCAGACATGTGGGTCCACAGGTTAAGAGTATTAACTCTGGAGTCAGACTGTCCAAGTTCAAATCCTAGCATTAGGACCCTAGAGCAGTCATCTCACCTCTTTGAGCCAATCTATAAAAAAAGAGACACAAATACTGTCTGTCACACAGGGCTGTGGAGAGGATTTAGGGGAATAAGCCATATAAAGACTGGTGCCGACAAGGCACAGTGCTCACACCTGTAATCCCAGCACTTCTGGAGGCTGGGACAGGAGGATCACTTGAGGTCAGGAGTTCAAGACCAGCCTGGCCAACATTGTGAAATTCCATCTCTACTAAAAATACAAAAATGAGCCAGGCGTAGTGGTGGGCACCTGTAATCCCAACTACTTGGGAGGCTGAGGCAGAAGAATAGCTTGAACCCAGGAGGTGGAGATTTCGGTGAGTGAAGATCATGCCACTGCATCCCAGCCTGGGTGACAGAGTGAGACTCTGTCTCAAAAAAAAAAAAAGAAAAAAGAAAAAAAAAGACTGGTGCCTGCCTCACAGGTGAATGCCCAGTAAACGGTAGCTTTTCATAAGTCTAGTACAAACCATTGAGGGAGAGAGTCAGTGGCAGACTAAAGGCTCTGAAGAATCCCACAGGTGAATTTTATTTGAAGTTTCCCATTTGCAGTAGAAACATTCCTGTCACAACAACTGTATTCACATCAGGTGAACCTGAGGCCCAGGGCCCAGGTGGGAAGTGCAGTCTGGACACATCACATCAGGCTCTTGTGGTCCTGCACTCCAGACCCCAAACGTGGCTGAACATGTGGCTCCCTTTTTTACCTCCTCTATGGGGCTCAGGCTGAATTGGCGTTCCTTCCTCCGGGTTCCCCTGGCCTGGCCCTCTGCCCACTGTGCACCACTGTCTGTCTGCCTGCTTGTCTGTCTCCATCCTCCCAGGTCAGGATGCCCACTCTGAGGTAAACATAGGCTTTGCGCCCACAGGATACTTGGCAAGTGCCCAATGACTTCTCCCTTTTTCTTGGCACCAGGGACTTGGTACTCAGACCCAGCCAACCAATCTCATCAGGCCTGGGTCTCCCCTCCCAAGCCTATTAGGGCACTAGATCCCCTCACCTCGAAGCTTCTCGCCAGGTTCCAAGTGGCAGGAGAACCCGAAATCTGAAAGTCGGATCTGCATATTGTCATCTAGGAGAATATTCTCGGGCTTCAGATCTCGATGCACAATGTTGTTGGCATGGAGAAAGCTCACTGCTTCCAGCAGAGACCGCATGATGGACCTGGGGGAAGGGGAGGCGGGTGCAGTCTCCTCCTCGGCTCCTCCCTGCCCTGTCCCACCCCCTGCTCACCCCTGGGGCTTCAGGCTCAACCCTTACCTGGTTTCCTTTTCAGAGAGGGCCACCTTCTCTGTGAGATAGTCAAACAGCTCTCCCTTCCGCATCCTAAGGGAAGGAGGGGCATAGGAGGCAGCTGCATCCCACAGTGGGGGCTGAGAAAACAGACCAGTGCTCATACAAAATATTGTGGAAGAGGCCACTAAAGATAGATCTCTGCAGACAAACCAAAGGGTCTAGAAACACAGCACTCCAACAAGGCAGTTTGGCCTGGTGTGTTGGCAGCTGAAATACCTGCATTATGCCATGATGGGGCAATTATGGCAAAAATAAGAGACTTCTTGTGACAATATAATTTATAGGAGGTTCTTGTTGAGAGTAACTATGCCTGAAAAAGGCCTCTCAAAGTGAATCTATAAAGAAAATGGACCAAAATTTCAGTTTTTTGTGGCACAAAGGTTGAATAGGACCTTATTTTGAAGTTTCGTCTTTAAAAGCTGAGGTTATAATTATGTGTCAATTAAAAATAATACTTTCAAAATTGAGGTTATACTTGCACTCTGCATCAGTCCTCAAAGTAACATTATCAGGTGCTGTTTTGGGGAGTGTAGGCACTCTGCATGGCTGCAGGATGGCATAATAGACATCCTTACGTCCCCTCTGACTTTTGCAGAGGGCCATTTCTGTAAATATATCGAAGCCTTCATGAATTTTTTCCAAGGGCCTCTTTTAAATCTTTGGAATTCAAATCATTCTCTTTCAAAATACCTTTGCAGTTGGTTTGCATTATACCAATTGCATCGGACATTCAGATTCTGACCAGAAAAAGAACTGATGGGCAGAGACAGACACCAGAATAGTTAGCGTGTTAAGCAGCGCGAGAGGCTGGTGAGTGAGGATCTATTTTCTAAGTGGTCAGTCCACTGCTGAACACTCTCTTTTTTTTTGGAGATAGAGTCTCGCTCTGTCACCCAGGCTGGAGTGCAATGGCACGAACTCAGCTCACTGCAACCTCCGCCTCCCGGGTTCAAGCAATTCTCCTGCCTCCCGATTAGCTGGGATTACAGGCACCGACCACCATGCCTGGCCAATTTTTTGTATTTTAGTAGAGACGGGGTTTCGCCATGTTGTCCAGGCTGGTCTTGAAACTACTAACCTCAGGTGATCCACCTGCCTCAGCCTCCCAAAATGCTGGGATTACAGGCATGAGCTACCACGTCTGGCTGGTCACTATTACTTTATTTTTTGAGATGGAGTCTCACTCTGTCGCCCACGCTGGAGTGCAGTGGCGCAATCTGGGCTCACTGCAAGCTCCGCCTCCCGGGTTCATGCCATTCTCCTGCCTCAGCCTCCCGAGTAGCTGGGACTACAGGCGCCCACCACCACGCCCGGCTGATTTTTTGTATTTTTAGTAGAGATGGGGTTTCACTGTGTTAGCCAGGATGGTCTCGATCTCCTGACCTCATGATCCACCCGCCTCGGCCTCCCAAAGTGCTGGGATTACAGGCGTGAGCCACTGCACCCAGCCACTAGTCACTATTAAAGAATTTGCCTCAATCATGGCACCAAGGGAGAAGGCCAGAGCCATGCGCTAGCAGGCAGGCCCAGGTGATAGAGAGCCCCAGCTGGAACAGGAAGGTGTGAGCAGGATGGGTCCAGCCCACTGCACCACAAATGCTGGGCCATACATGGAGGTGGGGAGGAGGCTTCTCAGATGGTGGCAGGGAGATACTCACAGGTCAAACACCAGGAACATGAAGCTAGAAGACTCGTAGGAATCGATGAGGGTGACTAGGGAGAGAGGAAGAGAGGCAGAGAGACAGAGATGGAAAGGAGTGGATGCACATTAACGGGGCTTGGCCACCCTGGGACAGCAGCGGGCTGTTACTGGGAAGAAAGGAGAACCAGAGGAGGCAGTGGGCGCCCAACGGATGGCCACTCTTTAGTGGAATGAAGGGAGGAGAGGTGTGGAGGCAATGTTGGCGGAAGTGGGCTATGGGCAGGGCCAGCAGGAGGTGGGGGGTCGTCTGCTAACAGGAGCAAGGAAGACAGCCTCACTGATGTGGGGGTGGCCGGCGACCTGGCGAAGGATGTGTGTCTCTCGCCGTGTGGCTTCCCGCACCTCCTCCAGCTGCTCAGGACTCAGCCGCTCAGCTGTCACTTCCATAATCTTCACCGCAAACTCGTGGCCAGTAGCTCGATGAACACAACGGCGGACCACAGAGCTCACTCCTCTGCAAGAGCCGGAAAATAGCACAAGTCAGGGCCTCTGTGCTCACATTTCCGCACAGGCTGGGGCCTCAGCATCCTCATGCCCGCTGTGCCAGACTCTGAAGACCCATCTGGATCACAGGGCAACAAGCTTAGGAGCTCACCCTGGCTTCACAGCAGCCTCAGAAACCTGAGTACCCAGCAAGGCACAACACAAAGCTCACAGGGAAGGCAGGTAGGGCCTGGGTTCAAATCCAGGCTCTGCCACTTCCTCCATGGGAAAGCCTAGGCAAGTCCTTCCCACACTGAGCCTCAGCACCTGTTCCTTGCAGGAAGGGGAAAGAAAGATCTAAGTCTCCCTCTATATTCCACTTACACTTGCCTGATTACCCCATCCAAATCCCAAAGTTCCCTCAAGTGTAGGAAGCTCCAAATAAGTAGGAAGCCATTGACTAGAAGACCAAAGCTGAAAATTAGATCTTAGTGCAGACCCCAGATTTGCTACCAATTAACCTAAGTGGTCCCCTGACATAAGGTTCTTGGACTTCAGCTGTGAAATGCAGCCAACAGCATCCTGAAGGGATGTTGAAGGGCATTCATGAGGCACACACAAAGTCCTAGACAAGGATTTCCTTGCTCAGGCTATCACCAACTCCATATGACCCTACACATTCCTCAGACTAAGGAGCAAATCCCTCCAGGATCCAGCCTCAAATCCTGTTTCTTATCCTGGTTCCCTGGCTGCCCTTCGCAGAGCCTTACTGTTATGCTCTCTGGGGCCTCCTTGGCCTCACATAACTCACTTGGGAATTCGGCCACCCACATCTAGTTAAATCAAGGGATGTAAACTATTGATCCACAGGCCAAACACAGCCCTCAGATGTGTTACGTTTTGGCCGGTGCAATTTTTTTTTTATTTTTTTACACAAATCTGAATTCATACATCATAGGTGGGGCAAAACCCTCCACCTTCCACAACACTTCCTACTCTCTTACTCTTGGCCACTTCACAGTTTCAATTTCCTGCGCAACCACTAAGGGCATCTGAGTTTGAGGCCATGTTTTAATTATGACCCAGCTTTAATGAGCCTCTTTGAGAATCTGATGAAAGCTGGAGACATCTACCACACGCATACATTTTTGCGATTTTAAAGACCCCCCCCTGAACTCCTACTCATACCTCAAGACCCAGCCCAAAGGTGACTCCTCCTGAGAAGGTGTGCTTTTCTGGAATCCCATAGCACTTGATACAGACCTCTACCTATCTAGCCTGATGCCTTTTTAACGTTCACGTGCCAATTTCAGTCACTTCGGGTGGAGTACCTCCAGGGCATACGCATCTTTTCTGCCCTCCCCGTGTTGAGCTTTGTGTTGAAGGCATAAATGAATGAATCCGTGAAAAAATGGGGTTGACCCAAGGTAAGAGTCTAGTCACTAGGTGTTCTCCACTGATCACTGATTCTTCCCATTTAGAACTATTCAGTCAACCAGGCGCGGTGGCTCACGCCTGTAATCCCAGCACTTTGGGAGGCTGAGGCGGGCAGATCACGAGATCAGGAGTTCAAGACCAGCGTGGCCAATATGGTGAAACGCCCGCCTCTACTAAAAATATAAATTAGCCGGCGTGGTGGCGCGCGCCTGTAATCCCAGCTACTCGGGAGGCTGAGGCAGGAGAATCACTTGAACCCAGGAGGCAGAGGTTGTAGTGAGCCGAGATCGCGCCACTGCATTCCGGCCTGGGCGACAGAGCGAGACTCCGTCTCAAAAACAAACAAACAAACAAACAAAACCAACTATCCAGTCTTCTCCTGAGAAAACCTGAACTTGAAAGACACACACACACACACAGACACACACACCACCACCACCAGCACCACCAGCACCAGCACCACCACCACCGAAAGACACACACACACACACACACCACCACCAGCACCACCACCAGCACCACCACCAGCACCACCACCACCAGCACCACCACCAGCACCAGCACCACCACCACCAGCACCAGCACCACCAGCAGCAGCAGCAGCAGCAGCACCACCACCACCACCACCACCACCACCACCACCACCACCACCACCACCACCACCACCACCACCACCACCACCACCACCACCACCACCACCCGCGAACTCTCCAGCCTTCAAACGGAAGCGGGAATGCTGGGGCTCGACCTCTTTGGACCTCCGTTTCCCTGGCCGCGGCCTTACCTGCCGATGACGTCCTTAGGGTCGTACTTCTGGTAAAACTCTTTGGCGGCGGCCCAGTCGGGCAGCTCATCCTCCGGCCCCACGTCCAGCGTCATCCTGAAGGAGGCGGGGGCCTGCGCGGAGGAGGAGGGCAGTGAGGGCAGGGAGGCCCACAGGCTCTGAGACGACCCGCATGGCGGCTCCCGGGGGCGCAGCCCTTGCAGCTGGGGCGCCAGGGTCCTGGGGGGTGGGGGGGGGTGGGGGAAGGACCCGGACTGGGGAGACCCCGCAGAAGAGCCTGGGGGCGGGAGGATGGCAGGGCAGGGAGGGGAGTGGGGAGATGTGCCCAGGAGGCAGGGGGAAGGGGCGCAAGGGCAGGCGGCTGTTGCCGCGCAGGCGCATTCGGGCGGGCGCAGGAAGGGGACGGGGGTCTAGCGCAGGCTCACCTGAGGGGGCAGGCAGAGGAGCCAGGGTCGACGCGAGCTGCGCTGTCGCCGGGTTTGCCTGCAGTCGCTCACCTTAACCCCCGGCGGCGGGCGACAACCCAAGGCTCCGCCTCCATCCTGCCCGCCAATGGTCAGCGCCGCCCGAAGACTGAGGCTCAGAAGCCCTTCCAATTGGAAACCGGCCGCCCAATTGGGGCTGGGGCGTGAGTCGGCGCTCGGCTGGACCTAAGGCTGCAACGCGACGCCGGGGCGCGGCTTCAGACGCGGCCAATCACCGAGTGGCATCTGCGGGACAGCAGAGGGCGGAGCTTGTTGTCACGTGGGCTTGGAGGCCTGGAATGGGACCCGGAAGTTGGGTTTACTGGGAAACGTGATCTCTGGGTGGCGGGGAAGCAGGACCTTCCCGCGCCTCTAGTTCCCAGACTTGAGCAGGGTTCCCTCGGTCTCCTCCAAGCATCCCTAACTGAATTCAGCATTTTCTCTTTTTTCAGACAGGGTCTCGCTCTGTAGCCCACGCTGAGGCTGCAGTGTAGTGGCGCGATCATAGCTCACTGCAGCCTTGAACTTCGGGGCTCAAGCGATCCTCCCGCCTCAGCCTCCCAAAATGCTGGGATTACAGGCTTGAGCCACAACGCCCAGCAAGCTCTTTTCAATATTAGCAGCCTGGCCCAAAGCGCCTGTCCTGAGTACACTCCAGCCCTTAAAACATTTGGACACACGCAGCTTGGACTCCAGCTTGGCCTCTTAGTTCGGACTTAAAATGCCAGAGGAAGCCTTTTCTGTGTCCGCTTCAACTCCTCCTAAATACATCCAAAGCCCTAGCGTTTACTATCTGGGATTTACACACTTTCTCAATCTTCCACCCTCTCCCAAAAGCCTTGTATCACACTCTGTTCTAAACCCACCAGGTTGTTAGATTCTGCCAGGAGTGACTCAGTGCATAGCTCAAACCTGGCATTCACTAACAAATTTTTATGACCGTCTAAGACCTAGGAACTAGACTGAGAGCAATGAAACAACACACACACCCCTACCCTGTGGAGGTTATGTTCCAGCCAAAGAGGAAAAGAATTAACTTATCTCCCTACAGCTATCTTAGAAATGACACTTTGGGATTACAATTATGAGGGAAGAAAAATGAATTCAGGTAACTTTTTATAGAGTACTATGACTCTATACCATCAATCTAAAGGCAAAATTGCAAAAAATCTTGAACTTTACTTAGATTTGTTGTTTGGTAATATAACAGGATAATAATTCTGAAGCTGAGTAATCAATATATTGATGTGACTGGAAGCCAAGGTTCTTAACTGTGGGAATCTGGAATCTGGAATCTGGAATGGGGAAAGTGGAGAAAGAACCCTATGATTGACTGGAATTTTTAAAAAGATTTTTAAAAGATGTAAAGTAGATAACATTAACTATTTACTGGCTCTTACCTCTGCTTTCAGAATGCCCTAAGCAGTAACTTCCCAGTAGAACGCCTAGTGTCTAGATGCTGATTTCTCAATAACAGTACCCAATAAAAGGAACTAAGTCTTTTCAGGAGAAATGGCCAATTTCTAGGCTTCAGCAGGGAAAGTACAAGGTGAGTCTGGAGTGATTTGTGCCAGACATTACTAATGAGCGGGGCTTATCACAAGGACACAGGAACCAGATTGAAAGGGTTTCCATAGGTCAATATCGGGGATAAAAATAATAATGAAGAGCATGAGGGAACTTGCTGATGTGCTGCAAATGTTATATTCCTATAGGTGGTGAGTGACTGACTACACAGGTTTATTTACGTTAAAACATTCGTCGGCTAGGCACGGTTAACTCACGCGTGTAATACCAGCACTTTGGGAGGCTGAGGTGGGTGGATCACAAGGTCAGGTCGAGACCAGCCTGACCAAATGGTGAAATCCCATTTCTACTAAAAATACAAAAATTAGCCGGGCGTGGTGGCACACGCCTGTAATCCTAGCTACTCAGGAGGCTGAGGCAGGAGAATCACTTGAACCCAGAAGGCAGAGGTTGCAGTGAGATCACACCACTGCACTTCAGCCTGGGTGACAGAGCGAGACTCCATCTCAAAAAAAAATAATAATAATCAAGCTGCACACTTAAGATCTATGCGTTGGGCCGGGCGCGGTGGATCACACCTGTAATCCCAGCACTTTGGGAGGCCGAGGCGGGTGGACCACGAGGTCAAGAGATCGAGACCATCCTGGCCAACATGGTGAAACCCCGTCTATACTAAAAATACGAAAATTAGCAGGGCATGGTGGCTTAAAACCTAGATGACAGGTTGATGGGTGAAGCAAACCACCATGGCACATGTATACCTACGTAGCGAACCTGCATGTTCTGCTTGTATCCCAGAACTTAAGAGTTAAAAAAAAAAAAAAAAACAAAGAACAGGCCAGGTGCAGTGGCTCATGCCTGTAATCCCAGCACTTTGGGAGGCCGAGGTGGGCGGATCACGAGGTCAGGAGATCAAGACCATCCTGGCTAACACGGTGAAATCCCGTCTACTAAAAATACAAAAAATTAGCCGGGCATGGTGGCGGGCGCCTGTAGTCCCAACTACTTGGGAGGCTGAGACAGGAGAATGGTGTGAACCCAGGAGGCAGAGCTTGCAGTGAGCAGAGATTGTGCCACTGCACTCCAGCCTGGGCAACAGAGCGAGACTCCTTCTCAAAACAAACAAACAAAAAAACAAAAACACTTTCTAAAATGTGTTACCCTTTTTTCCTGATTTAGAAATTGCAGAGGGAATACAATAAAATCTTATCTATAGAGCAGTAGTTCTCAAACTATGTGTACTACAATTAATTGGGAAACTGAGAAATCCTGATGCCAAGGCTGTACCTCACACCGATTAAGTCAGAATGTAGTCTGGATAAAGCCCAGGCCTAACTACTTTTTAAAGCTTCCAGGTGGTTCCACTGTGAAGCTATGTTGAGAACACTGCCCTGTATATTTATCTTCTACCCACTGTTTCAATTCTAACTTCTGAGACCACCAATCTATTCTCTTCCTTCTTCCTGGAGCATTTGGGAACACTGAGGACAGCCATCATGTGCCTCTCCTTCCCCTCTAGTCTCTTCAGTGTGCAACATCTCCAGTTCCTTTAGGTGCTCTTCTGGACTCTGAATTATGGTAAGGTGCTTGCCAGGACAGACGTACTCCAAAAGGCATGACTCATAATAACCCCAAACTGCAAACATCCCAAAGTCCACCAACAGTAAATGGACAAATTGTGATACATTCATATGACTGAATACTACACAGCAATGAAAACTACACCTATTCCAAATATTGACGAATCTCACAATGTTAACATGAAAAGAATACATGATTCCATTTATATAAAGTTCAAATGCAGACAAAATTAAATGACACTGCTAGAAGTCAGAATGGTGGTTACCTGTGGGAAGAAAGGAAGTAGCAGTGATTGGGAGGAGTATAAAGGAGGCTTTGAAGTGTTGACAGTGTTCCAATTTCTTTACTGAATGTGGTTATTCACGTTTGCTTTGTGTTAATGAACTGTATACTTGTTTTGGGTATTTTCCTATATGTATGATATACTTCATAATTTTAAAAAAAATTTGAAATATTATGAGGTCCAAGATAAAAGATATGAAAATCCATTTTAATCACTCAAATCTCCATGTACAGGATGGTTGTTGCTGTTACCCAACTCTTTCACTCCTCTCTCAGCTCTGGAACCAAACTGTCTGGGTTCAGTCTCAGCTCTACCATTTAGTAGCTGAGGACCTTGTGCAAATCTGTTTGTTTCTTCAAGTATAAAACGAGAACACTGTCATTTTAGAACATTTCTTCCAGTTTTCACTCAGATAGTTGGTACCTATCATATGTGATATATTCATATGATGGATATGATAGTACAGACATCTACTGAGTGACTGAAAACTGGAGGAAGTTAAGAAATATAAAGTGCTTAGAACACAGCCTGGAATATAGTAAGTAATAAATAGTAGCAGCTGCTACTACTCTTGGCCTCAGAGTCTCTGTGGACGTACAAGGGAGAAGCTGGGGTCTTTCCAAGAAGGGAAACTTCCAGAAGAAGAAAATAAAAATTGTTTCCTTCTCTTGGAGCTCCTGGATGAGGTGGATGCTGGCTTCTGCTATCAGTCAGATGTCCAGTCTGGCTCTCACCAAGGGCCCAAGGGAAAGCAGGAGGAGAACAATTAGACAGGAGTATTTCACCACTAAAAAAGGCTTTTATTACAAAATGAATTCTAATAAAACCAGGCCTGGTCTTCAACCCCTCCCGCTGGGTAGAGGCCCTAGGGTGGGCTAGGGTAGGGGAGATGGGGGTGGGGGGCCCTGAAAGAACAGAGCAGGCTGCCCTCCTCTCATCAGTCTCAGCTGCTGCCCTCCTTTTATAAAGGGCTAGAAGAGCTCTTCCAAAGCCCCTTGAGAGAGTCCCCATCCTTCCAACCAGGATCCTTCCAACCACTGCTGTCACAGGACCTTAGCAATGCCGCATTGCAGGATCCAGGAGGTCTCGGCTGGCTCTCAGCAGAGGCCATCCAGGGTCACTCAGCCTGAGCGATGGCGTAGGAGAGCAACCACAGCAGCAGGGGACCCAGAATGAGGACAGCAAGCCAGACAGCAAAGCTGGCCAGGATGAGTTTCCGGGCCCGGGCCCCCCAGCGCACTGCCTCCTCGGACCGGCCTGCTTTATGCCGCTCTTCCGCCTGTGGGGGCAGGTTCTTGGTTAGGTTCTCCCCCTGCTTCTGCCCCAAGGTGCCCATTTCCCCACTCCGCTCCCCCTTCCCTGTCACGGATCAAAATCTCACATCCAAACCCTCTACCTCCCTTTCCAGTTTCTGATTCTAACCTCTCATCTGCAAAATAAGGTACCCATCTCTGGGCCCTGCCTACTTCTCAGGGTGGCCATAGCTCACAAGATCGCCTATGGGAAAGTACTTTCCAATTCTGTTATTCCCCATTCTTTCCAACTATCCAAGATTGATTCAGAATTTGTAACTATTGGCAAGAAACAGTGAGGCTAGAGTAACTTCACTCATGCCCAAACACCACCTCATTCTCATAGCCCAATGGGCCTCATCTTTTCCATCTTTTTTTTTTCTTTTTTTGAGACAGTTTCACTCCTGTCACCCAGGCTGGAGTGCAGTGGTGCAATCTCACTGCAACCTCCTCCTCCCAGGTTCAAGCAATTCTCGTGTCTCAGCCTCCCAAATAGATGGGATAACAGGTACGTGCCACCACGCCCAGCTAATTTTGTATTTTTAGTAGAGACGGGGTTTCACCATGTTGGTCAGGCTGGTCTCGAACTCCTGACCTCAAGTGATCTGCCCACCTCGGCCTCCCAAAGTGCTGGGATTACAGGCGTGAGCCACTGCGCCCAGCCTCTTTGTTATCATTAAGGGCCCTTTTTAGGATTTTGCCCTAATGGAACCCAGGAGTTCTTACAGTTTCTGACTGTTAAAATATGTCTAGGGTTGAGAAGATTCCAGCATGAAGTTTAAGTTAGCCTGTGTAGCCTTTCCTAAAGGACATGTGCTGTTTTTTTTTGTTTTTTTTTTTTTTTGAGACAGAGTCTTGCTTTGTCACCAGGCTGGAGTGCAGTGGCATGATCTCAGCTCAATGCAACCTCCGACTCCGTGGTTCAAGCAATGATCCTGCCTCAGCCTCCCCAGTAGCTGGGATTACAGGCACGCACCATCACGCCCAGCTAATTTTTGTATTTTTAGTAGAGACGGGGTTTTACCATGTTGGCCTAGATGGTCTCGATCTCCTAACCTCGTGATCTGCCCACCTCGGCCTCCCAAAGTGCTGGGATTACAGGCCTAAGTCACCACGCCCGGCGGACATGTGCTGTTTCTAATAGGCTTTTTGAAATGGTGAAGCCCTCTCAAAAACCCAAGTGTCTTTCAGACTCCTAGAGATTGCGCTCATCACCGTTCAGCGGCCTCCAGCCTTGCCCCCTCCAATTCACCCTCGATGTAGGCCTTGAGAGTGGATCTTCCTAAAACTCAAATCTGACCATGTCACTTTCCCCTGCAGGAGCCATTCAATGCCTCCCCAGTACTTTCAAGATAAAGTCAAAACTCTTAAGCACAGAACTGGAGGCCCTTGGGAATCTGGGTCCTCTAGCTTCATCTCTCACTATTCCTCACTGGTCCAGTCATGCTCCACAGGCCTTTGTACACACTGCTCCTTTTATCTGGAATGCCCTTCCACACTTACTCACTCACCCTTTAAGATTAATCCTGTCACCTCTCCTAGGATGCCTTTCCAGTCACCTATTCTACCATATACACATATATAATTACATACATAGATCTTCCCTGGCTCCCACACTGTCCTGTGCTTCCTGTATTACGGTACTGATGAACTGCATTCTATTAATTACCCATTTTCACTGTCACCTCTTTCATTAGATTATGGGTCCTCTGACGACAAGGAACCCTGTCTTATTCTTATTTCTGGCACTAGGCCCAGAGCACTGATAGGTATTCAGTGACTGGTCAATGTAGATAGATCAGATACATGAAACCATTGCCTTATACCCACCCCCATTCCCATGGGAATTGCACTCCTCACCTTGATGGCAAACACCAGAGCCATGACTCCCAGGCAAGAGCAGCCACAGATAATGCTAGTAGCTGCCAAGCAGCGGAGGCGGAGCCAGCAGCAGCGGATGGGGGATGGAGGATGAGCAGCTTCCGTGTTGCCCAAGATCTCCACTGCCTTCTCCTCGTCCTCCATCACCTGTGGGCGATAGTCAAGGTACTTGTGAGCCCAACAACAGAGCCCTTGGCCTTGCTTGCTCAGACTCCACCCCTCTCAGAGCATTCTGTTCTCATGGCCTAGCCTGGCACTCAGGAATGTTGCCTTACTGGGGAATTCCTCTAGTGACTCACAGAGCAGGAGAGGAAATGTGTGGCTGGAATCCTTTTACCTAAGCTTGAGGTTCTGAGTCTTTGAAAGCAAGCCAGTGTAGACAAGGCATTATCTGTATTATTTAGTGTTTCAACAAGTGGGAAGAAGCCAAATGACAGGTGCACACCGAGAAGGAGGAAAAATACAAACTCTTGAAAGCTGCTATGAATCTGTTATTTTAATCTGTATTTCAAAGGACTCTACAATTCCCCCAAATTCCCAAGAGGCTGCCCCCTGAGTATTATAGATGTCAGAGAGCAGGACCCTAGGTACTGCAACCCGTTTCAAGCAAAGCAGCCATTTTACATGAAAACAGTTATGGGAATGGAGAAAGGTAAGGAAAATGTACCCAAGTAAGCCCTTTATTACCACTAAAACCAAACATCAGAAAGACTTTACTTCCCTAAGTCAGGGCTTCCTCTGCTATGCTGCCTCCCTGCCACCTCCTCTCTCCAATTTAACCCAGGCCACATAACACAATCAGACTAGTACACTGAGTCTAAATGACCTCATTACCACACAGAAACCTGCAAAATGATGCCCTACTTAATCATTTCTTGTCTCCCTACTTCTCAGGTCCTCTAGGCCCTGGCATCAAACCACCTTTCTACCCTTATCTCCAACCATTCCCCTACAACCCAGACAAAATGAAACCACCTTGGCTCCCTGAACCCAAGTAACGAAGGATAGGAAAGGTGAAAGGGGCGAGACAAGTAGAGAGCAAAGAATGATGTGTGCCAAGAAGCTGCAGGGAAGTAGATACAAAGAAATAACTCAGATGAGGTAAGCACAGAGTCAACAGGAGGACACAAGGAGGGCCCAGGGAGTGAACAGAGAATGTAAAAATGAACAGGGCTCTTACCTGGCTATAGGCCTTGAAGGACTCTGAGTTTCGGCTCCTGCCTCAGCTTTGGTTTGGCTTGGGTGGTGATGGAGCTGACTCAGGGCTCCAAGCCAAGCCCAGGGGTGGGGTTGAGTGGCCAGCCACCACGTGAAGAGCCCAGGGAGCTGGGAAGGGGTGTGGCTGACTCAAACCAGTTTGGCTAGATGAAGAGCAGGGGAGGGCCCAAGGGATGGAGCAACTGGAGCTAGGACGCCTGCCCTCTGGAAAAAGTTGTGAAAGGAAGCACCTGAGCAAGAGGGATAAAAGGGAAAGGTCTGAGGCATCAAAGAGCTCCGAGGAACGTCTAGGAACCGAGGGAAAAGAAATGAGAGGAAAAGGATATCTGTGACTTCAAACTGACTGGGGAAAGGCACCCTACCACATCAAATTCACCAATCTTCCCTCTTCTTGGGTAGATTTCTGCCTGGAACATATAGTCCTGGGCTAGAGATCAGGTGCTAGGATCTTTGCAAGAACAAGAGGGAGGAGAAAAACGATGCCCAAGTTCCCACCCAACCCTCCACCAGACCAGAAAATCAGAAGCCTCCTTACGCGGATGCTCATACAGAAACTAAGTTTATTATTTTTTCTTCTTAAAAAAAAAAAAAAAAGAAAAAAACCTCATTGTAGAGAAGCCCCTCCCCCTTCCCCTAAGGGTGGGGGGCTGTGTGAAAGACAGCTGGGGAATCAAGTACAAGGGGGTGGGGACAGAGACTATCTTGCCACCCTTAACACTGCCCAGCCACGTGGGGTGAAGGGGAAGGGGACTGTGATGATCCCCATTTCCATGACAACCAGTTGCCTACCCCCTACTTTGGTGGGAAGAAGGGAGAAGGCCCCTATGTCTCCCTGGAGGCTTTCCCCCTCAAGACTTCAAGTAGTGGTTAACAGAGTCAGGCCTGGTCATGGAGGGAGTGGCCACGGTGGAAAGCCTAGGTGGAGGGGCAGCCCACTCACGTCTTGGCCTTGCGGCCTCTGTGACTAACAGCAGGGCCAGCCAGGGAGGGAGGGGCGCTGCTGCGCAGGATGCGCTGGTCCCCTTGGTTGGTGGTCCCAACAAGCCGGCGGGGGCCAGGACGTCGGCGTGGGGTCCCATCCCCTTCCTCCTCCTCACCTGAGGCTTCAGCCTCAGACTCCTCTACTGAACCCTCAGGCCCCAGGGGACTTGGGGGCTGTAGGCGGCCCCGCTTTGCCAGCCCAGGACTCCCACCAACTGGGGCCCCTGCTCGTTTGCGAGGCAACTTCTCAGTCTCTAGTGGGGGGACTAGAGACCCTGGACGCAGCCGGGTCGAGCGCAGTTTTGGGGTTAGTGAGACCACAGGTGGTGTCAATTCCAACCCGCCTGGCCCGCTATCTGCTAAGTCCAGGTCATCCTGAATTACAGCCACCACCATGGACCCTCCACTCTTCCGTCCTCGCATTCCTTCTGCTTCAAGCCGAAGGCGGGCCAGGCGGGTGAGGGGGCGGCTTCCATCCTCATCAGAGGAACTACCCTCACTCTCCCCTTGGCCCTGGGGTTGCCGTCGCCTCCCCAATCCACAGCTCTCGAGAACAGAAGTGCTGTCACGGTCCAAGACGGGGAGCTGGCTGGGCCGAGGTGATGGAGGATTCTTGGGAGGTCGGCCCCTCTTCCGTTTGGGTGGGGACGTTGAAATGGTGACAGTGGTGACAGTGTTGGCAACAGTAGCAGTGGGACAAACTAGCAGTGGTGGGAGTGGGGTTAGGGGTGATGGGTGTGGGGGTGGCTGTGTCCGACTTTCGGAGTTGCCATCCCCTGCAGAGGAAATGGTCCCAGGGATGGGCAAATCTCGTGCTTTAGGGGGTCGTCCTCGCCTTCTTTTCTCCACAGGTGACAGGAGGGGATTGGGTCTGTGAACTGGCTGGGGTCCAAGAGGCTGGGGCCCAGGAATAAGCTGTGGTTCCAGGACAGGATCTGCAACAATTAGGGTCTCAGGCCCAGGGACTGGGTCAGCCCCATTGGTTTTTCCCTTCAAGGTGGATGAGGGTGCCTCATCCACACCTCTCCCAGCATCTGCTGGAGACCTGTTCTTCTTGGGGGGCCTCCCCCTCCGACGTTTCACAGCAGGTGGGGTGATGGCGAGCAGTGCTCCGTCTCCATTCTCGGGGCTGCCACCACCAGTCACCCCCAGCTCAATGTGACGGCGAGCAATGAAGGGCTGCTGGGGTGGAGTGGGCAGTGAGGATGAAGGAGCAGCTTCACAGGGCCCACCAATGGGAGGGGAGGATTCTGGCCCTGACATGCTGCGGACAGACGGGCTTCCCGGGCTGGCACTAGTCTCAGAGACCCCAGGCACTAGGGTGCTGGCAGCTCCCCGCTGCTGCCGCCGCCGCCGCACCAGTTCCTTTTCCTCTACCACAGTTACCAGCCGTCCTGGCAGCTTTCGAAGCACTTTGGGGCCTGGTGGTTGTCCTGGCCGACCAGTCCCTTGACCCCTAATTTCCACATCAGCACTGGTGCGACGCCGAGGAGGTCGGGCAGGTGAAGGACCCTCAGGCGAGGAAGTGGCTGAAGATGAGGTGGATGGAGCTGCAACCTCAGCTGTAACGAGTTCCTGTGGCTTCTCTGGGCTGGAGGTTGGGGTCTTGGCCTCTGTCAGCTCTTCCGAGGTCCTGTCAGCCTCCAGTGGCTCCTGAAGTGGCTCATCAGATGCTGCTGAGGGTGGGAGCTCCAGGCCATTGCTCTCACTCACACACAGGGGCAACTCCTCACCTTCAGGCAGCACTGTAAGGGTGGTCCCCTCAGCAGAATCTGGTGCCTCCTGCTCTTGACCATTGGGGATGCTGCCAGCCTCCAAGGTCAGGCTGGGTGCAGAAGGGGTGAGAGAAAGGTTCTTCTCTGACACAGGCAGGATCTCCACAGCAACTGGCAACAGATCTTTAGGGGGCACAAGAGAAAGTGAGGAGGTTTCTGAACTGGCCACAGAAGCCAGCTCCAGGGACTCTGGAGATGCCAATGCCTGGGCACACAGCTCTGCCTCAGGCCTCAAGCCCAAGGGGAGATTAGTGACTGAGGCAGAGATGGGCACAGAAGGTGGACCAAGCAAGAGAGGAGAGGAAGGAGTTACAAGACAGGTTTGGGCTGGAGGCGGTGTATGAGCTGGTGGAGGGGTACAGGCAGGAGGAGGGGTGCAGGCAGGAGAAGAACAAGGAGGAATCTGTGAAGGAGGGGGAGGAGAAGGCAAGATATGGACAGGGAGAATGGTTATTGGATTTGGGGCTGAAATGGGTACTGGGGCAGAAACTGGGACAGGAACAAGGGCAGGAATTGCAGCCGGAGCTGAAGCTGGAGTGGGTCGAGGCCTAGGTGCTGGCCTGGGAACTCGCTCCCTGGCAGGACTGCAGCGGGGTGGTGTGGTGGTGCTGCGAGTTTGATGGGCGGATATGACAGGAGTGTGGTTTGCCCCTTGAGTCTCAGCCCGGGCTCCACGAAGACGCTCACTGACACGAGTCCCCGGCCTCTCAGGGGCTTTGGCCTTTTTACTGCGCCGGTGGGTGCCTCCACCAGTCCCACAGGAACTCTCATCCCCAGCCCCCGGCCCCTCCTCCTCCTCTTGGGGTAGGCGGAACACCTCCTCCTTGGCTTGGTCCAGGTCTTTGCGGGCAGCTTCCACTTGCTCCTACAACAACAGGGTCCAAAAGTGGTCAGGAGGAGGCAAGCAGAGTAGAGAGTGAGTAGAAATTAGCAGCTTCCAGGTCAGGCGCGGTGGCTCACGCCTGTAATTCCAGCACTTGGGGAAGTTAAGGCCAGCAGGTCACCTGAGGTCAGGAGTTCAAGACCAGCCTGGCCAACATGGTGAAACCCCCGTCTCTACTAAAAATACAAAAATTAGCCGGGCGTGGTGGTGCACGCCTGTAATCCCAGCTTCTCGGGAGGCTGATGCAGGAGAACTGCTTGAACCCGGGAGGCGGAGACTGCAGTGACCCGAGATTGTGCCACTGCACTCCAGCCTGGGCGACAGAGCGAGACTGTCTCAAAAAAAAGAGAAAAGAAAAAGAAATTAGCAGCTTCCAACTGCCAGCCCCACCCCTGGAAATACTCACTTCTGCCTGTTTGAGCTCCTCTCGGCTCACCTCCTCCAGTGAGGCCTCCAGGAATTTCATGGCATAGCGCTCAATGGGGGTCAGCTGCAAGGAGGAGCGGTGGTGATAAACTTAGGAACCTGGTACCCAGGGCCCCACCACCCTTATTTATTCCCACCAGGGAAGACAAAAGGAGGGTCACAAGCCCAGGGGAAGCAGTAAAGTCAAGAACTAGTGGGTCCAGCACTGACCTGTTCTACGAGGGCAGCAATTTCCTGCTCAGCCCGGGACATCTCCTCATCCTCAGCCCCAGGCCGGCCAGCTTCCTCTCCCTCACCAGCAGGAAACCCATCGTTCTCATTAAATTCTGCAAGCTCAGCCACCTGTTCAGCCTTGGCCTGGGTGGCTGCACGGATATCCTCTTCATCTTCTGCCCGACACAATGCCTACCAGGGTGTATAAAAGAAAAAGAAAACATGAGACTTCAAGTACTTTACATCCTGTGATTTGATTCAGGCAAGAACTTGAGACCAAGCGTACACCAAACTAGGTTTGCAACAGAACTCAACAACCTCCTAGGCCTCCAGAGTTACCACAACAACTCAGTGGTCCACAAAGGATGGAATGGATTTTACCAGGACTCCCACTAGGGAAAAATGAGTATTTTTGAGATTGCTCGCTGTACTTCCCTTCCTTTAAAGTCAGCCTCAGCTCTCAAAAAAAAAAAAAAGCCACCACAGAAAGATGTGAATAAAAATGCACAATTCACCCGGGCGCAGTGGCTCAATCCTATAATTGCAGCACTTTGGGAGGCCAAGGCGGGCAGATCATGAGGTCAGGAGTTCGAGACCAGCCTGACCAACATGGTGAAACCCCATCTCTGCTAAAAATACAAAAATTAGCTGAGCGTGGTGGCACGCGCCTGTAATCCCAGCTACACAGGAGGCTGAGGCAGGAGAATCACTTGAACCCGGGAGGTGGAGGCTGTAGTGAGCCGAGATCGCGCCACTGCACTCTAGCCTGGGCGAAAGAGCAAGACTCCGTGACTCCGTCTCCAAAAAAAAAAAAAAAAAAAAAAGTAATGTCAAAAACTGCAATTATTTTTGCACCAACTTAAACACTTCTCTTAAGTGGAAATACTAATGAAAAGGAAATAATTTTGAGGATTAGATGGTGAGGTGGATATAAGAAATGCTTTGTGGCCGGGCGCGGTGGCTCACGCCTGTAATCCCAGCACTTTGGGAGGCCGAGGCGGGCGGATCACGAGGTCAGGAGATCGAGACCATCCCGGCTAAAACGGTGAAACCCTGTCTCTACTAAAAATACAAAAAATTAGCCGGGCGTAGTGGCGGGCGCCTGTAGTCCCAGCTACTTGGGAGGCTGAGGCAGGAGAATGGCGTGAACCCGGGAGGCGGAGCTTGCAGTGAGCCGAGATCCCGCCACTGCACTCCAGCCTGGGCGACAGAGCGAGACTCCGTCTCAAAAAAAAAAAAAAAAAAAAAAAAAAAATGCTTTGTACTTAATGTGAAACGCTGTTTCAAATACTTACACATAATAAAATCACATTTGGAAAGGTTCTTAAAAGATTTATTCCTTGACCCTGTCTCAAAATCTATCATAATTTTGGGGTGTTGGGTCTGAGCATTTGTGTGTTTTCAGAGCTCTCCAGCTGGGAGCCTCAGCCTCCCAAAGTGCTGGGATTACAGGCATGAGCTACCCACCATGCCCTGCCCACATTACTTTTAATAGAAAGTGAGGTTCAGAAGAGTGACGATTGTAACTTGTCTTAACACAATTAAGAAGCATTACTGGAATTCAAACCTAAAACTAAAGACTCCAAAATCCTGTTTTTTTTTCCTACTTAATCATGTGAACCAATAAGCAATGTGCTTACAACTATCAAAGGCTGACTGTAATCTGGGAAGCAGAAGAAACATCTCTTTCCCCTGGACAAGCTCAACAGACTAACAAAAGACAAGATATTCTGTAAGAATCAGCTCAACTTTACGAACTGCCCACTCTTTTTTTACCTGCTCCAGAATATGAGTCTGCTTGCTGGCCACAGTCTCTTCCTCCTCTTCAGGGGCAGAGGGCACGGATGAGCTAGAAGGTTCCTCCAGGGGCATATCAAACAGCTCTCGGATGGTCTGCTATCGGATAGAACAGAGGGAAGTGTCAGAGTCAACAGAATGCTAGTCTTAGGTCTAAGCTGTAAGGCTGATGGTTCTTGGAACTGTCAGGGGTACCACTGGTTGAAGACGCACGTCTGTGAAGGCCAAAGCAGTCCTTTTTGTTTTTTCTTTTTTGAGACGGTTTTGCTCGTCACCCAGGCTAAAGTGCAATGGCGCCATCTCAACTCACTGCAACCTCCGCCTCTTAGGTTCAAGTGATTCTCCTGCCTCAGCCTTCCAAGCAGCTGGGATTACAGGCGCCCACCACCATGCCCGGCTAATTTTTGTATTTTTAGTAGAGACAGGGTTTCATCATGTTGGCCAGCCTGGTCTCCAACTCCTGGCCTCAAGTGATCCGCCTGCCTCAGCCTCCCAAAGTCCAAAGCAGTCTTCTTTAATAAACAGGAGGAACTCCTGAAGGCGCAGCAGTTTTCTCCTGCATAGGCTAAAAGATCTTACTTAGTACCTGTTTGAAATAGGCTGTGGTGAAGTTGCCTCCCTCAATGGCCATGTCCCCCAACATTCTCTTCTGATTTGCCTTTTTTAGGATGTTCTCCTCCACTGTCCGTTCACTGATAAGCCTAGGGGGTGATGAAGGCCGTGTGTAAGCAGCCAAATATATCCAGGAAACCCCATCAGTAAACGGAAAGTAAGGTGAGGGAAGACTAGGCAATACCTATATATGTGGACATCCCGGGTCTGGCCAATTCGGTGACAGCGGTCCTGGGCCTGAGCATCCATGGTGGGATTCCAGTCGCTGTCATAAAAAACAACAGTGTCTGCTCCTGTCAGGTTCACGCCCACACCCCCACTCCGAGTTGAAAGGATGAAGCAGAATATGCGTTTGTCTGCATTGAACCGTTCCATCAAGGCCTAGAAGGAAAGGGAAAAAAAGATGATACTGGGAGACTTATCCCCCAAAACAGGTCTAAAGGCTTAGTGGCACCCCGTCTGGAAGCCCAAATCCTGGGAAAAGGAGAGAGAAGCGGAGGTGAGCCTCTAAGAGCTGCAGAAACCTGGGTTACCTGTCTCTGTTCAACTCTAGTAGATCCATCCAGGCGCAGGTAGAGATGGCCATGGTAGGTGAGAAACTGCTCCAATACATCCAGCATTCGGGTCATCTGGGTGAAGATGAGCACTCGGTGGCCCTCTGCCTTGAGCTGCCGCAACAGCACTGCCAACGTCTGCAACTTTCCTAAAGAGATATGAAGGGATACAGGGAGCTAGCTACAAGCCGCAATGGGTAGAATGCTTAGCAATGCAAGGCTGGGGTTGAAAGATAATCAATGCTTTAAGCCAAAGTTTCAATTAGCCTAGCAGATCAAAAATGTTTAACTACGGCAGGGCATGGTGGCTCACACCTGTAGTCCCTGCACTCTGAGAAGCTGAGGCAGGTGGATCACTTTAAGTCGGGAGTTCAAGACCAGCCTGGCCAACATGATGAGACCCTGTCTCTACTAAAAACACAAAAATTAGCTGGGCGTGATGGCGGGTGACTGTAATCCCAGCTACTCAGGAGGCTGAGGCATGAGAACTCGGGCTTGAACCCAGGAGGCAGAGGTTGCAGTGAGCTGAGATCCCACCAATGCACTTCAGCCTGGGCAACAAAGCGAGACCCTGTCACAAAAAATATCTATCTACGTTTAACTCCATACAAGTTCTTCCTTTAAGGGCTTCACCTCTTCGGTCTGCTCCAGCCTAGAATCTAACTTCTTGGAGTCTAAAAGAGTAGGGGAATACATAACATCGAGGGAAAAACAGAATCCCCAATGCTTTATGAGCAAGAGATCCTTAAGTATTACAATAGTCATACCACCTGAAATCCAGAACAGATTCACAGGATAGATATCAACAAATCCATGGTCACAGCTTACAGACAGGGATTTAAGGTCACAGATCAGAACAGTAAAGGCTCTTAGAAAGTTTATCTAGTTCAACCTTCCATCAAACACAGAAATAACTTCAACATTTCTGGTAACACAGTTTGAACTTTTATTTTTTTCCTTTTCCTTTTTTTTTTTTTGAGACAGAGTTTTGCTCTTGTTGCCCAGGCTGGAGTGCAATGGTGGAATCTCAGCTCACGGCAACCTCCACCTCCTGGATTCAAGCAATTTTCCTGCCTCAGCTTCCCGAGTGGCTGGGATTACAGGCATGTGCCACCACGTCCGGATAATTTTGTATTTTTAGTAGAGACAGGGTTTCTCCATGTTGGTCAGGCTGGTCTCCAAATCCAGACCTCAGGTGATCCACCTGCCTCAGCCTCCCAAAGTGCTGGGATTACAGGCGTGAGCCACCGTGCCCAGCCTGAACACTTTATTATTTCATTTTTTGAGACAAGGTCTGGCTCTATTACCCAGGCTGGAGTGCAGTGGTGCGATCTCAGCTCACTGCAACCTCTGCCTCCCGGGCTCAAGCCATCCTCCCACCTCAGCCTCCCAAGTAGTTTGGACTACAGGCGTATGTCACCACGCCTGGCTAATTTTTGTATTTTTTGTAGAGACAGGGTTTCGCCATGTTGCCCAGGCTGGTCTCCAACTCATGAACTCAAGTGATCCACTCACCTCAGCCTCTCAAAGTGCTGGGATTACAGACATGAGCCACCAGGCCCAGCCTTATTTTATTTTTGAGACAAGGTCTCACCCTGTCACCCAGGCTAGAGTGCAGTGGCATGATCACAGCTGACTGCACCTCAACCTCCCAGGCTCCTGCAATCCAGCCATCTGAGTAGCTGGGACTATAGGTGTGCACCACTATATCCACTAATTTTTCAGTTTTTGAGGAGACAGGGTTTCGCCATGTTGCCTGGGCTGGTCTTTACTTGCCTCAAGTGAGCTGCCCACCTCAGCCTACCCAAGTGCTGGGATTACAAGTATGAGTCACCACACCCGGCCTTGAACACTTTTAACCAAGACTTTCAGTTCATCTACTCTGAATAGTTTCAAATGTAACAAAAACACTTTTTTTTACTAAAACATTTATTGAACACATATTAATAAAAATTTTGATTTTCTTATATTCTAGGAAATTTAAAAAATCTCGAAACATGTTACTATACAAATGTCTGTGCAGGGCTGTGGAACTAGTCACTTACCCAATAGCCATTCTTGGGTAAAAGAACCTGATTAACCCTGGACAGCTGGCAGAGGTTCTTTGCTCCCAGGTGAAGAAGGCCCCAACCCAAACCCAGAAAATAAATCAAGTTGATCTAAATAAGCCAGAGGTCTTTTTTGCTATTCCCCTTTGTCAGTGATTGCTCTAAGTATGGGCATATAGCTCAGTTTGAGCCAATGAGTTATGAAGCAAAGTCAGCTTGGAGGTCTTTTGTTCCCAGAAAACCTTCTCAGAGTGTTTTGTCTCAACCCCTTGTTTCTTGTTTAGAGGATTGGTGTATACCCTGGAGTTATGGCAGCCATCCTAACATCATGAAGAAACAAAAGCATGAGAATAAAAAGATAAAAAGCTAAAGATGGTACAGCAGGGTAGAAAGATAAAGTCCTGGTCCCTTAAGGCTGGGTGCAATGGCTCACGTGTGTAATCCCAGCACTTTGGAAGGCCGAGGCAAGGGGATCACGAGGTCAGGAGTTCGAGACCAGCCTGGCCAACATGGTGAAACCCTGTCTCTACTAAAAATACAAAAAAATCACCCAGGCGTTGTGGTGGGCACCTGTAATCCCAGCTACTCGGGAGGCTGAGGCAGGAGAATACCTTGAAACACAGCGAAACTCCATCTCAAAAAAAAAAAAAAGGCTGGGCGCAGTGGTTCACACCTGTAATCCCAGCACTTTGGGAGGCCAAGGTGGGCAGATCACGAGGTCAGGAGATCGAGACCAGCCTGACCAACATGGTGAAACCCCGTGTCTACTAAAAATACAAAAATTAGCCGGGTGTGGTGGTGTGCACCTGTAATCCCAGCTACTCAGGAGGCTGAAGCAGGAGAATCGCTTGAACCCAGGAGGCGGAAGTTGCAGTGAGCCGAGATCGAGCCACTGCACTCCAGCCTGGGCGACAGAGTGAGACTCTATCTGAAAAAAAAAGAAAGAAAGAAGGAAGAAAAGGTCCTGGTCCCTGAAAATATCGTTAAGCTACTGAAACAGCTACACACCACTATTCTCAGATTGGCTCATTAAGAAAACAATGACTGTTAGTTGGTTTTCTGTTACCGCCAAATAATTCTAGTCAACACAAAAAGGTCCTTGTCTTTTCCAAGACCAAAATTTACTGTTTACTTACTGTGCAGTCTTGTACCACCAGACATCTTTTCCCATACAGCTAAATAAAAACTCTATGCTGCACTGTCTTACTTGCTATTGTATCCCAAATGATTAGCAAAATGTAACATGTTCACAAAATGATCACTGAATGAAGGAGTTAGCAGCACATTTTCAACTTTCATGAAAGTCAAATTCATGGCCGGGCATGGTGGCTCATGCCTGTGATCCCAGCACTTTGGAGGCTGAGGCGGGAGGATCGCTTGAGGTCAGTAGTTCGAGACCAACCTGGCCAACATGGCGAAATCCCATCTCTACTAAAAATACAAAAATTAGCCAGGCATGGTGGCGTATGTCTGTAATCACAGCTATTCTGGAGGCTGAGGTGGGACAACCACTTGAACCTGGGAGGCTGCAGTGAGCTGAGACTGCACCACTGCACTGCACTCCAGCCTGGGCGACTGAGCGAGACTTTGTCTCAAAATAAAAAAAAAGAAGAAAGTCATATTTATGAATGTCAAGAATCTAACAAGGCTTACATTTCTCTATCTTGCCCATAAGCATAACCTAAAAAACCATCTAAAGCTTTACAGAAATCGCAAGAGAACTTAAGTGCAGCATCCCTCTGATACAACAGTCTTAATACTAAGAAAAGAAGAGAAGTCAAGGGTCCTACACTGGCCAACAAACTCACCGCAATCATACTGGATGAGTCTTAAGTCAGGGAACTGGGTGCGCATGTTACACACAATACGGTGCAAAGGACGAGCCCGGGGCCAGAGCTCAGAGGCCAATTGCTCCTGGAAGGCTGCCTGACGTGGGGCCAGCCAAGGAGGTGGGTGGCAGGCATGCAGGGAAGGGGGAGGTGCCTCCACAGGAGGCATGACAAAGATGAACCTGTGAAAGGAAGAAGCAGGCAGTGTAAAAGATGGGACTCTGAAATGCCCCAGAAGTTAACACCTTCACCAGCCCTAAGCACTACATCCACTCTGAGGCCCCAAGACCCACTCCCCATTAGCACTTAGCCCTGCCAACCTCTCAATGATTTCTGACAGCTGGTCTAGTCGCTGCTGGGGAAACAGTACAGCCCGGTGGGCAGCCTCGGTATAAGTCCAAAAGGTGGGGTGGCTGGGGCCAGGAGAACGAGGGCCGATGGGGCTGGCAACAGGTTGGGGCAGGGTACAGAAATCCAGGACTTCAGTCCCATACACAGGTGCCAGGGCCCCATGAGCCTCACTAAGTTGGAAAATCCGTTCCAGGCGTTCAGACCGCTGCCGCTTCCGCTTTTCCTCCAGGGAGTCCTGGGGGTGAGAGAAAAAGAGGAAGTAATCAGCACCCTCAGAGTCCACATCAAAACCTGACTGTTCTTCCCAGATGGAAATAAATATATAGAAACCATGGGATCCAAAAATACACTATGCTTTTTGTAGTTTTCCAAGTTATCAATGAGAACTATTCTTTCTCAGAAGTTATGTTAAATAACTTTCTTTTTTATGTTAAATAACTATTCTTTCTCAGAAGTTATGTTAAGTAACTTCTCTCCTAGAGAAAACTGATCTTTCCTTGTATGCTACCAAAGCAGAATGACTGAATATTCAAAATTAAGATCTACAATTCCAACAAGTTTATAGAATGGACGATTTGTGGGTATTTTCCTACGTAACACTCAACTCCAGGACTATAGCCTTCTTCAAATCACTGACCAGGATACAGAGGCGCCAATCAAATCCAGACCAGGTTTTTGCCAAGGGCCAGACTGGAATGGGGTGGAATGGGAACAGCTAACCGGACATCCGAGTCTCATCACTCTGAGACAGAAAATGGGCAACCCGGCAGTGAGGACACCTGGATGACTTTGACCCAATCCTTTCCCATCTTTGTGCTTCCAGTTTCACAGTCTGAAAAACTTCTTTGTATCACTTATTATGCTTGTAGTTACACATCTGTATGATTATTTAACTAATATCTATCCACTACACGGTAGGCCCCATACAACATGAACTGTGCCTTGCTCACTATAATCACTCAGTAACTAGCACAATTAAGCTCTCAATACATTTATCTGTTAACAAAATGAACAAATGAGGGAGACTAGACCCCAAGAGATAGTTGTGAAAAGAGGAGTGTTCCAAATCTCCTTCCTGACTGCTACCAAGTTTCACCTCTTGGCTTGAAGTGCTCTATGTGAGGGAAAAAAGGTGTCCTAGCAGACGGAAAAACCAATAAACTCAAAGAGCTAGTTCCTTTTGAGGCTAGCTCCCAATAGTAGCAAAAAGAGAAAATCTGGCCAGGAGCAGTGGCTCAAGCCTATAATCCCAGCACTTTGGGAGGCCTAGGTGGATGGTTTGAGCCTCCTATTCAAGACCAGTTTGGGCAACATGGCAAAACCGCATCTCTACAAAAAATACAAACAAGGGCCAGGCGCGGTGGCTCACACCTGTAATCCCAGCACTTTGGGAGGCCGAGGCGGGCAGATCATGAGCTCAAGATATCAAGACCATCCTGGCCAACATGATGAAACCCTATCTCTACTAAAATTACAAAAAAGTTAGCTGGGCGTGGTGGTGCAAGCCTGTAGTCCCAGCTACTTGGGAGGCTGAGCAGGAGAATCGCTTGAACCTGGGAGGCGGAGGTTGCAGTGAGCTGAGATCGCACCACTGCACTGCAGCCTGGTGACAGAGTGAGTCTCCATCTCAAAAAAAGAAACAAACAAGTAGCCTGGCATGGTGGCACAAGCCTACAGTCCCAGCTACTTGGAGGGCTGAGATGGGAGGTTCACTTAAGCCCAGGAGGCTGCAATGAGCGGAGACTGTGCCACTGCACTCTAGCCTGATTGACAAAGTGAGACACTGTCTCAAAAAAAAGACTATTTGTAAACCATACGTCTGAAAAAGGATCTGTAATCAGAATATATAAAGAACTCTTACAACTCAATAATAAAAAGACAACCCATTTTAAAAGGGCAGAGGATCTGAACAGATAGTTCTTCAAAGATACACAAATGGCCAGCATGGTATTTCAACCACATGAAATAAAGCTCAACATTAGCCAACAGGGAAATTCAAATCAAAATCACAATGAACTACTACTTCACACCCAGCAGGATGGCTATAATCAAAGTGATGATGTGCCAGGCATGGTGGCTCACACCTGTAATCCTAGCACTTTGGGAGGCTGAGGCGGGCAGATCACTTGAGGTGTGGAATTCGAAACCAGCGTGGCAAACATGGTAAACCCCATCTCTACTAAAAATACAAAAAAATCTGGCCAGGTGCAGTGGCTCATGTCTATAATCCCAGCACTTTGGGAGGCCAAGGCAGGCGGATCACCTGAGGTCAGGAGTTCGAGACCAGCCCGGCCAACATGGTGAAACCCCATCTCTACTAAAAATAAAAAAATTAGCCAGGCGTGGTGACGCCATGCCTGTAGTCCCAGCCACTCGGGAAGATGACACAGGAAAATCGTTTGAGCCTGGGAAGTGGAGGTTGCAGTGAGCCGGGATGGTGCCACTTTACTCCAGCCTGGGCAACAGAGCAAGATTCTGTCTCAAAAATAAAATAAAATAATAAGAATACAAAAAAATTAGGTAGGCATGGTGCCACATGCCTGTAATCCCAGCTACGAGGGAGGTTGAGGTGGGGTCACTTAAACCCAGGAGACAGAGGTTGCAGTGAGCCAAGACCGTGCCAAAGCACTCCAGCCTGGGTAACAGAGCAAGACTCCTTCTCAAAAAAAAAAAAAAAAGTATTGGCTCAAATGTGGAGAAACTGGAATCCTCACAGACTGCTGGTGGTAATGTCAAATGCTGCAGCCACTTTGGAAAAGTCTGGCAGTTCCTTAAACAGTTAAAACCTAGTTACAATATAACCCAGCAATTCTTCTCCTCAGTATGTATCTAACAGAAACTGAGAACACCTGTCCATACAAAAACTTGTACATGAAATGTTCACAGCAGCATTGTTCATAACAACCATAAAGCAGAAGTAACACACGTTTCCATCAACTCAAGGATAAAATGTGGTATTCATACATTATTATTCAACATAAAAACAAATGAAGTACTGATATACGCTATAACACAATAAAATTCAAAGAACATTAATCTAAGTAGAAGATGCCAGTCACAATGGACCACACATTATACATTATGACTCCATAGGCAAAACTAGAGAAATAAAAAAGTAGGATGGTAGTCATTCAAGACTAGGAGGGACGGAGGGATTGGGGAATGCTGGCTAACAGGTGCAGCGTTTCTTTTTGGGGCCACGGAAAGGTTCTAAGTTGATTGTGTTGATGATTGTACAACCCTATAAATATATTAAAAACCTATTGTACAGTTTAGGGCCAGGCATGGTGGCTCACACCTATAATCCCAGCATTTTGGGAGGCCGAGATGGGAGGATCACTTGAGGCCAGGAATTCGAGACCAGCCTGGTCAAGAGTGGGAGACCCCCATCTGTATTTAAAAAAAAAACCAAAAACTATTGTACAGTTTAAATGGGTAAATCGAATGGTATATGATTTATAGCACAAACTGTTACCAAAAAAAACCAAGTGGCAAGAGGCTATTATCTACTTGCAGAGCAATCCCTCTACTCTCTACTTCCAACCAGCCAGGACCAACCTAGCGGCTGGTCAGGTAAAAACCAAAGGTGGAGTCAATGGCACTGGTGGAAGGTGGGGGAGTAGGCATGAAGCAAAGACTAAGCAGCAGCTCTGATTACAGTGGGGAAAAGCCAGAGGGCGTGGAGGGACCCACTGGACCTTCCTTCTCCTTAGTTCTGGTTTACTTAAGCTGAACTGTGAGTTTAACTCAAGTACTACACAGACATGGGCCTATATACATAGTACAGGAAAGAAACAGCTACCGGAAATCATAAAAGGGACAGAGAAGAGTTCCTTTTACTGCCCATTTATTACCGTGCGGGTTAAAAAACGGGAAAAGAGGCCGGGCGTGGTGGCTCACCCCTGTAATCCTAACACTTCAGGAGGCTGAGGCAGGCGGATCATGAGGTACACGCCCAGGGAAGAGAAGGGACTTGTCCAAATGTCACTCAAGTACTTGGTCCATAACATTAAGCTTTGTAATTCACCAGGTTAAATGTGACATCACTGTTCCATCCACCCTACCAACACTCCAAAGAAACTCAACTTCCTGTTCCCTCTTGAGGAAGTAAAACTTACCAGATAAAAAGGGGAACGAGGTGGTGGGGGGGGCTGGCGTCGAGGCCGGGGGCCACCAAACGAGGTAGCAGTGGAGGGAGGGCTGGGGGGACCAGAGCGCAATGTCAGTGTGTCAGGCTCATCCTTGGAAACAGGCAGCCGGGATACCATGGTGACAGGCAAGGGAGCGGCACCAGATGCCGAAACCACAAGGGAAGATGCCTGGGAAGCTGGGGACTGTGTGGAGGCTGGGGCCAGCGCCAAGGTCTGAGCTGCGGCCGGGCCCAGGGTAGGAACTGGGGCAGGGCTCAAGGTCAGTGTCTGCACTGAAGCTGGGGCCAGGAGTGAAGCAGATGACGATGCTGGAGCCAAAGTCAGCGTGTGAGCTGGGGCTGGGCCCACTGGAGAAGCTGGAGCCAGAGGGGGTGCTGGAGCCAGAGACAGCGTCTGAGTTGGACCCAGTGGTGGTCCTGGTGCCAAAGACAGTGTCTGGGCTGGAGTTGGTACCAGGGATGATGCTGGAGTTAATGACAATGTCTGAGTTGGAAAGGGTCCCTGGGGGTTCCCCGTTCCCAAAGAGAGTGTCTGAGATGGAGATGAGCCTCCAAGAGTGGGTGCTAAAGCTGGGGCTAGGGCCAGTGTCTGCGTAGAAGCCGGGCTCGGGAGAGGTGACGGAACCGGGGCTGGTAGCATAGTTTGAGTTGATGATGGAGCCAACACAGGGGTTGGAGCTGGTACCGGTGAAGCTGAGGCTAAAGAGGTTCCTGGAGTAGACGATGGAGCCATAACTGGAACCGGAGTCTGTGATGAAGCCAGGACAGGAGCAGCACCTGGCGATGGTGCCAGGACCGGAAGAGGAGCCAGAGGAGGAGCTGGAGAAGGAGCCAGAATTGCTGTCTGTGGAGCCGCCATAGGAGCCAGAGGGGTGGCTAGAGCCTGAGATGCAGAAGATGCTGGAGCCAGAAGGGAAGCCTGAGCTGGAGCTGGATTTGGTGCTGACGGAAAAGGACTGGCCAGAGCCGAAGCTGGCACCAGGACAGGTGAGCATGCTGGGGCCACGGTTGAGTTCAACCCTGGAACATGTGAAGAGGTGGGAGCCAACAACAGAGGGTGACCAGGTGTCTGAGATGAAGACAGGGATGGAGCTGTGGCCAAACCTAGAGTCAAGGCTGATGCTGACGGGGAAGCACCAGATGGTGCCAAGGAGGGAGGTCCAGGAGCCGCTGGGACAACAGGTGCCAATGGTGGAGTCACACTGGTCAACAGAGCTGGGCCCGAAGCAGAAACAGTCAAGGGGGCTGAGATGGGGATGGTGAGTGGAGCCGAGGCTGGGGCAGGAAGTGTGGTGGGGACAGAGATGGGGAGTGAAGATGACAATGGAACTGAGACTGTAGAGGACACAGGACTAGCAAGGGGAGAGGAGTTGGGAATTGGCATTGGAGAAGAGGCTGGCCCAGGGAGGGAGGATGGCACGTGGAGAGGAGAAGAGATGGTCAAGGGGGCAGCTCCGGGGGCTGAAGCTGTGGAGAGAGAGGATGAGTTAGCCCCAGAATTCTTTTCCTGAGCCTTTCTACTCCCTGTCCCATCTTTCCCATACCCCCAAGCTTCCCATTTCCCAGAAGGCATTCACTCCCACAACATGAAGTCAAACATCCAAGTAATCTGACAACTTTAGATTTTCTTCCCCTCCAAGATTCCAGCAAATAGATCTTGAAATTAGGTCAGGGCTCAGGCAGCCCAGTTCTGGGGCCCACTACAAATCAAGGCAGTACGCTGATATGAAAAAACCTGTACTAAAACTAAGAAACCTTGAGGCGACCCCATCTCGTCTCCATTCCTGGCAAGGATTTCTGGCCTCAGCCACCTGGACTCACCACTGACTTCAGGTGAAGGACTGTGGACCAGCTTGAGAAGAGGCCTCACCAGAGTGGGTGTGGGCATGGGGGCTCGAGCAGTACCCAGAGTAGGTGTGGGTAGCCGGCCAGGGGTTAACGTGGGGCGTGGATTCAACACAGCTGGAAGCCCAGAGCTCGGAGGCCGGGGTGCTGGGGCCAATGGAGGAACAGGAGTCAGTCCATCCCGAGGGGCTTGTCTCACTACAATCTTCACCACGCCTGTATTATTCACCATGGTTGGTGGCACTGCAAGAGGAAGCTACACTGAGAGGAAGGTAGAAAAGAAACAAAAGACCCAAAGAATGGAAGAAGTCCAGGGGCAGGAGAAGGTGGCAGACAGGTATCATAGATATTCGCAAGGGAAAACAACACTGAGGGAAGGCTGGACAGACAGTAGCCCAGCGCATGCCTGGAAGGACCAAGGCCAGCAAGGGCTAAGTAGGAAGGCCAGGAGCCTCACCCTGGTTAGCAGCAAGCGGAAGGCTGAGGCCAGTAGGGGCAGGGGTGGTGCTGGGGGTCGAAGAAGGCAGCACAGAGACAGGGGTAGGGCCAGGGGTCGGGGCCACGGCCTGGATGAGGGCCACATGGGCAGGCTGGCTGATGAGATGGTGCTGCCCCCCTGCTGACACGAGGTGCACCACATTCCCTGGGTTAAGGGAAGAGAGAAAGAGAGAGAGAAGCAGCTATCAGCCTGAGGAGGGCAGAGGCAAGGCAAGAAGAGAAGAAAAGAACAGAGAGGGAATACATTCTCTAGAATGACCTCTTCCCTATCTTTATCCAAGATCCCTCCAACCATGCCCGTTGGCCCCACCCACCAAAAGCTTGGGTAAGAAACATAAAGGCTGACATTCAAAAAAGTCACAAAAACAAAGAGACAGGGAAGAGGAGGAAAAAGGCAGGACAGGGGGTGGGTTTTACCTACTTTGCAGCGGGCGGGGCTGCCCCACAGCAAGCTGGCGCACCTGGGCACCAGTCAAAGTCAGCTTGTTGCCCTGGATTTGGAAGGTGAGAGGTTTGCTTCCCCCTGCATTAGCCACTGGACGTTGTGCCAGTGAGGCTAACTGCCCGATGCTGACCACTTCGCCTGCTAAAAACAGAGAAGGCCTTATTGTACACAAGGCTCATCCTGCTCAACACCACTTCACAGACCCCATGAAGCACACCTCTCCCCCGAGTGTCCAGTTCAAACAACTAAGCCCTTCCCACAATTTACCATGTCCCAATAAACTCAGCCTCCACCTACAGCCTTTGAGCTTTTCATGTGCTACTCCTTCCAATCCCATTTGCTTAGCAATCTCTTTTATATCCTCTAACATGGCCTGCCACCAGACTGAGCTAATCACCACCATCTGCTCTACACTGTCCTTTTACCCCAATACTTTTCTACTGCTAGGCTTACCACTATTTATTCATCTATGTGTCATCTCCCTATGTCAATTTCTTAAGGGCTCTTAATTATGATCTGACAATGTCTGGCATAATGCCTAACATATGTTAGCTGCCTCAATTTTTTTTGACACAGGGTCTTGCTCATGATTGCAGTGGCGTAACCATGGCTCACTGCAGCTCCAAACTCCTGGCTGAAGCAAACCTCCCACCTTGGCCTCCCAAAGCACCGGGATTATAGGCATGAGCCATCATGCCTGACCCAGCTGCCTAAAATTTGATGCTCTCATGGTCCTGAGCTTTCCTCCCATCTCAAGTCCCTCACCACAGAGCCCTGGGAACTTACAGGGCAGGCGAGCCTGCATATCGGGAGATAGAATGAGGCGCTGTGGTGCAGGAGTCGGAGCTGGCACTGCTGTGGTGGTAGCAGTTGCCGTGGTGGTAGAAGTGGTGGTGGCAGCAGCAGGAGGGAAGGTGTAGCCTGGTGGCACTGTCAGGGGCTTCAACAGGCTAGAGGAGCCTGGAGGTGGGGCTGGGCTCAGGCGAACTGGGGCAGGTGGTGTTGGCTTTAGGGACAAGGTTGGCGTGGGAGGCCGTGAGGTCCCACTCAGGACCCCCAGGGGGGATGGCAACACTGCAGACACAAAGCAAACACCTGTCAGATATACCCTGACTAAAGCCTTAGCCTGGTGCCAGAAGCCTCCATACTCCCTTCCAACCCATCAAATACTAGACCCGTGTCCCCAGCCCAGCTCCTCAAACCCTTTAATTTCACTACTTCCTCCTCAGTCTGAACAACCTTTCTGAAGCACCACGCATCATCCTTGGCTCCCTTTCAACTCACCCTGGGGGAGAGAACCACTGTTGGGCTGCAGTGGAGGCAAGAGGACAGGGCCAGGAGGCCGAGATGCAGGAATAAGCGGGGGCCCGGCAGGTGAGGCTGAAACCATCAGTGATGCTGGCAGCACTTGGGGGACTGGGCCAGGGGTGGGCTGGGCTGAGAGCTCAGGACCTGGAGGAGGTCGAACTGGGACAGGGCCCAGGGGCGCCCGTGGGTTGTTCACCACCACCACTGTCCGGCCTTCTTGCTTAGGTACTGGCTGCAGCATCCTGTGAGAAAAAATTAAGAGAGTGGGTAGGGACAGAAGGAGAATAAGGGGTAGCAATATCAAAGAAAAGAAGAAAATGAAACAGAGAGACAGATTATAAAAGCAAAGAAAAGGAAAGAGACCCAAAGGAGAACAAGGAATAGGAATTTAAGACAATCAGAAAGCACCGAACAGAGAGAAAGGGAGAAAAAGTGACTAACACAGAAGCCCATCCCAGTACCCTCTTCTAGTTATTCTCTCCCTGATTCCCTCCACGTTTGCACCCATCCCATATAAATATTCCAGCCTTGCATCCAACTCTTTTCTTCCCACCCCAGGCCCCTCTGGGCAGCTTTCAGCCACTTATTCTAGGAACCATCCCCTCATTCCTTAGTCCTTGTACCTGTTGACCTTCATCTTGACTGGCTTGGGCCGGGGTGGGGGGTCAGGAGCAGTAGCCACTTCTAACAGTACCCGGCGAGAGAGGCGGTGCCGGGGCAGAAATGTGTCTGCCTCATATCGAGAGACACGACCTTCCAGGCCAATAAGGTCAAATCGACCCATGTCTATCCGCTGCCACAAGAAAGAAAGCACAGTCATAAAGAAGAACAAAATCACATCCTTTGCAACGCAGATGTAGCTGGAGGCCATTATCCTTAAGTGAATTAACACAGAAACAGAAAACCAAATACCACATGTACTCACTCACAAGTGGGAGCTAAACATTGGGTACGCATGGACATGAAGATGAGAACAATATACGCCAGAAACGACTGTGGCGGGCAAGGGGCTGAAAAACTACCAGTTGAGTACCATGCTCACAACCTGAGTAACAGGATCAATCGTACGCCAAACCTCAGCATCATGCAATATACCCCATTTAAGAAACCTGCACATGTACACCCTTACTCCAAAATAAAAGGCTAGGCACGGTGGCTCAAACCTGTAATCCCAGCTCTCTGGGAGGCCAAGATTGGGGAACTGTGTGACCCCAGGAATTTGAGATCACCCTAGGCAACATAGTAAGACCCCGTCTCTACAGAAAATACAAAAATTAGCCAGGCATGTTAGCATGTACCTGTAGTCCCAGCTACTCAGGAGGCTCAGGCGGGAGGACTGCTTGAGCCCAGGGAGCTGAGGCTGCAGTCAGCTATGATCATGCCAATGCACCCCAGCCTGGGCCACAGAACAAGACCCTGCCTCAAAATTAAAAAAAAAAAGGCCGGGTGCGGTGGCTCACGCCTGTAATCCCAGCACTTCTGGAGGCCGAGGCGGGTGGATCACGAGGTCAGGAGTTCAAGACCAGCCTGGCCAAGATGGTGAAACCCCATCTCTACTAAAAATACAAAACATTAGCCAGGCGTGGTGGCACGTGCCTGTAATCCCAGCTACTCAGGAGGCTGAAATGGAGAATTGCTTAAACCTGGAGGGGCGGAGCTTGCAGTGAGCCAAGATCGTGCCACTGCACTCCAGCCTGGGTGACAGAGTGAGACTCCATCTCAAAAAAAAAAATAAAAATAAATAAATAAATAAATAATAGGCGGGGCACCATGGCTTATGCCTGTAATCCTACTACCTTGGGAGGCCAAGGTGGGCAGATCACTTGAGGCCAGGAGTTCGAGACCAGCCTGGCCAACATGGTGAAACCCCATCTCTACTAAAAATACAACCAGCATGGTTGTGCACACCTGTAGTCCCAGCTGCTCAGGAAGCTGAGGCACAAGAATCGAGAATCGCTTGAACCCAAGACGCAGAGGTTGCAATGCGCTGAGACTGCACCATTGTACTCCAGCCTGGGTGACAGAGTAAGACTCTGTATCAAAAAAAAAAAAAAGTAGTAATAACAACACAATGCAGTGTCAAAGATGCCAATTTTACAATGATTTATTGGACATGATGCCAAAAGCACAGCCAACAAAAGAAAAAAATTGATAAATTGAACTACATCAAAATTTAAAACTGGGGGCCAGGTGCAGTGGCTCACACCTGTAATCCCAGCACATTAGGAGGCCAAGGCAGGCAGATTATCTGAGGTCAGGCGTTCGAGACCAGCTGGGCAACGTGGTGAAACCTCATCTCTACTAAAAATACAAAAATTAGCTGGGAGTGGTGGCACACACCTGTAGTCCCAGTTACTTGGGAGTGAGGCAGGAGAATCACTTGAACCCAGGAGGTGGAGGTTACAGTGAGCTGACATCGCACCACTGCACTCCAGCCTGAGCGACAGAGTAAGACTCCATCTTAAAAAAAAAAAAAAAAGCCAGGCACAGTGGCTCACACCTGTAATCCCAGCACTTTGGGAGGCCGAGGTGGACAGATCACCTGAGGTCAGGATTTCAAGACCAGCCTGGCCAACATGGCGAAACCCCATCTCTACTAAAAATACAAAAATTAGCTGGGCGTGGTGGCGCATGCCCGTAATCCCAGCTACTCGGGAGGCTGAGGCAGGAGAATCACTTGAACCCGGGAGGCAGAGGTTGCAATGAGCTGAGATTGTGCCATTGCACTCTAGCCTGGGCAACAAGAGCAGAACTCTGCCCCCCCCACCCAAAAAAAAATTAAAACTAGGTGTGGTAGCTCACGCCTATAATCCCAGGGCTTTGGGAGGCCAAGGCGGAAGGATCACTTGAGGCCAGGAGTTCAAGACTAGTCTAGGCAACATATCAACATCCCATCTCTACAAAAAAATTAAAATAAAAAAATCAGTCAGGCATAGTGGTGCACGCATATAGTTCCAGCTACTCGTCCAGGAGTTTGAAACCAGCCTGAGCGACATGGCAAGACACCATCTCTTCCAGAAAACTAAAAAAAAAAAAAAAAATCAGCAGGGCCGGGTGCAGTGGCTCACATCTGTAATCCCAGCACTTTGGGAGGCCAAGGTGGGCAGATCACAAGGTCAAGAGATGAAGACCATCCTGGCAAACATGGTGAAACCCCATCTCTACTAAAAACACAAAAGTTAGCTGGGTGTGGTGGTGCGTGCCTGTATCCCCAGCTACTCGGGAGGCTGTGGAAAATTGCTTGAACTTGGGAGGCGGAGGTTGCAGTAAGCCAAGATGGCACCACTGCACTCCAGCCTGAGGACAGAGCGAGACTCCGCCTCAAAAAAAAAAAAAAAAAAAAAGCCAGGCTTGGTAGCGCATACCCGTGGTCCCAGCTAGTTGGAAGGCTGAGGCGGGAGGACTATTTGAGCCCAGGAGTTCAAGGCTGCAGTAAGCTATGATCATACCACTGAACTCTAGCCTGGGTGACAGAGATAGACCTTGTCTCGAAAAAAAAAACCACCAAAAACAAGTGTTTGTGCATCAAAAAACACTATCAACATAGCGAAAAGGCAACTTATGGAATGTGACAAAATATTTGCAAGTCATACATCTGATAATGGGTTAATTTCCAAAGCATATAATGAAGTCCTACAGCTCAACAACCACCACACAAACACCCAAAATTAACAAATCTTCAAAAGACATTTCTTCAAAAATATAGACAAGTGGCCAATGAGCACATGAAAAGATCCTTGACAGCACTCATCACTAAGGAAATAAGGAAATGCAAACCAAAACCACAATGAAATACCAATTCACACTCATTAATATGGGTGTAATTAAAAAAAAAGAAATAACAGGTAATGGCAAGGATGTGGAGAAATTAGAACACTTGTGCCCTGCTAGGGTGGAAATGTAAAACATGCAGCTACTATGGAAAACAGTGGAGGTTTTCCCAACATGCAGAAATAGAATTACCATGTTACAGCAATTTCACTGTTAAGTAAATACCCAAAATAAAAAGCAGAGATATTTGTACACCTATGTTCATAGCCTTATTCACAAGAGACAAAAGGTGGAAAGAATCCAAGTGCCCACTGACAGATAAGTGGATAAACAAAATGTGATGCAGACGCTCCTGGACTTACAATGAGGTTACATTCCAACAAACCCTCAGCAAGTAAAGAATTTAATACCCTTTAATACCCTTGATAAGCCCATCAAAAAGTAAAAAATTGTAAGCTGAATCATTCTAAGTCCAGATGCTCCTCAATTTACGATGGGGTTACATCCTGATAAATTCACAGTGAAGTCAAAAAAATATTAAGTTGAACCATCGTTAAGTCACATGGCTAGAGTACAATAAAACTAAGGGAATGATAGGGGAGTCATGAGGATGCAAAAGTCAGACCCCAGTCTAACGAAAAGAGGTACATGGTTGGAGTAATGCCGATAACCTTTACATTTCATATTAATGGAATCATACTTACCTGGAGGGGATGGACATCCGTGGCCCTTAGCACCAGAGAGGCGGTGCTGAAGCAGATGCCTGGGGTGATGAAAGGGGAGGTAACCGGTCGAGGGTCGAACAGATTTGGATGATTGCAAACTTTTCTCAGCTGCATCAAAATGTTGATGACGCTCATGAAATGGCCTGTGGCTAGTGTCTCCTTAGTTCTGGGGAAAGAGGAAAAATAAATGAGACGTCCTAACAGCCACCTACACTCCAATCTCGAGTCCCAGGGCCCACCCTCCTTCCTCCCTTACGTGGTCTGTGCCATGAAGTCATCATAGAGACAGCGTTGACGCTTGGAGAGCCTGCAGCGGATAACATGCTCGTACTTTTTGGGCATCTGCTTCTCAACATCCACCTTAACTCGGCGCAGTAAAAAAGGCCTCAAAACCTAAAAGCAAATTAAGCTGGAGGCTAAACAGGAGAACTCAGGCACCGAGCCCCAGCCTAAGCCCCTCAGCAAACACTAATGGAGTCATACGGCACACCATATCAGACACCAACCACACAAAGATGAGTCAACTGCAAGCCCTCAAGGGATCTGCTGTCTGCTGAAGGAGACAGACACAAAATGATACCATGACACAGGAAGTGATATAAGGAAGCACTGTGGGCAGACCAACTACGCAGAATAGAAAACTCAAACTAGATTTTGAGGAGTAATTGTTAAGTTTACAAGATGATGCAAATAAATCTAGAAGATGAGGAGAATAAAAACTGTGGCCTTGACAGGAGATAAAACAAAAGGCAAATCTGTAATCTCAGAAGATAAAATCTAATAGGACACAGTCATCAATGTCTACAGTGACACGGAAGAAGTAAAGGAACAGAGATAAATGAAGGAAAAGTAATAGTTAAGGAAGACTTCCTGTTTTCTTTTTTTTTTTTTTTTGATACAAAGTTGCGCTCTGTCACCCAGGCTGGAGTGCAGTGGCGCAATCCTGGCTCACTGCAAGCTCTGCCTCCCGGGTTCATGCCATTCTCCTGCCTCAGCCTCCTGAGTAGCTGGGACTACAGGCACCCGCCACCGCGCCCGGCTAATTTTTTGTATTTTTAGTAGAGACGGGGTTTCACCATTTTAGCCAGGATGGTGTTGATGTCCTGACCTCGTGATCCGCCTGCCTCAGCCTCCCAAAGTGCTGGGATTACAGGCGTGAGCCACCGCGCCCGGCCGACTTCCTGTTTTCTAGCTTAGTTTACCGAATGATAGTGATTGACCAAGATGAAGTAGAAATAACAGGCTATAAGGCCAGAGATGTCTAGCTTAGAACAGTGTTGAGTTCAAGAGGAACTCTCAATTAATGATAGCAAATCAGAAATTTAAATACAGGTCAAGTGATCTAGAAAGTCAAGGAATTTTAGTACAGACTGGAGAGTCTTTATCACATAAGAAATAGTCAAAGCCTTAGGAATGAGTAGGCCTGTGAGATATGCAGACTGAGAAGACAAAAAAAGTAAAGATCAGAATGCTGAAAGATGTTGTGATTTAAAAGTTGGGCGAAAAAGGAAGAGCCAAAGAAGACCAGAGAGAGAAAACACCAACAATATGAAGTTGAAGAAATCCAAGCAGGGATCAATCAGCAGTACCATTCTACTCAAAGACAGTAAGGACAAAAACATCACCATTTAAAAAAAAACAAAAAACAAACAGGCTGGGAACGGTGGCTCACACCTGTAATCCCAACACTTTGGGAGGCCAAGCGGGGGCAGGGCGGATCACTTAAGGTCAGGAGTTCGAGACCAGCCTGGCCAACATGGCGAAATCCGCCTCTACTAAAAATAACAAACATTAGCTAGGCATCGTAGTGCAGACCTGTAACCCCAGCTACTCAGGAGGCTGAGGCAGGAGAATCGCTTGAACCTGGGAGGTGGAGGTTGCAATGAGCCAGATCACGCCACTGCACTCCAGCCTGGGTGACAGAGAGAGACTCTGTCTCAAAAAAAAAAAAGCCCGGCACGGTGGCTCACACCTTTAATTCCAGGATTTTCGGAGGCCGAGGCAGGCAGATCACGAGGTCAGGAGATCGAGACCATCCTGGCTAACACGGTGAAACTCCGACTCTACTAAAAATACAAAAAATTAGCCGGGCGTAGGCCGGGCGCGGTGGCTCATGCCTATAATCCCAGCACTTTGGGAGGCCGAGGCAGGCGGATCATGAGGTCAGGAGATGGAGACCATCCTGGCTAATACGGTGAAACCCCGTCTCTACTAAAAATACAAAAAATTAGCCCGGCGTGGTGGTGGGCGCCTTTAGTCCCAGCTACTCGGGAGGCTGAAGCAGGAGAATGGCATGAACCTGGGAGGCAAAGCTTGCAGTGAGCCAAGACCGCGCCACTGCACTCCAGCCTGGGCGACAGAGTGAACTCTGTCTCAAAAAAAAAAAAAAAAAAATTAGCCAGGCTTTGTGGCGGGTGCCTGTAGTCCTGGCTACTCGGGAGGCTGAGGCAGGAGAATGGTGTGAACCCAGAAGGCGGAGTTTGCAGTGAATGGATATTGCAACACTGCACTCCAGCCTGGGCGACAAAGCAAGACTCAGTCTCAAAAAAAAAAAAAAACAGAATTGATGACTAAGATGAGGTCACTCAATCTGGCAATGGGTTAGTCACTAGAACACTGCAGCTTGACAAAGGAGTTTAGCCTGGCACTGACTTCCCTCTCCCCAAGGGTTTCCTGGGCACTGCCCAGGTGCTCAGGAATGGTTCCTTACCATTCCCAATACCCTGACAAACTGTTGCAGGCCCTACCTTGTGGAGGCGTTTGACTAGACCTTCATTATACTCTTGGCTGCCCTCAATCATGCCAGTTAGGGGATTAGAGAACCACTCCTTGAACTCGCGATGAGACTGGAAGACATGGGGCATCAAAAAGTGCATCAAGGACCACAGCTCCATGAGGCTGTTCTGCAAGGGAGTTCCTGTCAGGAGCAGGCGTCTCTGGCTGCAAAGAGACAGAGAGAATCAGAGAGAGTATGGTCAGCAAGCTCCCAACCTTCTGAGCATTCTGATACATTCCTCAACCCAGGCAGCCCTCCCTTCTAGCCAAGTCAACCCTCCCATGAATCCCCATCTCCATCTCCACCTGTTGAAGTTGAGGAGTGACTGCCAGCGCTGTGACTTGAAGTTCTTGATGTTCTGCGCCTCATCCAGAATGAGATAGCGCCAGTTCTTGCGACGGAAGGCCTGGTGGTCCTGCAGCACCAGCTTGTAAGATGTGATACACACATGAAAGGCATTGGGCTTGGTCCAGCCCTGAGGGATCAAAGACAGAAAGTAGCAGATAGTGGGATGAAAAGAAGAGAGCAAAGGGAAGACATGCTAAACTCCTCAAAGGACAGTAATCAGGTTGGAAGAAAAGAGAAAGTCCCAGCAAAAGAATGGAGCGACAGAAAGAGGAGGGGCCTGGGTGCGGTGGCTCACAGCTATAGTCTCAGTACTTTGGGAGGTTGAGGTGGGAGGATCTCTTGAGCCCAGGTGTTCAAGGTCAGCTTGGGTAACATAGTGAGACCCCATCTTTATTTTTACAAAAAATTAAAAAATTTTTTTTAAAAAAGAAAGAGGAGAGAAAGGAATTCACCTGAGGAAAGGGCTTAAAAATAAAGGAGGCATCAATGGGAGGAAAGTGACCACATGAAACATCGAACCTGCCGCTTGAGCTTCCTCTCTTTCTGGGCTCCATAGTAAGTGAGGATTTTAAAGCTGGGGCACCACCGTTTCAACTCCATCTCCCAGTTCAACATCACGCTGGTGGGAACAATGATTAAATGGGGACCCCAGTTACCTGTTAGGCAAAAAAATCAGAGATGGTAAGGAAATGTAAATTCTGTGGTTCTGATTTCTCAGTTATAACCCTGGCCACCCTTTGGCCCTTCCTAGGAATCCTAGCACCTACACTGTCCTCTCTATACAGTTAATGACCGGAGTCAATAAAGCAAAAGTCAATGAAGCTGGAGTCATCACTGAACAAGCTCCCAGGGAGCTAGACTAGGGGGAACAAAAGAAGGGGCCTTGCCTACTTACCTTTCTCACAAGCCAAGTGGGCAAGCAGAGAGATGGTCTGGATGGTCTTCCCAAGCCCCATCTCATCAGCAAGAATGCCATTAAGCTTCTTCTCATACATGGTAACCAGCCAGTCTAGCCCAATGTGCTGGTACTCCCGGAGCTGGCCCCGCAGAAGCAGGGGAATGGGCGTCTTTACCTGTCAGAGAGGAAATATAGGTAACACAATGGAAATGAGGCATTTGTTGTGGGGACATGAGAAAGTCAAGACATGAGAAAGGAGAGGCCAGAACCTGGGGATACCTGGGTCGTGGCCAGCGTGTAACCCTTGGGCTGGAGACTTTCAGCTGCTGCAGCAATGTCAGTAATTTCTTTCTTTGGACCTAGAGTAGTGGGCCCTGGAGTAGGAGGCCCACTGCCTGCATCTGCCTCACTCTGCTCTTCATCCCTGGCAAGCAAGTACTCCACCCCAAAATCATCATCTTCCTCCTCTTCATCTGCTTGGCTCTGTGATTGGGCATCCTCAGACTCTTCAGACTCAGATTCCTCTGATGCTGAACTTCCACTTGTTTCTTCCTCCTCTGAATGTTCATCTTCCTCATCCTCACTCCGGTCCTCCACAGAGTCTAAAGGGTAAGACCAAGGCTTACTGCTCATCATACCTGCTCTTCCAATGGCCACCCTCCCCAGCTCCTGCTTCATGACCACATATTCACCTGACTGACTGCTACTATCCTCCTGAGGAGGCTCTTCCGCTTCCACGGGCCCCTCTGGTTCACAGTCAGAGCTATTAGCATCAACCTCATCTTCATCCTCATCTTCACTGCTCCCAGAGCCTGGGGCATAGGCTCCTGCATACTGCTGCAATAGCTCCTCCATGGAAAGCTCACCTGGAAGAGAAACAAAAAGCTTTTGGTTGCTCTGAGGGGAGGGAGAAGGGGAGGTCTGAGTAGTACCAGTTAATTTTACCTAGGTCTCTGTAGATACTGCTAGGCCCAGGTCTGAGGGGAGGCAAAAGAGCTTACTTTCAGCATCAGCTAGCAAAGCCAAGCCCCACAACCTGGGGGAAGTACCATGGGAATTGGGAAGAACATTATCAACCTGGTGAGCCTCTCAAGGTCCAGGTCAAATGCTGTCAGTATCTTCCTACATTAGCTCTTCCCTCCATTTCACTCCCACATCACCATTTAAACTTCTATCATAAGCACTCATCACTTTCTACTTATCATTACTGGTTTACAAGTCTGTCTTAGTCATTAGACATGGAATTCCTCCAGGGTGGATACAAAGTGCCTTATTCATCTCTTTATCCTTGGTACTGCACACCGCAGACACCAAGTGGATGCTTAGTAAAATGTCTGGTAAATGTCACCTTCTCGAGCCAACTCGCTCAGCTCCATGGCATGATCCACCTCCCCTTCCAACTGTTCCTCAGCTGCTATAGTATCCTCTTCATCCTCCGCTAGGAAAGAGACAGAAGCAAGATTAATAGGGATAGAGGCTAGAGGCACAGGACACAGTCCAAATGAAACAGATGAGAAAGCCTGAAAGGTTAGGTCCAGACAATTCATTCAAGGGGTAAGGGGCAATAGGACAAACCGAACAGCCCTGACCTTCCTCTTCGTTGGCAGTAAACTCTTCATCATCTTCATCTGGATGCCAAGGCTGTTTGTTGCGCTGTGTGACAGCAGAGGGTGGGGGCTTTATCTGTATGGCAAAAGATAAAAAAGGGAAGGGTCTAAGGTTACAGTAGCAGAAGAATGGCACAAACTTGAAAAAGGTGTCACAGGAGAATCACTGTCCCATTGAGTGACAGTTGCCACTGGTATAATCCCAGGGCAAGAATACAATCAAGGGTTTTCTCTCAGCACCAGCTACCAAATCCTGGCCCCACTGCCTGGGGAAGGAACTGTGAAAGTGCCAGGTAACAAATAAAGGCACCCAACACTTCCCCATGCACTTGAGACATATGGAGAAACAGAAAAGACTTAAGGGTACCATGCCAGCTTCCAACCTGTAAGCCAATAAGGGAACATTAGGGCATGTTCAGAGAAGTGGCAAGTAACGGTCAGAGGAAGTACTTTTTCAAGACCACACAGCAATTTAAAGAGGAAAGTGCAATACGCTCTTCCACTATAGCGCCAAAACCTGCCAATCACAAAATGCAACTTGCCCCAAACAGATTCTTCCCCAGTCATCCCCAAAGAGCCCAAATGTCCATTACTAGCAGAACTCCTAAAACTCATAACCAACCTCACAGCCCGGAACTCAGACCCTGAACCTCTCCCTCTGTTCCCCCTCTGAACCCTCCCTCTGCTCCTTCTGCCTATACCTCCAACACCTGAGGGGGCTCTTCTTCAGCACCTTCTTCAGGCCCATCTCGGGTGTCACTATCATGAGATGAGGGGGTTTGAGAGGGGCTGGAAGGCCCTTCCAACAGCTGAGGGGGAAGGGAACGGAGCAGCTCTTCCAGTGGCAATTCTCCCTCACGGCGAAGCAGCTCAATCTCACGCCTCTGGGCCTCTGCATCATTGCCTTCCTGTTGTTCTTCAACTTCAATCGTTTCCTCATCATCCTCTTCCTCATCCTCTTGGGGTTGAAAGTCCCCATCTATAGCAGGAGAACAAGGTCACAAAGTCCACGGGCCCTGCAAGCCACAGGGTGGGTTTTTCAGCTCTGGAAAGGGTACATGAGGAAGAGTAACAGGACCAAAGAGAACACACACCTTCATCATCCAGGCGAGAAGCAGGGGGTGGAGGACTGGAGGCAGCTGAGGAAGAGCCGAGGCAAGGGGAAGAGCCTGCTTTGCTGGAGGTTAATGGCTGGTTGAGGCTCTGAGACAGAAGGTCCGAGTACTTTTCAGTTTGCCCCACAATGAAGTCCAAATGCAGGTCCAGGGCTTTTTTGCGCTTTTCCTCAAGCCGGGACTGTTGCTTGAATTGCACCACCTGCCACAGATGTGAAAGGGACTGCTCACCAAGATAACCATTTTATTTATGTACTTTTACCCGATGTTTAGGGAGACCTTCTTTAACCAGATCCTGGGCTGGCCTCTTAGGAAAGTAAAACTAAATAACCTTAGGGGCTCACTATGGTCTAAAGGAAGCACAAAGGGAGCATGCAGGAAGAAGAGCCAGCTTCGCCTCAGGTGGAGGGAAGGTTTGCAATCTGAAGCTGGATTTTTTTTTTTTTTTAAAGAGATGAGATCTCACTATGTTGGCCAGACTAGTGTCAAACTCCTGGGCTCAAATGATCCTCCTGCCTCACCCTCCCACGTAGGTGGAACTACAGGCATGCATCACCACACCCAGCTGGAACTGGGTCTCAAAAAATAGGTAGGTGGGCCAGGCACAGTGGCTCATGCCTGTATTCTCAGCACTTTGGAAGGCTGAAGTGGGAGGATCACGTGAGGTCAGGAGTTCGAGACCAGCCTGACCGACATGGTGAAACCCCCATCTCTACTAAAAATAAAAAATTAGCCAGGCGTGGTGGCGGGCACCTGTAAACTCAGCTACTCCGGAGGCAGAGGCAGGAGAATCGCTTGAACCTGGGAGGCAGAGGTTGCAGTAAGCCCAGATTGCACCACTGCACTCCAGCCTGGGAACAAAGCGAGACTCCGTCTCAAAAACAAAAAAACAGGTAGGTGAAGCCAGGCATAGTGGCTCACACTTTGGGAGGCCAAAGTGAGAGGATCGCTTGAGCCTAGGAATTCAAGATCAGCTTGGTATGTAACAGCGAGACCTTGTCTCCACAAAAAAATATTTTTAGGCCAGGTGCGGTGGCTCACGTCTATAATCCCAGCACTTTGAGAGGCTGGGGCGAGTGGATAACCTGAGGTCAGGAGTTCAAGACCAGCCTGGCCAACACAGCAAAACCCTGTCTCTACTAAAAATACAAAAATTAGCCAGACATAGTGGCACATGCCTGTAATCCCAGCTACTCCAGAGCCTGAGGCAGGAGAATCACTTGAGCCTGGGAGGCAGAGGTTGCAGTGAGCCAAGATTGCGCCACTGCCCTAGGTGACGGGGTGAGACTCTGTTTCACAAAAAAATTAAAAAAAAAGAAATTAAAAAGAATTTTTTTAATTAGCAAGATGTGGTAGCACGCGCCTGTAGTCCCAGATACTTGGGAGATCGAGGCAGGAAGATCGCGTGAGCCCAGGAGGTTGAGGATGCAGTGAGCTGTGATCGTACCACTGCACTCCAGCCTAGGAGACACAGCAAGACTCTGTCCAAGACAATTAAAAAATAGGTGGCTGTTCCCTAAGTACACATGAGGAAAAAAGCATTCCCAGCAGCATAAAGTCTATGTGTAAATGGACAGAGATATACAAAAGAAAGGTGGGTGTGGAGTGGAAGGGAGAAGGAATGAACATGGCAGGAGGCAAGACCGAAAATACAGACGGAAACTGGGTAGTACTTAAGAAATAATTACAACTTACTATACAGGCAGTGGGAACTTTGACGGAATTTAAGCATGTGCTAAGTGGCACAAATACATTTCAGTAAACACATGCTAAATGCCCTGCAAGGGACAGATGGCCTAGAGGTGTCAAGGAGAACTATTAACAATCCCCAAAGGCAGGACCCATATTTTGCCACTATACTTTTTTATCCATACAACATAAACGTCATTAGAGTTGCCTGAAATTATATTTACTCCCTCAAGAAGTTTTGATCATTCCTACTACCACGCCATCTACCAATCTAATCCAAGGCCATTTTCCTTTCCTGATCCCCACTGTCTACCTTCTCCACATTGCTCCAGAACTGCCTGACATCCTTGGCCATGGTGGAAGCAATTCGACGCAGCTTGGCCTGCTCCTCCCTCCGGGCCCGTTCCTCTTTCTGCCGCTGCTCCTCGTGGTGCCGGATCACCATGCGCACCACCTGTGGGAATGAAGACCCAGGGTGAAAACACTCAAAGCCAGACTTCCCCACCCAAAGGCAAAGAAAATAATCAAGGCCAAGAAATCTGGAAAATCAAGAGTTTGCTCTTAATGCCTACACCATTCTGTCTGGTCCCCTTCCAACAAACCGGGAAGGAACAGACCTGAAAAGGAAAAGGAAGGAAGTCCCAGCGGAAGACCTACCTTCCGGGCCACACCCCGTTTCCAACGGCGCTCCTGAGCAAAGTCAGCAGAGAGCCACTGCATCTCTTCGCACAAATAGTCCCAGTGACCTTTGGGGCGAGGGGGCTCTGGCACCTTAGGCAGCCTCTTCAGTGACCAGAAACCCTCCTTCCGCAGCTCAGCAATCCGAGTCTCGATCTCGGCCTCCTAATCAGGGAGAGCCAGATCAATCAACAGTTCTAAACACACACTCCATCTCACTGCCACGGCTGAATTCCTGAGCACTAAGTGGGCTGAGTGTGTTATGCTTATGTTTAGTCCACATACCAAACTTACAGGCAGGTATCATACTCTCTTCAGAGAAGGGAAAAAAGATCAGGGAGATGAAGAAGGAAAAAAGATCAGGGAGATTAAGTGATTTGCCCAAGATCACACAGCTAGAAAGTAATAGAAAATGTGAATCAAAAATAGGTCTGAGGACTCCAGACAGCAAATTTCATGCTCTTTCCATTATTTAACACAATCTCCACACCCCATAGACATAGGAGAGACTTGGGAAATCATATCCCAAGAGGAGCTTCCCAGAGGAGTAGGGAACACATACTTCCCTCTTGATTCTAGATACAAGGGGTCATCATCATTGTAGAATTCTACTTACTCAGAGTATTTTCATGATGCATTAAGCTTAGAAATATGCTATAATGCCCAACTGACACACTGTTGTTTTTAAAAATACTACTTTTGTAAAAATGCATATGTTTATGTAAAAAATACTGAAACGTTATACGTGAAATGTTTAACACTGATTAGGTGTAAAAAAGAGTGGTCATTTTTACTAAAGCTTCTACACTGATTGTCTTTTATTTAAAAAGCATTTAAAATTTTTTTGACAGAGACGACTCAAAAAATTCAGGACAACTGCCTTATTTCTTTTTCTGAATCTCACTCAGAAATCTGAGTGAGATTTTTCTGGGTCTCACTCTGCTGCCTAGGCTCAGGTTATCTTCCCAACTCAGCCTCCCAACTCAGCCTCCCAGGTAGCTGAGACTGACTATAGGCACATGCAACCATGCCCAGCTAATTTTTTTGTATTTTTCGTAGGGGCGAGGTTTCACAATGTCAAGGCTGGTCTGGAACTCCTGGGTTTAAGCAATCCGCCTGCCTGGGATTCCCAAAATGCTCAGATTATAGGCGAAAACCACCGCACCCAGCCTCTGTCTTTGTTATTTCTGTCCTCTCCTGATAAAAACTAAATCAGAGAAAATGACAGCCAGAGACCAGACAGGACTAAATGGCCTGACAGTGAAGGAAACATCAAGAAAGACGTGGATATTAGACCAGCTGCTCTCAAACTTGAGGAGGCACCGGAATCATCTGGAGGACTTTTAGAAACAGGTTGTGCTCACACCTGTAATCCCAGCACTTTGGGAGGCCAAGGCGGGTGGATCACAAGGTCAGGAGATCGAGACCATCTTGGCTAAAACGGTGAAACCCCGTGTCTACTAAAAACACAAAAAATTAGCCAGGCATAGTGGCGAGCGCTTAGTCCCAGCTACTCGGGAGGCTGAGGCAGGAGAATGGCGTGAACCCAGGAGGCGGAGCTTGCAGTGAGCCGAGATCATGCCACTGCACTCCAGCCTCAGCGAAAGACTGAGACTCCGTCTCAAGGAAAAAAAAAAAAACCCAATTGTGGCCGGGCGCAGTGGCTCATGCCTGTAATCCCAGCACTTTCAGAGGCCGAGGCTGGCAGATCACAAGGTCAAGAGATCAAGACCATCCCGCCAACATGGTGAAACCCCATCTCTACTAAAAATACAAAAAATTTAGCCGGGTGTGATGGCGGGCGCCTGTAGTCCTAGCTACTCAGGAGGCTGAGGCCAGAGAATGGCTGTGAACCCGGGAGGCGGAGCTTGCAGTGAGCCAAAATTCTGCCACTGCACTCCAGCCTGGGCGACAGAGCGAGACTCCGTCTCAACAAAATAAATAAATAAAATAAAAATAAAAATAAAAAATAAAAACATTGCTGGGCCCTACCCTCATAGTTTCAAATGGGTCGGTGGGTGAGAGGTACCAAGAATTTGCATTTTTTTTTGAGACAGAGTCTCACTGTTACCCAGGCTGGTGTGCAGTGGCATCATCTCAGGTCACTGCAACCTCCGGTTCCCAGTTCAAGCAATTTCCCTGCCTCAGCTTCCTGAGTAGCTAGGACTACAGGCCTGCGCCACCACGCCAGGCTAATTTTTGTATTTTTAGCAGAGATGGGATTTTGCCACGTTGGCCAGGCTGGTCTCGAACTCCTGACCTCAGGTGATCCACCCGCCTCGGCCTCCCAAAGTGCTGGGATTACAGGCATGAGCCACCACGCCCGGCAAAGAATTTGTGTTTCTACTAAGTTCCCAGGTGATGCTGATGCTGCTGGCCCAGAGACCACACTTACCACTGGATAAATGTAATACAGACTGCACGATAGAAATAAATAGAAACCAGTAAATCTTAAGAGCATCACAGTTTACAAAGTGCTTTTGTGTCTATTTTCTCCTTTTTTTTTGAGACAGGATCTTACTCGGTTGCTCAGGCTGGAGTGCAGTGGCATAATCGTGGCTCACTGCAGCCCTGACCTCCTGGGCTCAGGTGATCCTCTCAACTCAGGCTCCTGGGTGGCTGCGACTGCTACAGGCATGTGCGACTATACCCAGCTAATTTTTTGTACTTTTTACAGAGATGGGGTTTTACCACATTGCCCAGTCTGGTCTTGAACTCCTGGGCTCAAGAGATCTGCCTGTCTCAGCCTCCCAAAGTGCCAGGATTACAGGTGTGAGCCACTGCGCCTGGCCTTGCTCCTATAACTTAAACCTCTTAATAGCCTATAAACTATTATATCATTCCTATTTTATTTACAGCAAGGAAAATGAGACTCAATATTCAAGCAGTTTGCTCACGATCATATACATTAAGGCAGAACCTATACCCTAAATCCATGACAAAAAAGAAAAGAAACATAAAATACTCAAGAGGACGTGGGAGTTTACGGAAGATAACTCCCAAGAATCTTCATAAGCCTTTCTAATACGTACATGCTTGGCCTGTTCTGCAATTTCGGCATGGCTCTTCTCCCACTTCGGGCCCTTGTTAGCCAGGTCAGCAGCCTGGGATAAGCTGAACCCCTCCAGGGGCACTGTGGCACCATCTGGGGGGCCTGGAGGTCCATCCAGTGAGGAATCTTGAGCTATGTGCTGCGGGGAGATGCCGCCTGCCCCACTAGAGGCTGGGGAACTGGATGAGGCAGGGGACACAGGATTGCTGCCTGTCATGCCGTCCGACACCATCTAGAAAAGAGGAAAATGATGGAGAAAATAAATGCTTCGCACTGTGCTGAGTGTTTTAGATACATTATTTCATCCGATCTTCACAAGAAAAAACTGTGTAGAGTAAGGTATAAACCTTATTTTCATAAACACAAACGTTCGGGATAAAGTTTTTATTTTATTTTTTTGAGATGGAGTCTCGCTCTGTCGCCCAGGCTGGAGTGCAGTGGCGCGATCTCGGCTCACCGCAAGCTCCGCCTCCCGGGTTCATGCCATTCTCCTGCCTCAGCCTCCTGAGCAGCTGGGACTACAGGCGCCCGCCACTATGCCCAGCTAATTTTTTTGTATTTTTAGTAGAGACAGGGTTTCACCACGTTAGCCAGGATGGTCTCGATCTCCTGACCTCATGATCCGCCCACCTCAGCCTCCCAAAGTGCTGGGATTACAGGCGTGAGCCACCACGCCCGGCCTTGGGATAAAGTTTTAATAAGGGACTCAAGATGGCAGAGCCAAGTTTATAGATGCTTGACATGCAAGAATTATGTCCTGACATTTACACAGTTCCCAAACTTAAAAATATATATATATATAGGCCGGGGGTGGTGGCTCATGCTTGTGATCCCAGCACTTTGGGAGGCTAAGGTGGGTGGATCACCTGAGGTCAGGAGTTTGAGACCAACCTGGCCAACATGGTGAAACCCCGTCTCTACTGAAAATACAAAAATTAGCTGGGCGTGGTGGCGGGAGCCTGTAATCCCAGCTACTCAGGAGGTTGAGGCACGAGAATCGCTTGAACCTGGGAGGCGTGGGAGGCGGAGGTTGCAGTGAGCCGAGATCGCGCCACTGCATTCCAGCTTGGATGACAGGGTGACTCTGTCTCGGAAAGGAAAAGGAAAAAAAAAATTTATATACATACATATATATATATATATATAGCATATGATTTCAAATTCTGATCGTTTCAGAGCCTCAGTGATTTCATGCACATAAACAACTCCCTATTTACCCTCCATTTTCAGAACAAGTGTGGCAAACTCACTTATGCAATAAATGTGAGCTACCACTAAATTCAACAGCCACCAATAAATCCCAGGCCACCTTAACCTCTTCACTGGACAGGCATGGGCTGCAGGCATAGCCAATGTTCTCAAACACCCAACACGTCACTTTACAAGGTACTGCAAAAGCATTAAGAAATGGAAGCTGGGCTCGGTGGACTTTGGGAGGCCGAGGCGGGCGGATCACATGGTCAGGAGTTCCAGACCAGCCTGACCAACATGGTGAAACCCCATCTCTACTAAAAATACAGAAATTAGCCACGTGTGGTGGCGTGAGCCTGTAATCCCAGCTACTCAGGAGTCTGAGGCAGAGAATTGCTTGAACCAGGAGGCAGAGGTTGTAGTAAGCCAAGATTGTGCCATTGCACTCAGAAGGAAGGAGGGAGAGAAGGAAGGAAGGAAGGAAGGAGGGAGGGAGGGAGGGAGGGAAGGCAGGGAAGGGAGGGAGGGAGGGAGGGAAGGGAGGGAGGGAGGGAAGGAGGGTGGAAAACAGGGCTGGGCACGGTGGCTCACACCTGTAATCCTAGCACTTTTGGAGGCTGAGGCGGGTGGATTACCAGAGGTCAGGAGTTTGAGACCAGCCTAACCTACATGGTGAAACCCCATCTCTACTAAAAACACAGAAAATTAGCTGGGCGTGGTGGCGGACGCCTGTAATCCTAGCTACTCAAGAGGCTGAGGCAGGAGAATCACTTGAACCCAGGAGGTGGAGGTTGCAGTGAGCCAACACCACACCACTGCACTCCAGCCTGGGCAACAAAAGCGAAACTCTGGGCCAGGCGCGGTGGTTCACACCTGTCATTCCAGCACTTTTGAGAGGCTGAGTAAGGCGGGGATCACGAGGTCAAAGATGAAGACCATCCTGGCAAACATGGTGAAACCCCATCTCTACTAAAAACACAAAAATTAGCCAGGCGTGGTGGCGCGCACCTGTAGTCCCAGCTACTCAGGAGGCTGAGGCAGAAGAATTGTTTGAACCCGGGAGGCGGAGGTTGCAGTGAGCCAAGATCACACCACTGCATTTCAGCCTGGTGACAGAGCGAGACTCCATCTTAAAAATAAAAAAAAAAAAAAGAAAGAAAGAAATGGAAAATAGGCCAGGCCTGGGGGCTCACACCTGTAATCCTAATACTTTGGGAGGCCAAGGTGGGTGGATCACCTGAGGTCAGGAGTTCAAGACCAGCCTGGCCAACATGATGGTGAAACCCCATCTCTACAAAAATATAAAAACTAGCCAGGCATGATGGTGGGTGCCTATAATCCCAGCTACTCGCAAGGCTGAGGCAGGAGAACTGTTTGAAATCAGGAGGCGGAGGTTGCAGTGAGCCGAGATCGCGCCATTGCATTCCAGCCTGGCTGAAAGACACTCCATTTCAAAAAAAAAAAAAAAGAAAAGAAAAAAATGGAAAACAAAGTCCTACTGAAAGGTGGATACTCAGGGAATTCACAAATTCACTCCAGGACATAAGCCTTACACTGCGCCACTCAAATTCCTACCTCGGCTAAATGACAAGACTGTATGTCACAAATTTCCCCAGTTTCTCAGGAAAACTATAAATACCAACTTTACAAACATGAAAAGCTTACTGTACTGCTCACTTTGGCAACACATATACTAAAACTGGGAGGATACAGAAAAGATTAGCATGGCCCCTGTGCAAGGATGACACAATAAAGAAACCCTTTTTATAGAAAAATTTAAAAAATTAAAATAGAAAGCTGACTGTACACACACCTAGATGTGTTTAAAAGTCATGCTTTTTTTCCTACCCCACACCCTTCCTTGGTATGAGAAAGGAATGAACACTACACACCATCCATAGGCTTATCCTACTCCAGTACTGATAGAAGTTAAACTATTCTTAAAGCGTATGGTATTAGAAGCATGGTGCCACGACCTCCATTTCCAGCCTAGCCTAATTCAACCTTTTTCAGGTAACGAGGCGCTTTTACACTCTTGGAGATAATATTACACTAATGTTAAATGGAATGTGAGTATCCAACAGACCTGATATACTACAGCCCAGCCCCCGAGCACCAAAGATTCTCCAAAACTCTCCACAAATATTCCCCTGCCACATTTCTTCTGCCTCACACTCAACAATCCACAAAGCAGAAGCAGAGAAGGAACTCTTCCCACTTTCAAACCTGTGTCTGTAGGACTGGGAGCTGAGGGTGAGCAGGGGAGGGGCTGCTCTGCATGGTCCCACTCCCAGGCTCCCCCTTGGATGCCTGAAGAATGACTGGGTTGTTATCACCAGTACTGCTGGCCGAGGGGCTGGCGTCCGGCTGCAGGGCATGCTGGGAGCTGGCCTCATTCTGGGCCACCGGCCACCGGGACCCGCCTTCCAGGGCCCGGGGCCCACCAGGGCGTCCCAGCCTCCGCTCAGGTCCACCAGCCTCTGGAGCACCTAAAGTAGGGTTAAAAAAAAAAAAAAAGACAGAAATGCAGTTAAAGGGGATGAAAAAGTATTTTTAAAAAACCAGAAATAACACTGAATAAAGAGAAACACAGAAATTACAGGTTACATTTCTTGAGCACTTACTATGTATAAGATACTTTTAGTACCTGTTTGATGTGTTCTATAATCCTCACACCTACCTTAAAAACCAAGTGCTTTTCACAGCATAACAAATATTGACTTCCTCCTACACACAACGGATATAGCCATGCAGAAAGGATTCCCGACCTAAATGTAGCTTACATTCTAATATAATCTGTTTTGTAAGTTACGAAGTTAAGACCTTATGATTTGCGGAAGGTTACACAGTAAAAAAGTGATAGGAGGGCTTCAATCCACAGTCTGATGCCAAAACCAAGGAAAACCTGCTACTCTTCCTGGTAGAGCCAGGTTGACCACGTTTTCCTCAACCCACAGCCTCAGTTCTGTTGTTGTACTATAATCAAACCCTCTACAGAAAAATCACATGCAAACATTCCCATGCTTCTCTAGAGTGAAAATCCCCAATACGGACCTATAATTGCTTTATCTCAAACATTTCTCCCATTAGCATCAGCACACAAAATGGTAGCAGATCCCTCACCTGTGTGAGCTGAGACCACACCCCCTGTGAAAGTCTGCACTTCCACGGTGCCGCCGTACTGAAGGGAATCACACCTGAAACATCCATCAAAGCGTATTATTTACTCCAGTTTTTTGAGACGTTTAAATATACCCAAATCAGTTAAAAGACTAGAAACAGAAAAACTACAGTAGTAGGAAAATCTCACATTTCAGGGAAATGCAAATCATGTTTTGTGAATTCCGGAGGGACATACGATCCTGCCTGGGGGCAGGAGCAGGAAAGGAGTGAAGAAAGAAAGTTCAAAAATTTTAAGTGTAAAGGCTCCAACCACAGAATGGAAGACAAAAAAAAAATACAGCAAAAAAAAGCTGTCACATCCAGAACCTCAGAAAGGTGCTACCTGCCTGCGGGCCTTTCCAGTGAGGGCTGAACGCAGAAGTGAGAGTGGAACTCCCGGGAAGAGTCAACAAACAGGCTGGTCACAGGAAAATCCGCCCAGGATTCAGGGCAGGGCGCTGTATATCCCATACCTGCGCCTTGAGACACTTCCCCAAATACAAGAACCACAGCAAAAGGAGACTCAGGAGCAGTCAAAAGCGAGAGGCCGCACTGCCAAGAACCACGCGCCGGAAACAGGCAGTGTGAACCCGCAGGAGGCCCGGAAATGCTTCCCCAGTGTTTAAGGAAATTCCTAAACCACAGTGCCGGCTTTGATTCACTCCCTACTCCGCCACACGTTCCCAAGACCCGAGCTCACCAGAAGCCAACAAGCCTTAACTCTTGACTTCAGGTTTCGTGACCATCTCCCTAGCCCTCCCGACGGACTGACCTCGCGTGACCCCTGACCTCTGCCCAAGTTGCCACTAGCCCTGAGATAGCCCCGCCCCCTCCAGACTCCCACCCCACCCAACGTGCGCGCCGGGCGGGGGAGGGGCCCGCGCGTGCGCGGCTGGAGGCGGAGCGAGCCGGCTGCGCGCACGGCCCAGGGGCTCCCGCCAGAACCCGAGCCCACGCACACAAGGGTCGCGGGGCTGGGAAGCTCGTCATCCAAGCCCGTCAGGGAGCCCCCCCATCACCCGACCGCGAAAGGCTGAGAGAAGGGAGGGTTCGTGCCACCAGGTCCTGGTCCCCCGGCTAGATGTGGTGGGCGCGCGCCCCGACTACTCGTCCCACGCCCCCCTTCCTCTTCCCGCGCGCCCCTGAGGGGTGACTGGGTTGGTGGGCGGGCAGGAGCGCACCTGGGTCCGTCCTCTCAGGGCTCGCTCGCTCGCTCGCTCGCTCAGGCACGCGTGCGCAGAAGGGCGGGAAGGGAGAGGAGACACGCCGGGGCCCAGCGCCGGCCGGCCTGACCCCCTCAGTCTGTCTCTATGGGCGCGCGCCGACAGCCTCGCGCACCGGCCCCGGGGCCCCGGCTGAGGGTGCGCGCGCAGCACCCCGGGAAGGTGGGGGGGAGGCGGTGGCGGAAAGATGCGCGCGCAGTCAGCCGTCATGGGAGGGGGAACTGTGGGGCGTTCGCCATCTTGTCTCCCTCTCCTTACCTGCGTCCTCGGGGGCGTGCGCACCACCCCCCCTCCCGCCTAGGAGGGGGGAGGGCCCCCTCTTGGCCACCGCCTTCGCGGCCTTTAAACTCCCCTGGAGACTGCGGCTACTGCCACCGCCTTGCCTCCACTGCCTCTTCGCGCAGCACACAGATGCGGACGGTGGGTGGGAAAAAGGGCAGACGCTACTCCCAGCGAACCGCCGCTGCCGCTCCCGAGGCCTCACCAAAATGGCCGCCGCCGTCTCGGCCGCCACCACCACCACTACCACCACCACTCGCTCGGAATCGCTATCGCCGGCGCGGCCCGTCTTCTCGCGAGAGACAGTAACTGGAGGGTGGGGGAACGGGGAGGCTCGCGTGCTAGCGTAGGGTGCAGCACGGTGCGCAAGGCAGCCTGGGAGGTGTAGTCTCCCAGAGGCTGCGCGCTCGCCCTTCCTCGGAGCGCCTTTACCGTTTGCCCCTAGATCTACCTGGGGCTGCATTGCGGCTGCCAGCTCGGACCACCGCCACCTCCCTTTTTATTTACAGATCACCCAGTAAGCTGCAGCAAGTTAGCAGTGGAACCTGGGCCTCCCGATTCCCATGGCAGCCCACTTCTGTAGCGCTGCTTCGTTTTACGCGAGGATGGTTTCCTGATAGCTTTCAAACACCTTTGCCATCTCTTCGCAAACTTTCTAGATTAAGAATCCCTTTGAGAATCTGATACCTTTACCCCAGAATAGAACAATAAATAACAGCTACCTTCTACTGACACTACTTGGTGCCTTGATTATTTCTTTTAATCCTAACTGCTCCATTTTACAAACGAATTGAGGCTCAGGCGTTAAAACACAGTGACAGATCCTGAAGTCAAGATTCCTAGCCAAGCAGTCTAAGCCACAAGAATGCACTCGCTGTCATAAAATTTTACCACCTAAAGCCCCCGCTAAGAGGCCAGGTTAGGAAGCCCTGATGAAGCTCCCCTTCCTCCATTCAGTTTAGCTCTTCCCTGCGAAGAGGATTGTTGGTCCCATTTTACAGATGAAGTTTGGGTTGAAAGAAAAGTGGATGATGCCCATCTTTTCTAGACCCTCCTCCCATCACCCCCAGAAGAGGGGATCCCAGGCCAGAGCCTGAATTGGACCTAGCCTTGTGCCATTAACTCCTTGCTATGTGACCTTGAGCAATTAACTTCACCTTTCTGAGCTTCAGTTTCCTCTGTAAAGTGAGGATAGAATTGCTGATGTAAAATTGCTTTGAAAGATCTAAAGGGCCAGGTGCGGTGGCTCACACCTGTAACCCCAGCACTTTGGGAGGCCAAGGCAGGAGGATCACTTGAGGCCAGGAGCTCAAGACCAGCCTGGGTAACATAGTGAGACGTCGTCTCTACAGTAAATTAAAAATTTTAAAATTATGAAAAAATAAAAAAGCTCTAAAGGACTACCTAAATGTGGAGTATATTTCACTATAGTTCAGTGTTTCACACCCATGATCTTAAGGTCAAGGTTAGCTTTCTGATGTGCTTTACATAGTATTTATTTATGTATTCATTTGTTGAGATAGTCTTGCTCTGTCACCCAGGCCGGAGTGCAATGGCACAATCTTGGCTCCCTGCAGCCTCTGTCTCCCGGGCTCAAGCAATTCTCATGGCTCACCCTCCCAAGTAGCTGGGATTACAGGTGTGCACCACCACACTCAGCTAATTTTTGTATTTTTGGTAGAGACAGGGTTTCACCATGTTGCCCAGGCTGCTCTCAAACTCCTGACCTCAGGTGATCCACCTACCTTAGCCTCCCAAAGTGCTGTGACTACAGGTGTGAGCCACCGCCCCCAGCTGCTTTATATAGTTTGTTTTTTGTTTTTCGTTTTTTGTTTTTAGAGACAGAGTCTCGCTCTTTACCCCAAGCTGGAGTGCAGTGTCACGATCTCTGCTCACTGCAACCTCTGCCTCCCGGGTTCAAGCAATTCTTATGCCTCAGCCTCCCAAGTAGCTGGGATTACAGGCACTGGCCACCATGCCCAACTAATTTTTGTATTTTTAATAGAGCCGGGGTTTCTTTTTTTTTTTTTTTTTTTTTTTTGAGACGGAGTCTTGCTCTGTCCCCCAGGCTGGAGTTCAGTGGCTCAATCTCGGCTCACTGCAAGCTCCGCCTCCCAGTTTCATGCCATTCTCCTGCCTCAGCCTCCCGAGTAGCTGGGACTACATGCGCCTGCCACCACGCCTGGCTAATTTTTTGTATTTTTAGTAGAGACGGGGTTTCACCGTGTTAGCCAGGATGGTCTCGATCTCCTGACCTCGTGATCCGCCCACCTGGGCCTCCCAAAGTACTGGGATTACAGGCGTGAGCTACCACGCCTGGCCTAGAGACGGGGTTTCACCATGTTGGCCAGGCTGGTCTCGAACTCCTGGACTCAGGTGATCTGCCTGCCTCAGCCTCCCAAAGTGCTGGTACTACAGGCTTGAGTCACCACGCCCAGCTGCTTTACACAGTGTTTTCATGTTCTGGGTATTATTAAAACTTCAGGAAGCCAGGCACGGTGGCTCACGCCTGTAATCCCAACACTTTGGGATGCCGAGGCAGGTGGATCACCTGAGGTCGGGAGTTCGAGACCAGCCTGACCAACGTGGAGAAACCCCGTCTCTACTAAAAATACAAAATTAGCCAGGTGTGGTGGCGCATGTCTGTAATCCCAGCTATTCGGGAGGCTGAAGTAGGAGAATTGCTTGAACTTGGGAGGCAGAGATTGCGGTGAGCCAAGATCACGCCATTGCACTCCAGCCTGGGCAACAAGAGCAAAACTCCATCTCAAAAAAAAAAAAGAAAAGAAAAATTACTTCAGGCAAGAGAATGACGTCTCCGATGTGCCGTAGGCCCCACCATTCCCAATTGTTTTGCACGGGGCAACTTAACACATTTGTCATATCTGGCACCTAAAGGCAGTTAAACTTGTGACCTCTTGTTTATACACAAGCGTGTCAACGAGCATGTTCTCCTAACCAGCATTTCCTCTGCCTGTTTCCTATCTGGCCCTGTGCTGTGTGCAGTGGGAGAGAGGAGGGAAGATGGCACAGTCCCTGCTCTTAAGAACTTAGTCTCATTGCAGGATGAGCTGTGAGCTTGGTAAAAGGCATGGCAGTGTTGCGGTGTCTCAAAAGAAGGGTGGTCAAGGAACTCTCCAAGGGTCAGGTTGGATACCCAGTGGGGTATCAGGGAAGGCTTCCTAGGGAAGTATCATTTGAGCCTGGCCTTGAAAAATTTAGGCATGAAGGCAGGCACTCCAGGAAGATGACACAGCCTCCACAAGGCTGATGGTTGCCGGAGGAGGGCGGGGAATGGGGGACAGTGAATCAGCTTGTGCCCCAGTCTGGAGTGCAGTGGTGCGATCATAGCTCACTGCAGCCTCAACCTCCTGGGCTCAGGTGATCCTCCCACCTCAGCCTTCCAAGTAGCTGAGACTACAGGTGCACACCACCAGGCCTGGCTATTTTTTATTTTTTTGTAGTGAAAGTGGGAGGTCTCGCTATGTTGCCCAGGTTGGTCTTGAACTCTTGGCCTCAAGCAACCCTCCTGTCTCAGCCTCCCAAAGTGCTGGGACTACAGGCGTGAGCTACCACACCCGGCCCCAGCTTGTCTTCTTTATGAGGGAGCGGGTTGAGACACTGTTGGAGAGATCACCTAGCTCCAAGCGGCTAAGGGCCCAGCATGCTAGGCTAGGTATGGGGCATTCGTTTGGAAGTGACAGGGAGCTATTGAAAGTTGTTAAGCAAAAGATTGGCATGATCCAGGCCGGGCACGGTGGCTCACACCTGTAATCCCAGCACTTTGGGAGGTCAAGGCGGGCGGATCACGAGGTCAAGAGATTGAGACCATCCTGGCCAACATGGTGAAACCCCATCATCTCTACTAAAAATACAAAAATTAGCCGGGTGTGGTGGCAGGCACTTGTACTCCCAGCTACTCCAGAGGCTGAGGCAGAAGAATCGCTTGAACCCGAGAGGCGGAGGTTGCAGTGAGCCAAGATTGCGCCACCGCCACTGCACTCTAGCCTGGGCGACAGAGCAAGACTCTGTCTCAAAAAATATATATATATTAGCCAGGCGTGGTGGCCCCCGCCTGTAGTCCCAGCTACTCGGGAGGCTGAGGCAGGAGAATCGCTTGAACCCGGGAGGCAGAGGTTGCAGTGAGCTGAGATCGTGCCACTGCACTCCAGCCTGGCGACAGAGCCAGACTCCATCTCAAAAAAAAAAAAAAAAAGATTGGCATGACCCATGTTCCACTTTATGAAGGGTGATGTATGTAACAAGATGCGTGATATGTCTGTAAGGCTAAAGACAGGGAGGATACCAGCAGTCACCTGTGTGTAATGGGAGCTGTTGGCCAGGAGGTGGCAGTGGAGATGGGGGTAGAGACTAAAGGAAAAATTAGCAGAACTTGGCCGTTGATTGCTAGTGATGATGATCCTCTAAACATGGTTCCTTCTGTGATTCCAGTCTTTCCCAGGCTCCTCCCACCTCCCTGGCCACTCCCTTTCCTTCTCCCTCTCCCCACAGGACACTTCTGGCCCCCTCCATCAATTGGTGGGGCTGCTAAGGATTCTTGCCTCAACTGCCTCCTCTCATCCAAGTCTTCAAGGGCTGAGGCAGATATTGTAAAACTAATGAAGCTTCAGCTTCCAGGACTCCTCCCTTTAATGGACCTTCCATTGCTATTAGTGGCTGGGGGTTACAGAACCATCAAGGTGAGGTGGAGAAGCCAGGTTGTAACTGGAAAGCACTCCCATATAAGCATTTCTGGTGATTTGCCTAAAGACATCTCAGGGGAAAAAAAAGGGGCATTAATCTCTAAGGCCCCAGTAATTTCTCATGATTTCCATGTTTATTCCAACTACCATCTCTTAAGGACTATCCCCAGCTCAGAATCCTCTAACTCCTGGAATCCTCATGCAGGAGGCTCCCTAGGAACCTTGGACTCCTCCATCCAAAGTGAACTCACAGCCAGGCTGGTGGCTCACACCTGTAATCCCAGCACTTTGGAAGGCCAAGGCAGGCAGATCGCCTGAGGTCAAGAGTTCGAGACCAGCCGTGGCCAACATGGTGAAGCCCTGTCTCTACTAAAAATACCAAAATTAGCTGGGTGTGGTGGCTCACGCCTGTAATCCCAGCTATTCGGGAGGCTAAGGCAGGAGAATCGCTTGAACCAGGAAGCAGAGGTTGCAATGAGCAGAGATCATGCCACTGCACTCCAGCCTGGGCAAAACAAGGCTGGGTGCGGTGGCTCATGTCTGTAATCCCAGCACTTTGGGAGGCAGAGGCAGGTGGAGCACGAGGTCAAGAAATCGAGACCATCCTGGCCAACATGGTGAAACTCCGTCTCTACTAAAAATACAAAAATTAGCCAGGTGTGGTGGCAGGCATCTGTAGTCCCAGCTACTCGGGAGGATGAGGCAGGAGAATTGCTTGAACCCAGGAGGCGGAGGTTGCAGTGAGCAGAGATCACGCCATTGCACTCCAGCCTGGTAACAGAGCGAGACTCCATTTCAAAA